>NC_000002.12:199913860-200216890 GCF_000001405.40 Homo sapiens
TGTGCCAGCCAGGATATATAGTACAAGTCTTCAGAGGAAGTCTAAAAAGTCTTACATACAGTTTGAGGCCAGATTGCCTGGGTTTGAACCCTGATTTAGAACTTTTTAGGTATAAAGTCCCTGGACAATTGTTACATCTCTCTGTGTTTCAGCTACTTCAACTACAAAATAAGAATAATAGTTTATAAGGTGTCAATGGAGATTAAATGTGTGGATACTAAATGAGTTCTGGTCCCTTCTTATCTCTCTGGTGACTTTAAAAATTATTGGAGTATCCTAGTCGTCTGTTCTTCCATGTTTCCTCTGTCTGTGTTCACTCCCTTCAGTCTCATGGCTTTACTCACTACCTGTACACTGACACCCCTCAACATTTATGTATCTAGCCTACACATATTCCCCAAACTTTAGGCCAACCAATTATATGCACGATTATTTCCTTTTGGATATTTAATAGATATCCTAAACCTAAAATCTCTGGATCTTTACCCCTATGCAGTCTTCCTCATGTCATTAATGGAAACTTTACCTTCTTAGTTGCTCAAGATAGAAATCTTGAAGTCATCCATTAGAACTGTCTTTCATACCTCATTTCATCAAATCTAGTGGTTTTACCTTTTCAGTGTATCTAAAGTAATCAGAATAACCATTGAAAAATGTAAGTCAAATCATTCCACGTCTGCTCAAAACTGTGCAGTCACTTCCCATGTCACTCAGAGTAAGAGCCAGAGTCCTTCCTGTTAATATCCTGTCCTGCAAGGCTTTTCATTATTTCTATCTTTTCCCACCCTGTTACCTATCTGACTTGGTCTCCTTTTTCTGTTTACTCTTCTCCAGCCTCTCTGGCTTTCTTGGTGTTGCTCAAACATGTCAGGCACACTATACCTAAAAAGCTTTCTGTATACTGCCTGGAACAGCCTTCCAAGTAGATGACTTGTAGGTTTATTACCTCACCTCTTCCAGGTCTGCTCAAGACTCTGCCTCTCTGAGGCCTTTTCTGACCATCCTGTTTAATAATCATAGTATATATAGGCTTCCTATCAACTTTTCTTCTTTATTATTACCCATTGCATTTACTATACTAGTTTTCGTTTTGAGTTTTGTTTGCCTTCTGCCACTAAAATATAAGCTTACGTTTGTTCACCGATATAATCTGCGATGCTTGAGAGTTGCATGTTTTAGGTGTGCAGTAGATGACTTGTATAAATGAGTATTTTTTAATTGCTTTGAACAATGCATGAAATACTTGAAATGTGTTGGCTATTATATAAAATGCTGTTAGGCTGATTTCTTCATCTGTATTTTTGTACTTGATTCTTTTGAGCCTAATATCTATCCTTATGAACTTTTCGCTGCTGAGTACAGCCCATCTTTTTATTGTGTTGATGCTTTTAGAATGCCTATAGACATTCTATTTTCTTTATTTTCTTTTATTACTATTTTTTAGAGAGACAGGGTCTCACTATGTTGCCCACTCCTGTGTTCAAGTGATCCTCCTGCCTCAGCCTTTTAAAGTGTTGGGATTACAAGCATGAGCCACCACACCTCGCTGAGCATTCTTGTTATAGCTTTATTCTTAATTTGAAGAAATATTGAACAGAATAGGGCTAAACAGAATTTTGTAAGATAGTATTAGAAGCTTTGCCTATCTTTTTTTTTTTTTCCTTGAGATGGAGTCTTGCTCTGTTGCCCAGGCTGGAGTGCAGTGGCGTGATCTTGGCTTACTGCAACCTCCACCTCCCAGGCTCAAGCGATTCTCCTGCCTCAGCCTCCTGAGTAGCTGGGACTACAGGAGCATGCCACCACGCCTGGCTAATTTTTCTTTTTTTTTGTATTTTTAGTAGAGATGGGGTTTCACCATGTTGACCAGGCTGGTCTCAAACTCCTGACCTCAGGTGATCCTCCCACCTCAGCCTCCCAAAGTGCTGGGATTATAGATGTGAGCCACCGCACCTGGCCTGAAGCTTCACCTATCTTGATACTGTTTCATTATTTGGTGTTTGTTAATTGGAACTGGTTTTTCATATGATTTTAAGTCCTCTTAATTCCTATTAACTTCTTGATGTTCCTTTTGCAGTCATGTTTTGTTGTATGTCCTTTTTAAAAATTCTGTACTTTTCCTTTATCATTTGAATTACAAGAAAGCTAAGGCCATATATATTAGTCCATTCTCACACTGCTAATAAAGACATACCCGAGGCTGGGTAATTTATAAAGGAAAGAGGTCTAATTGAATCAGTTCCACAGGGCTGGGAGGCCTCAGGAGACTTACAATCATGGCAGAAGGGGAAGCAAATGTGTCCTTCTTCACATGGCAAGAGGAGGGAGAAGAATGAGACCGAAGGTGGGGAGGCCCCTTGTAAAACCATCTCATGAGAACTCACTCAGTATTATGAGAACAGCATGAAGGTAACCTGCCCCATGATTCAGTTACCTCCCACTGGGTCCCTCTCACAACACATGGGGATTATGGGAACTACAATTCAAGATGAGATTTGGATGGGGACACAGCCAAACCATATCATTCCACCCCTAGCCCCTCCCAAATTTCATGTCCTTACATTTCAAAACATAACCATGCCCTTCCAACAGTTCCCCAAAGTCTTAACTCATTGTAGCATTAACTCAAAAGTCTAAGTCCAAGTTTCATCTGAGACAAGGCAAGTCCCTTCCACCTATGAGCCTGTAAAATCAAAAGCAAGTTAGTTACTTCCTAGATACAATGGGGATACAGGCATTGGGTAAATACAGCCATTCCAAATGGGAGAAATGGACCAAAACAAAGGGGCTACAGGCCCCATGCAGGTCCGAAATCCAATAGGACAGTCATTAAACCTTAAAGTTCCAAAATGATCTCCTTTAACTCCATGTCTCATATCTAGGTCACACTGATGCAAGAGGTGGACTCCTGTGGCTTTGCAGGGTACAGCCCCCCTCCAGGCTGCCTTCATGGCTGGTGTTGAGTATCTGCAGCTTTTCCAGGCACACGGTGCAAGCTGTTGGTTTATCTACTATTCTGGGGTCTGGTTGATGGTGGCCCTTTTCTCACAGCTCCACTAGGCAGTGCCCCAGTAGGGAAGTGTAGAGCCCCACATTTCTTTTCCATACTGCCCTAGCAGCAAACTTCTGCCTGGACATCCAGGTGTTTTCATACATCCTCTGAAATCTAGGCAGAGGTTCCCCAACCTCAATTCCTTACTTTTATGCACCCACAGGCCCAACATCACATGTAAGCTGCCAAGGCTTGGGCTTGCACACTCTGAAGCAACAGCCTGAGCTATCCGTTGGCCCATTTTAGCCACGGTGGGACACAGGGCACCAAGTTTCAAGACTGCACAAAGCAGCGAGGGCCTGGGCCCAGCCCACAAAACCATTTTTTCCTCTTAGGCCTCTGGGCCTGTGATGGTAGGGGCTGCCCTGAAGATCTGTGACATGCCCTGGAGACATTTTTCCCATTATCTTGGTGATGAACATTTGGCTCCTCGTTACTTATGCAAGTTTCTGCAGGCTGCTTGAAATTCTCCTCAGAAAATGGGTTTTTCTTTTTTTATAGCATCGTCAGGTTGCAAATTTTCCAAACTTTTATGTGCTACTTCCCATTTACATATAAGTTCCAATTTCAAACCATCCCTCTCAAGGTCAAAGTTCCACAGATCTCTGGGGCAGGGGCAGAATGTTGCCAGTGTCTTTGCTAAACCATAACAAGAGTGACCTTTGCTTCAGTTCTAAAAAGTTTATTATCTCTGTCTGAGACCAGTGCAGCCTAGACTTCATTATCCAAATCACTATCAGCATTTTGGTCAAAGCCATTCAACAAGTCTCTAGGAAGTTCCAAACTTTCCCACATTTTCCTGTTTTCTTCTGAGCCCTACAGACTGTTCCAACCTCTGCCTGTTACCCAGCTCCAAAGTTGCTTCCACATTTTTGGGTATCCTTATAGCAGCACCCCACTCTCTGCAGTACCAATTTACTGTATTAGTCCATTCTCATGCTGCTAATAGAGACATACCCAAGACTAGGTAATTTATAAAGCAAAGAGGTTTAATTGGCTCACAGTTTCACAGGGCTGGGGGTGCCTCTGAAAACTTACAGTCATGGTGGAAGGGGAAGCAAACATGCCCTTCTTCATATGGTGGTAGGAAAGAGAATGAGAGCAAAGAGGGGGATGAGCCCCTTATAAAACCATCTTGTAAAAACTCACTGTCACCAGAACAGCAGGAGGGTAACCGCCCCATGATTCAATTACCTTCCATCGGGTCCCTCCCATGTGGGGATTATGGGAACTACAATTCAAGATGAGATTTTGGTGGGGACACAACCAAACCATATATCCATAGTATTTTGTATTTCTTTAGGTACCTATGTTTTTCTCATCTAGCAATAATGATTTTGAAGGGTGATCAAGATTTTTTTAAAGTAGGTGCTTTCCATTTTGAGTTATCTTTTTAAAGCCTTGGGTATATAATTATATGTATCCCCTTTATTTTACTGTATTTTAATTTATTTATTATCATTATATTTTCAGACGGAGTCTTGCTCTGTTGCCCAGGCTGAAGTGCAGTGGTACAATCTCGGCTCACTGCAACCTCCGTCTCCCGGGTTCAAGCAATTCTTGTGCCTCAGCCTCCTGAGTAGCTGGGATTACAGGTGTGTGCCACCACGCCTGGGTAATTTTTGTATTTTTAGTAGAGACGGGGTTTCACCATGTTGGTCAGGCTGCTCTCGAACTCCTGACCTCAAGTGATCTGCCTGCGTGGGCCTCCCAAAGTGCTGGGATTACAGGTGTGAGCCACTGTGCCCGGCCCTTGTATTTTAAGTAAGAGTACAATTTTGTGAATTTTGACAAGTGTTGGAATTATGTAACCACCAAAATCATGTTGTAGAGTATCTCCATTATCCTAAAAAGTACCTCCGTGCTCCTTTATGGTCAGTTTTCTTTTCCCAACCACTAACCTGCTTTCTTTCACTATGGTTTTTGCTTTTTCTAGAATTTTGTTAATTTGTCATATAGTATGTAGTCTTTTGTGTGTGACTGTTTCACTATTTAATACTTTTGAAATTCATCCATATTGTTACCTGTATCTGTAGTTTTTTTCATTGTTCTTTTTTGTTGAGACAGGGTCTAGCTCTGTCAACTAGGCTGAAATGCAGTGGCGTGAACATGGCTCACTGCAGCCTCAACCTCCCAGGCTCAAGCGATCCTCCTACCTTAGCCTCTCAAGTAGCTGGGACTTACAGGCATGCACAATCACACCTGGCTAATTTTTAAAATTTTTCGTAGAAACGAGGGTCTCATTAGGTTGCCTAGGCTGGTCTCAAACCCCGGGGGTTAAGTGATCCTCCTGCCTTGGCCTCCCAAAGAGCTGGGATTGCAGGCGTGAGCCACTGTGCCCAGCCAGTAGTCTGTTCCTTTTATTTACAGAGTAGTATTCTATGTATGGATATATACTTTGTTTATCCATTCAGCAGTTCATAAACATTTGAGTTATTTCCAGTTTTAACTCTTTAAAAGTTTTGCTTTCCTAAAGGTTAGGATCTATAGACGATCATGCCCTAAGTGGTGTCTCCTGGTCATGTACCTTGGAGCTTCCTGTGCTTTATCAGGCAGCTCTCTTAGGCTGGACCCTGTTCTGGTCATTCTAGCCTGCTTACTTCAGATGTGCACTTTATGTTTATAATAAACAGAAATTTATTTAGCTCATGATTCTGGAGGTTAGGAGGGGCCTACATCTGGTGAGGGCCTTCTTGCCCTGTCATCTCATGGTGGAAGGCAGAAGGGCAAGAGAGCACTAGGGAGTGGAGGAGGGGAAGGAGAGGCCAAATTCATCCTTTTATCAAGAACCATTAATCCATTCATGAGGGCAGAGCCCTTGTGACCTAATCACCTCTTAAAGATCCCACCTCTAATCATAGTTGCTTTAGGGATTAAGTTTACAAAACATGAACTTTGGCGGACACATTCAAACCGTAGCAGAAGTTCACTCTGCTCTAAGGGCAGAACACTTAGTTTGAATCTATCATTTGTCTACCAACTCTTAGAGACACATGTCAAGATTTCCTAAAAATCCATTGTTCGTTACTTCAATAGCAGTTTGGAGTGGGTCTCTGAGTTTTTGCAGGTCAGCAAGCATCTAACTGGAGTAGTAGGCATTCTTTAAACTCTCAAGAGATTCTCTTGTGGCCTGCCTCACTGGGGATGAGAAGCATGGCCTTTCACCCCTTACCTCTTATGGGGATAGTAGTGCATTGCATTCCCAACTAGGATGAAAACTCTCTTGAAAGAAATCTCTCTCTTTCCTTAGTCTTTAACCTTTTCTGTAGATTGGCCGTGGGTAACAGCCTCAGTTGCAGAACCAGTTTGGGCTACCTCTTAGTAACTCCTAGAGGGGTGTCTGGTGCCTCTTTTTAGAATATGAAAGTGTGTTTCCATTGTTCCCAGATCTGGGCTTTGACACACAGTAATGATTCCATCTTTACATTTTACTGCATACAGTTCCTTAGAATAAGCATTCTCCTTCCTCTAATCGTGGAACCTGGGGCTAATCAAGGAAAATATCATGTTTCTAGATTTAGAGCACCTTCTATGTGGTAGGACTAAACTGAGAGTCATAAAATCTAGGTTCATTTTGGCTCATTAACTAAATAAATATATAAATAACTGTAGTTTCCAGGACCTCAGGTTCCTTAACTATAAAAAGGATTTAGATGAGCCCTTCGAGATGTAAGTGCCTATGATTTCATGATAATTGGATATATCATTAATTATAAAATAATTGTGCAGAAAGCAATAGCAGAATCCATAAAAAGTCAAATGATGGGCCAGGCGCGGTGGCTCATGCCTGTAATCCCAGCACTTTGGGAGACCGAAGCGGGTGGATCACGAGGTCAGGAGATGGAGACCATCCTGGCTAACATGGTGAAACCCCATCTCTACTAAAAATACAAAAAATTAGCCGGGCATGGTGGCGCGCGCCTGTAGTCCCAGCTACTCGGGAGGCTGAGGCAGGAGAATGGCATGAACCCGGGAGGCAGAGGTTGCAGTGAGCCGAGATCTTGCCACTGCACTCCAGCCTGGGGGACAGAGCCTGAGACTCTCAAAAAAAAAAAAAAAAAAAAAGTCACTTGTTGGCCTTCTAGGAATTAGTTTTTTTTTTTTTTTTTTTTTTTGAGGTGGAGTCTTGCTCTGTTACCCAGGATGGAGTGCAGTGGCGCGGTCTTGGCTCACTGCAACCTCCACCTCCTGGGTTCAAGCGATTCTTCTGCCTCAGCCTCCTGAGTAGCTGTGACTACAGGCACGCGCCACCATGCCTGGCTAATTTTTGTATTTTTAGTAGAGACGGGGTTTCACCATGTTGGCCAGGATGGTCTCCCATCTCCTGACCTCGTGATCCGCCTGGCTCGGCCTCCCAAAGTGCTGGGATTACAGACGTGAGCTACTGTGCCCGGCCTGGGAATTAGTATTTTTAACATATATGGCAAACTACTAATATTAGTGAAATGTAACTTAGGAAGGAATTGAACATCATAGTGGGAAAATTATCACAGGACATGAACAGAAAATTAACAAAAGAAAAATGAAAACTGCCAGTTAACAATGTTTAACCTGATTGGGAATCAAAACATGCAAATTAAATCAAAAGTAAGATATCATTTTATCATAGTAGCGAGGATTTTAAAAAATTGATGCTAATAGCCGTCAGCATTAAGAATGGGTAAAGATGTGGGAAAATAAGCACTCTTTTATGTTTCCAGTGAAAGTGTAAATTGGTATTAACCTTAGATGTCTAACAATTATGATGCAAATCTGTATTGATATGGAACCATGCCTATAATATATTTTTAAGTGAAAACTATGTATAAGCTTATTGCTTGTTGGGGGAGAAGAATGCTTCCTTGTATACATACTTGTATATGTGTATGCTAGAGAAAACGACTGCTAGACATCAGAATTTTAATGATTATTTTTAATTGGTTATATGGATGATTTTTCTATCTTACCTGTACCTTTGTATATAGAATTTTTGTAGTATTTACTAGTTTTTATTTTTAAATAGAGAAAATGTGCATGTTGCTAAAAGTTCAGATTATTTACGGTTTTACATTGAAAAGTAATTCTTTCACCCCATTCCCTCCAGTTGCCCATTTCCCTTCCCCAAGGCTGCCACTGTTATTTTTATATATATATATATATATATATGCTTCCAGAGACATTCTATACTTATGTGTTTTTTTCCTTATTCTTTTTCTCTTTTTTTTGAGGCAAGGTCTAACTCTATTGTCAAGGCTGCAGTGCAGTGGCAAAATCTCAGCTCACAGCAACCTCCACCTCCTGGGCTCAAGCCATCTTCCCACTTCAGCCTCCCGAGTAGCTGGGACTACAGGGGCACACCACCACACCCTGCCAATTTTTGTTGTTGTTGTTTTTTGTAGAGACAGGATTTCACATGTTGCTCACGCTGGTCTCAAACTCAAGCGGTTTGCCTGCCTCTGCCGCCCAAAGTGCTGAGATTATAGGCGTGAACCGCCGCCCCCAGCCTCAGGCTTTTTTTAAAAATACAAATGGTTGCATAGTGTACTGGATTTTTTAGTCCTTATTTTACAACCCATAGGAGTACTCATAGAGCTGCCTCATTCTTTTGAAGCAGAAATAAATATCCTTATACATATTTATTTATGCATATATGTAAGTATATCAATGAGATAAATTTCTCGAAGAATTACTAAGTCAAAAGGAAGGTGTATTTAAAACTGATAGATACTGTATATCACCATTAGAAATAAGGAAAACTCACACCATTTATCTTATTTTTCTCTCACCTTCTATATCCAATCCATTTGCAAATCCTGTTGACTCTAACTCCAAAATAAATTCAGGACTTGACCACTTCTACTCTGATTCAACCCACCTTCTCTTATCAGGATTATATTTCAGTAGCCTTTTAACGGTCTCCTTGCATCAGCTATTGCCCCTTCATTATTAGGAGCCAGAGTAATATTTTCAAAGCATATATCAGCCCTTGGCTCCAGATCCTTTCAGAGCAAAAGCCGAAGTCTTTGTGGTGTCTTAAAAAGCCTGATCAGCACCTCTCCTTTTCCCCAAACCATCTCTCTGCCCCCCTTTGTGATCACATTTGCTACTGTTGACTCCTCTGGAGCCACACTGACCTCATTGCTGTGTCTGGGTTATGTCCGGCAAGCTCCCACCTCAGGGCGTTTTGCAGTTACAGTTCCTTCTGCCTGAAATACCCACGTGGTTCACTCTCTGAGTTCCTTCAGGTCCTTTCAAACTATCACTTTATTGGAGAAGCCTTTCCTGACCATTCTGTGTTAAGTAATAATTTTCCACCTTGTATTCCTTTTCTCCTGCTTTATTATGTTCCGTTGTACTTACCAACATCTAATATATATATTTTTTGAAATGTTTCCAAGCTATAAGTCTAATATGTTTTGAACTGTCCAGTATCGTAGCCACTAATCACTTGTGGCTATTGCCTACTTAAAATGTTGTTAGTCTACTTGAGGAACTAAATTTAATAGAGGAACTATATTTGTAACTGTATTTAATTTCGGTTAATTTAAATGTATATTAAATAACGGATACCCAGTTCAGTTAATGGAAAACTTTTAAGTATATTTGGAACAAGTTGGGTATGTGAGTTTACTTTTTCAGCTGTAAATTTTATGAGATTCAAATTCAGATCAAGTATTTCTGATGAAAATTTAGCATCCAAATTGAGATGTACTATAAGTACGAAATACACACTGGATTTCAAAGACTTAGGAAGGAAAAAAGAATGTTAAGAATCCTCCAGTAATTTTTAATATTGGTTACATGTTGAGATTGTGATATTTTGGATATATTTAGCTCAAAAAAGAAATGATTAAAATTAGTTTCACCTGTTAACTTTTTACTTTTTAAAATCTGGCACTTGAAAATTTTAAATGTGGCTCATGTTTTATTTCTGTTGGACAGTGCTGCTCTATTTATTTGTGGAGTTGTTTATTGTGTATCTCTGCAGTAGAATGTGAGCTCCATGTGAACAAGGGTTTAGTCTGTTTTGCTCCCTGCCCAACTGGTAGGTATCCAGTAAATTTTATAGAACAAATGAATAAATTTGAATGAATCACCTCCCTTTTAAAAAAAAGTCAGTATGAGTAAAATTAAAAGGAAGACAATTTATATGCACATCCTAGGACCTAAACAAAAAGTTGTGGTTAGTATATATAGAATGCTTATAAATAAGGTGTAAATACAAAAGGGCAAAGGAGGCTGGGTATGGTGACTCATGCCTATAATACCAATACTTTGGAAGAATGAGGTAGGAGGATGGTTTAGCCCAGGAGTTTGAGACCAGCCTGTGCAACAAAGTGAGACCTTCTCTCTACAAAGAATAAAAACGTTAGCCACAAGTGATGATATGCACCTGTGGTCCCAGCTACTCCGGAGGCTGAGGAGGGAGGATTGCTTGAGCCTGATAGGTCAAGGCTGCAGTGAGCCATAATCATGCCACTGCACTCCAGCCTGGATGACAGAGATCCTGTCTCACACAGAAAATGGGGAATGAGGGGCAAAGGATATGAATAGGCAAGAGTAGAAATCCAGACTTAAATTACAAATATTCTTTGACCCAGTTTTTCCATATCTAGGAATTTAAGGATATAATCACAGATGTGTACAAAGAGTTTTCTATAATGTTTATTGCAGCCTTGTGTATAATACTAAATCTGAAATTGAACATAGTGTTCAGGTTGCTAGAGAAATCCAAAGAGGGAGGGGTATAGAATGGCAACTTAGGGAAATATTTTAAGATTCTGTGTTGGTCAAAAAGTCTATCTAGTGAACCAAATTTATATTTTCAGTTGATGTGTTAGGAAAATTGATTATATGTATATACTAAATAAAATTTGTTAAACATACCTATAACCCTTCAAAATTAAATTTTTAAAAACTTTTTACTGTTTCATGTAGGTATAACTTACTTCCTTGTCTCTTGATAGATTTCAGGCTTAAACTGAAGAAGTAATTGGTTCAAAAATCTTATTACTAGAAAGTAATGACAAATTTATAGTTTTCATTTCTAGTGTACATTAACCATAGGTCATTGTAACATCCCTTCTCCACAATAAAAATGGAAACTTATTTTGTGGAAATCATTTTATGTAAATATGTATTTAATACTTATTTCATCTTTCTTACCTTTCAGAATTACCATGAAATTATGACTCGTCATCCTGAGAATTATCAATGGGAAAACTGGAGTCTAGAAAATGTTGCTACCATTTTAGCCCACCGGTTCCCCAATAGTTATATTTGGGTGATAAAATGTTCCCGAATGCATTTGCACAAATTCAGCTGCTATGACAATTTTGTGAAAAGTAACATGTTTGGTGCCCCAGAACACAATACTGACTTTGGAGCTTTTAAGCACCTTTATATGTTATTAGTTAATGCTTTTAATTTAAGTCAGAATAGTTTATCAAAGAAAAGTTTGAATGTTTGGAATAAGGACTCCATAGCATCTAACTGTAGATCCAGTCCTTCTCATACTACGAATGGTTGCCAGGGAGAAAAAGTGAGGACCTGTGAAAAATCTGATGAGTCTGCCATGAGTTTTTATCCACCATCACTAAATGACGCATCTTTTACTTTGATTGGATTCAGTAAAGGTTGTGTTGTTTTGAATCAGTTGCTTTTTGAATTGAAAGAAGCCAAGAAAGACAAGAACATAGATGCTTTTATCAAAAGCATAAGAACAATGTATTGGCTGGATGGTGGTCATTCTGGAGGAAGCAATACTTGGGTTACTTATCCAGAAGTCTTGAAAGAATTTGCACAAACAGGAATTATCGTTCACACTCATGTAACACCTTACCAAGTACGTGATCCAATGAGATCTTGGATTGGAAAGGAGCACAAGAAATTTGTTCAGATACTTGGGGATCTTGGTATGCAGGTGACTAGCCAAATTCATTTTACAAAGGAAGCTCCTTCCATAGAGAATCACTTCAGGGTTCATGAAGTATTTTGAGATTACAGGTATATTAATGAACTTGTTCAGTGGAAGAACATAAGCACTTTTGAGTGTTATAAATTCAGATAATGGGATGTAATTCATAGCTGCATTGTCAGTTTTGGGGTATGGGGGGAAGCACACATTCCTAAAATGTGAGTGTAATGTGCAATAGTATTTTTTGCTTGTGAATGTGAGCAGTTATTAATTTGGATTGAGTTAGAATTAGTTAATTTGAAATCTAACAAGGTGGTTTGTAATAATGCTGAGGAGATATAAGACCCTTAAAATGAAAGTTACAACATTGTTCTTATAAAAGGTAACTAAAATTGTTACTGTTGGAAATAACTGATTTTCTGAGTAATGTTTTAAACTAATTTGGTGACATTTTAACAGTAATTAGCTATTTTGAGTGGAAATATTTTCATTTCTCTTCAAACAAAAGCAAAGGTACGATGCTGTTTTCTATCATTTTGGAATAACTGCACCCTGCCTTTTGTGTTTTTGTAAACTCCTTGACTCATTCTTTCATGTGTCACCAAGTACTTTTCTCATGAGAGTCAACATATATTTGTTTCCAAATGTCCACAAGTGTACAATAGTGTAAAGGTGGTTTTTAAAAACATAGCCAGGTGTGGTGGCACGTGCCTTTAGTTCCAGCTACTCAGGAGGCTAAGGCAGGAGGATTGCTTGAGCCCAGGCTGTGTGGTTCACCATAATTGTGTTTGTGACTAGCTACTGCACTCCAACCTGGGCAACATAGTGGGACTTCATCTCTAAAACAAAACAAAACAAAATTACACTTAAGCACTATTGTTTAATTTTTAATTGTCAGTTTATCATTATTTTGGGTAAGACATTCTGGGGTTTCTTGAATCTTGTCCAAAAACCAGTTGTTTTGGAAAATTGCTTTAAATTGAGCATATTTATGTATATTGGATAAAAATGTACTACAGAGCAAATTTCAAATTTTTCATTATATCAGTCTTTTTGAAAGGATCAACTTGGATAAAATAAATATATAATGCTCTATTTGTTAGAGCTCTATTAAAAAGGAAACAGATTCCATAGATCTAAGTCAATGTTTCTCCAGAAGCATGATTTTGTCTGCCAAAAGAAAATAGCTCTCTTTGGCCAAAATGCAAAATTACATTGCTATAAGAAAAGTTACAAGGGAAAGTTTGAAGACACAAATGATTTAATTTTGGCTCAAAAACTGAATTTGCTTAACACTGCTACATAATTTGGGTGAAGTTTCCTTCTGCCCGTTTTTCTTGACCTAGATAAATACACTTTGAGAAATCCAGATCTAATAAATGTCAACCAACATTGACATTGTAATTGGGTGATTACAATAAAAGGTGAGCAGTTTGTTGTTTATTAATAATTAGCTTTTGCAGGTAATGAAATAGCAGGGAAGTAACATGCTGCTTTAGGACTAAAAAAAAAAAAAAAAAAAAGACACTGAAGCTTAATACCTTAATGACCCAGAAGACCTAGATTTATAAAGCCATATAGAATAAAAATGTTAATTTCTTGGTTTCTTCCCAGAATTATATTTTAATGACTCCATAAATACATTCCAAATATTCAGAGATTCATGAGAAAGGATTCTTAACAAATGTTTAAAAATAACATTTCTTTTTGGTGTTTTAACACTTAATTTTATAAACTGCAGAACAGCATCTCTAAATGGCTTTTTTTTTTTTTTTAAAGACAAAGTAGTATTATGTTGCTTCAGTTTCTTTAAATACCTCGTTTCTTTTGAGACCAAAAATTCCCATCAAGGAAATAAATCAGCCTGATTTTAACATTTTACATATTACATTGCCTTTAAGCACTATGATTGGATGGCTTTTTTTCTATTTGTTTAATAATCCTTGGCTAAATTCACATGTATCTAAAGGAAAATAGCTGAGTTACTGAATTCTATAAGGGGAAGAAAAAGCATTTATTTTCACATGATTAACTGAAATGGAAAAGTAAGACATTTAGCAGAATAATTCATTTAAAAATAATTTTAAAAAATCAGACATATTTAAAAATCTAGGTTGTCTATCCAGTATGTGAATGCTTAATTATAATTGTTACATGTTGAATGGGTATTAAGAGTAAGTCACCAGGTACACAAAACTGCCATCATAGCAAAATGAGACAGTGTTGAAAAGACAAAATATTTTCTGGAATGAAAATATATTCAAGTTGATCCATATTCAGATGTTTTCTGTTTAATACTTCAGATTGGTCCTTTGTCCACATTTGTTTAAAACTTATTGTAATGTTAATTTACACTTTTGGATTGTGCCTTTGTCATGAGTTGAGAAAAGTAGTCCTACAAATAATGTGAAAGTTGTTACCACCACAGCATGAATGTATAATTGTATTAAAATTGATCATCCACAGAAGTTTGTTTGGATGTGCTTTATATTTATTAGCATTGTTAAAACTTCAGATTATTTATAAAGGAAGCCATTTCTCCACCCTGCTAAGTTGGGTTTGTATACAGTAAGTCCTCACTTAACATATCAGTAGGTTCTTGGAAACTGAGACTTGAAGCAAACTGATATAACAAAACCAATTTTTTTCTCATCATTGTTTTAACTAGATGACAACGAACAAAACGTTGAGGACCTGCTGTTTGTCCTTTTGTTTAAAGTCACAGATTCTAAGAACCTATGCACATTAAGTGAGGACTTACTGTGCATCTTTTCATTATCTTCCATGTCTTTTCAAATGAGCAACTTTGAACCTTTTTTGTACAAATACATACCTTCTCCCTTTAAAATTGCTCCATAAAAATTTGCACTATATCCACTTCTTTTATTGGATTTCATAGAGAACAAAACCTCTAACAAGTTCATCCTTTTCTCTTTTCTGTGCTAATCATCTCAGGGATTTGTAGTCCTTTAGCTTCTTACAAGACTTGGTTAGGGTATGGTGTAATCTATTTTTCATTTCATTCATGTACTATCTAAGTAACCACCAAGGTCAAGGAGGGTCTAGGCAATGAGGATATAGGACAGACAATACAAAGTCCCAGCATGTTGGTATAGAAATGTTTAATACATTAAATCTTATGAGGTAAAATACAAAAGGTAGTATTCATAAAAGAGCTATTTTGTTTTATTTCACTTGAAGTTCTTAAGAGAAAAACATAAGAGGAGATATAGACAGACCTCATCTGTAAACTCATGTTGCTCTTTACAAAGGAAGAGACCCAGCAGCTTTTAAGCCAGTTAGTGGTAGAGACAGGCAAGAGTCACCAAAAAAGGTCATTTTAGTATTCTGTTTAATGGAACTTAGAAAGAGACTACATCGTGGGGTTGGGGGAGGGGGAAGGGATAGCATTAGGAGATATACCTAATGTAAATGACGAGTTAACGGGTGCAGCACACCAACATGGCACATGTATACATATGTAACAAACCTGCACGTTGTGCACATGTACCCTAGAACTTAAAAGTATAATAAAAAAATAAATAGAGACTACAACTTAGGTATATTTAAGACACCCAAAAACTTGTGGCTTGTATGCTTGAAACAAGACTAAGGTAACACCAGAGATGTGTGGGTGACTGCCAATCTATGTTAGTTCCTCCTGACTACATCTATTTTTTAGCACTGGGGAAAGGAGTCACAGCAGCACAGTTCCAATTCCATCCAGGCCTGCCTTCCAGCTTCCTGCATTTTTTTTTTTTTTTTTTTGTCAACTCCTTTGATGTCTGTTGGCAACTTTTTATAGGTGATAGAAAAGCCGCCTTACTAAGGTTCTTTCCAAATGTTCACATAGCTGCTGTTCAAAAGGATGAAGGATACAAATTAAGTTTTGTTGACTTTGTTTCCTTTGTTTTGGTATTTTATCAAAGTGAGTTAGAAATTAATTACAGGACAAATAGAATTCTAATGTATTCAAATACCAAGACAAATAATGTTATGAAATGCTAATAATTACACTCTGTTTAGTTTTTTTTTTTGAGACAGGTCTCCCCATGTTGCCCAGACTGAACTTGAACTCCTGGCTTCAAGCACTCCTCCTGCCTCAGCCTCCCAAGATGCTGGGACTACAGGTGTGGACCACCACTCCCCAGCTCTGCATATAATATTTTTTTTTTTTTTTTTTTTTTTGAGACAGGGTCTCACTCTGTCACCCAGGCTGGAGTGCAGTTGCACAATTCCAGCTCACTGCAACCTGCACCTCCCAGGCTCAAGTGATCCTCCTATCTTAGCCTCCTGAGTAGCTGGGACTACAGGCGCACACCACCACAGCCAGCTAATTCTCTGTATTTTTGGTAGAGACAAGGTTTCGCCATGTTGCCCAGGCTGGTCTCGAACTCCTGAGTTCAGATGATCCACCCACCTCGGTGCATATAGTATTTTTAAAATGTATTTTGAAAGGATAATGTGAACAAAAGTCCAAATAATACAAAACTAGATTCTAAGCAGCCCACCTAGTTGAACCTCTTCTTGGAGGCATAATTATCACTGGTTTCTCGTGCATCCTTAGAGATAATTATATGCATATGCAAATAAGATGTTCACACACCACATACCTTGTTTTACACAAATGGCAGTACAGTTTCAAATATGTTTTTCATGTAACATTTAATTTTTCTATTTTTAGTAGAGACGGGGTTTTACCATGTTGGCCAGAATGGTCTTGATCTGACCTCGTGATCTGCCCACCTCGGCCTCCCAAAGTGCTGGGATTACAGGCATGAGCCATGGCACCTGACCCACCATTACTTTTATTTTGAATCTTGTCTGTGTAGCAAGCAGTGCAGTGAGAAATTTTGTTGGCAGAGGAAAAAAATTCCTTTTTGCATCAGGTCAAGCCCCCAAACTAGCCAAAGAAAAGCTGTGTAATCTATTCAGAAGTACTGGAGATGTGCTGCACATTAGGGAGAATGGAGAATTACTGGTCACAACGAATCCCGGTTTCTATCACCCATAGCTATGTGAACCCAGACAATCATTAAGCAATCTGGGTTGGTTAGATGGCTTCTAAGATCTCTTTCAATAAAAAAGTTCTAAGATTCAGAATTCCTGAGAAGTTGCAGCTAACATACACTGTATAAGATTTTATACATTAAAAACAAACATCTCATTTGGTCTTAACCCAGTAGGAAGAAAAGATTAAAATATTTTGTATTTGAAATAAACAGACCCTAATATTAATTATGACCAGGGAAATAATTTTAAAACATCCCAAAGGAAAGTTCTCTAACTTTTAAAATATTATAAATTAATACTGCAACAGGAGCTACCTCAAATCTCTCAACAAAGATGGAATATAATTAAATAGAAGAACTAGCACCAGTTATCAACTATGTGCCTGCCCTTGAACTCTCTGCATTTTTGTAGTTCTGTTTTAAAGATGAGGAAAATAAGCTTCATAGATAAATGTTATTTTGTCTAAGGTCATCCAGTTTGCTTCTCCATTAAACAATCAATTAAGATGACTATTCAGTGCACAAACTGTAATCTGTTTTATTAATACTTCCAAGTTTTCTACATGACTCTGGATTTATACTTTGTATCAATTCTCTTGCTGGTTAAGAAAAAAAACAAGATTTATTAAAAACTGACCATAAATAATGTGTAAACTAAGGAGAGTTTTGTCTTTTTCCTTACTGAAGGACAAGGAATCAGTAAAGAAGTTCTTTGCTTTGCTTAATGAAGATCAAAACCTGGTAATTAAATTTGGCTAATATAATCATTCCTTTTCTGACAAGACTTTTTTCACCTTTATTCACCTGAGTAACTTACCTGTTTCCAAAGACACCTAGGAAATTCAGAATGTTATATATGCTTTTCCTTATTTACTATAATTTATAGGACATGAGTGGATGGATTCTCTTCAATAGAGAAAATGATTTTCTCTAATTAAAATGCACCAAATTGATGTACTAAGAGATTGCTTTAGATGAACACATTTATGTTCAGTGAAGATTATGTGGTCTTCAATGACACTGCAATATAATTACTAGGTACAAAACAAAAGCAGAGATCCACACACAATGGCTCACTGTCTTCGATGACAACACTTTTAGGATCTCATTTATTCATTCTTTAAGTAATTTTTCTTTTAAAAAAGGGATAGGTGGAAAAAATAGTTGGGAAATCTTTAACTAGGCTAAGGTTTAGACATAGGTATAAATTATTTATTTTGTAACATTCAAAAACCAAAAACCACCCTGACATACTGGGTGGCAAGAAAAGTCAAGATCAGATTAAACATTTGTTTTGCACTAATCACAAAACTAATAATCCAAGTCACTATCATCAACTCCAGTTGATCTCAGCTCTGATTATGCATCAGAACACCCTGTGAGGTCTATTAAGTTCCTATACCAAATCCCAAACACTCTTGAATCAGTCTACAAAGTTGGGACCTAGGTATCTGTACATTTTTTAAAGTTCCTCAAAAAATTCTGCTTCTAGGCAAATGTAATAGATATTGTGCGTTGCTCATGTTTTTCCTATCAGAACCATGATTTTAAAAAAACTATCCTTTCTGTCCCCATATATCCCTCATGTGGCCTCCACTTCTACTCTCAGCTCCAGTGGACCTGACTGCCCTAAAGGTTATTCTAGACCCTTTGCCAGTGACTGGCTCAGGGATGGACAGGTCTAAGTTACTTTAGAGCAATGAGACCTAAGGATATGGAAAGTGAATTCTGGGAAAGCTTTCTCATACTAGGACAGGGCCCCTAGAATCCAGCCTGACTCTTCCGCTGCATGTAAATGAAGATGCACAAGGCTCCAACTGCTACTGGCAATCATCCCATGACCACGAGGGTAGCCAGCCTTAGGATGATGCCAATGTTGTGGTTGAAAAGGGGGTGGGGTGTGGAGGCGGGTTCCCAAGGTTCTTGATGACATTACTGAATCATTGGATCAGAAACACTGCAGCACATTCTGTCAATAGATTTCATGTATTGTGAATCAATATATTTTCTTACTGTTTTTAAGTCATTTTAAGTTGGACTTTTAGTGGTCAGCATCTGAATGTTAAAGAGTGGTCCCAGCACAGCATTCTTTAATTATAACAATCTGTATCAAGTAGAATCCACACAAACACCCCTTCGTACTTACATAATCTGTAAATCTGATGTATCTTTCCTATTTTAACAAAATCTTTAATTTATATCGTTATACCTTACTAAAGTGTTAATGTGCATTGCATTCACTTCATTATTTACTCAGAGTTCTTGCTGTAGGCTTTGTCTTGAATGTGTAGGACCATTCGTCGTGCATAGAAGTCCCTATATTCCTCTGGTAACTCGGCCAGTGTTTTCAAGGCTCTGTCCAGAATTTGTGCAGCTCTTGATGCTGCTGTAGGATCTTTGTTTCCATAGGTATCTGTTTTATCATAGCATTCAGATGGAAGGTGCTTCCAAAAGATATTCACTCCCACTCCAAACTCTTCAGAAATTACATTATGGAACCATAAAGCTGGAGAAAGTTTAAAAAACAAGTTAAAAATAAAACCTACAGTTAAAAAAAAACCCAAAATGTCAGTGAAATATCACGAATTGCATATAGCCAATGTAAGAAATAATTCTTGTAACCAGATCCCTTCGTTAGCACACTCCAGGCTTTTAACAGAATCATTTTAACTTTTATGAATTGCCAACAAATTTAAAGTGTCAATAGCACAACCCTTACTTTTAAAACCTTTAGAAATAGCAATTTTTCCTTTAAACTTGAAAGACATAATAAAGATATATTTGTTTTGCAGTTCTCTAATCTAGGGCTGTGTTTTGTGTTACTTGTTTATACTTCCTGAGTCATACAACCACATCAAAGTGTTTATTTTTTGGTACACAGAACATTTCAATTACTTGAGGAGTATCTTTGACCTTTTCTGATTCATTATAATACTTTTGTCCCTAAAGACTTCCTGTTCAAGCTGCGATTTGGTTTTCTAACTTGCTTAAATTCGTATTCATTATAGCCTCCTCGTTTTATATTTTGAATGCAATTATAATCATCTTATATTTCTTTCAGCTCCTTTATAAATAGTATACAAAACTACAGCAAATATTTTGGTGGTGGAAATGATGAGTAAACTTTATTATATACCTAATTAATTTTTTTCCTTTTATTGGGAAATTTACTTTATTTTCAATTGAATCTAAACATTTTCAGAATATAGGTGCTAGAGGAATACTAAAGCAATACCACAATATAACAAAGATGGAACACTAATCACAGGAAAAACCCTTTTAATCCTGTGAAAGGGAGATTTAAATTTTAGAAACTTATTCTAAGAGTGTTTAAGGAAAAACAAAAGCTTAACATTTTGATTTGGAAAACTAATTTTCAAACATGGTTTTAATCTTAACTACACTTTCTTTCAGAATCTTTTTTTTCCCTTATTCAATATAATAGGAAGAAAATGCTAACCATTCAGCTGAATTTAAACCCAAAGACAGGAATTTTGCTTTTGTTTAAAAATATATGCAAATGTTCAGTATTTTTTTTTTTCTTAAAACAATTGTATGAAGAATAAGGGAAAACTACATAGATCTTAATCATGCTCCCAAGATACAAAAACCAAAAGTGTAAATTTAAAAGATGGCAATAGATTTGAAGACTAATACGTTCGTTGCTTTCAATGAAAATAAGAATAAAAAGTCAACTTTTTATAAATTATCAATTATATGAAAGCCATTATATCATATCTGGCCCTTTTGGGGAAGACAAAGATGAACAAAACATAGTTGTCTTCAAGGAATTTATAATCTAGTCCCAAAAGAAGTCATCAAATATGGATCTTTATTAATATTTACTTATTTTTATCAGTGAAAAGTATTAATGATTCTTAATAGATTAATTTAAATATGGAACTACAACTATAAATAGAATTTGTTAATATATCCCTTTAATTTTAATTATGATTTTTATAATCTTCAAGAGTTCACTTTTAAGTATTAATTACAGATGTTAATTACCTTGCTGTGTTGAACTTTATGGACTTTCAAACTAATGCCTATTAATTGAACAAAGAAATTAAGTGACACAAATCCAGACTGTATAGAAAAATAATGTACACAAATGATACTACAGGTGTTGAGATTATAACATTTTAATATGAAATCTTTCATCTGTTTTGGCCTTGAAAGATACTTATCATTTTTTTTTGGTAAATATTTAAGTGACACAGTTCTAAAATACAGAAATATTTTTAAAATAAAATAATTTACAAAACCAATCAGTATAATCTTTTCCCAAATATAAAGTGTCTTACTTGATGTCATTTAATAGAGTATATTATTTTTAAAAAATAATTTAGAAAACGAACAAGTATAATCTTTTCCCAGATATAAAGTGTCCCACTTTGAAAATAATAATAAATAAATAAATAAAAGCTATAAAAAATGTGTCTTACTTGATGTCACTTAGTAAAATAGAGTATAATATTATTTTTATAGGTTGCCCTTGAAAGCAAGACTGTTAATTTAGTTTATTCAGAGACAGGGTCTTACTCTGTTGCTCACAGTGGAGTACAGTGATTCCATGATGCCATGGCATCAACCTCCTCAACCTCAACCTCAACCTCGTGGGCCCAAGAGATCCTTCTGCCTCAGCCTCCCGAGCAGCTGGGACGTACAGATGCACACCACCATGCCTGACTAAATTTATTTATTTATTTTTGTCGAGACGGGGTCTCGCTATGTTGCCCATGCTGGTCTTGCACTTTTGGCCTCAAGCAATCCTCCCACCTTGGCCTCCCAAAGTTCAAGTTGGGAGGATTGCTTGAGGCCAAAAGTGCAAGACCTGTTAACTTATAGGCCAAAACTACAAGGGCTGTTAACTTATAATAAGTTTGCCTAGGCCTGCTTTAAACACACACACACACACACACACACACACACACACACACACACACACATACACACACACGCACACACAGAGTTTTGTCTAAAAATCATCTTGTATAGGACCGGATACATATAACAAATATATATTTGTACTAAAAAAAAAAAATCACATGAAGGATGAGTGACAGAGTACACATTTTATAAATAGCACATTAGTGAGGTCTAGAAATCTTACCAGGAATGAATAATACATCACCAGCTTCAAGGGAACATTCATATCTTCTAGCCTTGGAAAAAAGTGGATATTTAGCCAAGTCTGGGTTATCTATATTCAGTACTTCTGATTTAGTACCTAAAAAGTTCCAAAAAGGGATAATATAGATTCAGCAAAGTTAGCATTTTAAAAAAAGTAATCACAAATATAAATTTGAAAATTTATTCTTTTCTATCCAGTTACTTACTGTACCAACACTGTGAGAATTACTATGCTACTGACACCTAAGACAATTTTCAATGACTCACTCTTTAATTCTGATGACTGATACCCATGTAATAAGATAATTTCAAATTTGAACCTGTTATTACATATATACACAAATACAATTAGGATTAAGTACTGAAGTGTTCTTTTCCTATAAGAATCAAGAGATTTCTCAAAAAGAGTAACTGAATAGACTTTTGAAATATAAACTTAAAAAAAATCCCATACCTTTTAAATATAAATACTGGGCATCTCGAGGACTGAAGAGTACAACACGCTTTTTTCCTGTCACTTGTATTAACAAATTATCCATTACCTGAAGACCAATAAAAGCTTATGGGTAATCATTATCTAAAATTCAAATAAATAGAACCAATGGCATGCTAAACTTTAACTGCAAACCCGATCCTTTAATGAGACTTGACTTACTTAAGACTCTTACAGTTACCTAACAATAAAAACATTTGTATTCCATATACAACTGGGCCTTCAAGACATTTCTGCAGTACTGCCCTAAAATGGGAAGACTTGGCAAATTAGAAAATGTGGAGTCAGAAAACGATTTGCCTTTGCCTCACCATTAACTGACAGCATAGTTAAGCCTATTTAAGGCTCCCCTTGGTTAATATTTACTATCTGTTAAGGAATGCTATAAGCCCAAAATTAGACAACAGAGTAAAAGCACTTAGAAAAATCAGATGCTAGGAAAATACAAGGTACTGTTGCAACTGCTGCTACACTCTTAATATATGTTCAACCATAATTTCATTATAGGTATCTTGATTTTCAAATTATTTCTATAGGAATATAATCTCACAGATTTTCTTTTTTTTTCCTTTTCTGCAAACAGTATGGTGATTTATGACAGATTTTCTTAATATATATTTATTATTGGAGCAATCGTTTCCCATGAATGTAATGGTATACTTTCTTGGTATAGATTGTGAAAAAATGTTAAAGGCAGAGTCACATAATTCTCAGCTAAGGATTTAAGATAAGCACTAAGCAAGATATATTCATGATTTTTTACTTCTACCTAAGCATTCTTCCTTTTAGTACTAACCCTTTACTCATGTAAACCATAACTATACAATTCAAACTAGCGTTCCTCTGACTTAATTTATAATAAAAGCTTTATATATTACATTCTATTATAATTCAAGGTAAAGGGGATACTACTCAAAATTTAAAACATAATCATAGAGGCCAGGCATGGTGGCTCATGCCTGTAATCCTAGTACTTTGGGAGGTCGAGGTGGGCGGATTACTTGAAGCCAGGAGTTTGAGACCAGCCTGGCCAACGTCGCAAAACCCCATGTATACTAAAAATAAAAAAAAAAAAATTAGCCGGGTGTGGTTGTGCATGCCTGTAATCCTAGCTATCTGGGTAGCTGAGATACGAGAATCACTTGAATCTGGGAGGGACTGGTTGCAGTGAGCCAGGATCGTGCCACTGCACTCCAGCCTGGGTGAAAGAGCAAGACTCTGTCTCAAAAAACAACAACAACAATCATCATCATCATCATCATAGAATATAGTTAAAATGTATTACCACATGATTTTCTCACCATGTTATTCATATAAAACTGTAAAATATGCTAAGAGTTCATGTCTATTTCATAATTACAGATTTACTGACTATGGTAAAATCCTCCCAAGAGGGTCTCAACTGAATTACAAAACACATGTATAAAATGTTATACTGTGATTTAGAACTTAAAAATTTTTTTTTCTTTGGAAACTTGTTAGATATTCCTTTACCTTCCTTAAGTTTCTCTACTTCCCAACACCAAACCATATACCATACTAGTATTTTTAATGTTTTTAAAACGCTTATAGATGTGTACATAAATTTAAGCAAACAAAATAACATCATAAATAATCAAGATCAATTTTTTTTTTTTTTGAGACAGAGTCTCGTTCTGTCGCCCAGGCTGGAGTGCAACGGTGCGATCTCGGCTCACTGCAAGCTCTGCCTCCTGGATTCACGCCATTCTCCTGCCTAAGCCTCTGGAGTAGCTGGGACTACAGGCACCCGCCACCATGCCCAGCTAATTTTTTGTATTTTTAGTAGGTACGGGGTTTCACCGTGTTAGCCAGGATGGTCTCGATCTCCTGACCTCATGATCCGCCCGCCTCGGCCTCCCAAAGTGCTGGGATTACAGGTGTGAGCCACCGCGCCCAGCAGATCAAGATCAATATTGTACACATTTTTGCTGCCCTACAAATACAGCAGATATTTGACATTCTCAAGGCATATATATCCTAAGATCTTCAGATATCCCCAAATTCTTACAATTGGTAATGACTCAACAAGCTTCAGCCTTTTTCCTGAATAACATAACTTTGCATGACCCAGAGAGTTATGGATCTCTGGGTAGCCAGAGTCATGTGTATCATTTATACCTCCTTATACTAAAGGCTTATCACTTTTTCCAATACAATTTCCCCCATTATCTGGTGGCCATTTTTCACATGGAAAAAAAAATCACTTCACAAAACTTGGTATATATATGATGATGAATCAAGAATAGGACCACAGGGAAATACAAATGTGAGGAACCAACTAGGCTTTGCCATTAGCAAAATAATTCATTCCTGTATCACTGCTATGCACAGCACCTATTTTCAAAAGTCATGTTTCAGCAAATTACACAGATGTTTAGGGTAACCTATAGGAAGTTGAAACTGTGACTGTTAAATCTATAATGCTAAAGATCTATTGTAGCTTTAAATTTCTCATTTATGTAGCATACATCATAATGAGTCCATAGTTGTAATCCTGGTGAACTAATTCGAAAAACACTGGAAAAGAACTGTTCCTCTTTGAAGAATTCTGGAAACTTAATATCTCCTTTCAACAAAGGAAACTGCTTTCTGATATCTGCAACATCCTGCATTTACAGAAACATAAAAAGAAAAAATTAGATTAGACCCTATGATATTAAGGAAGACTGGGGCAAAACTTTGTTCACTGCTTTAAAATACTATGATGTGACCATGTGCCAATACATGATCTCTCTCTCTCTATCTTTCTCTCTCTCTCTCCCCCAAGTAGCTGAGATTATAGGCACCTCCCACCACGCCCAGCTAATTTTTGTATTTTTAGTGGAGACGGGATTCCCCATGTTGGCCAGGCTGGTCTTGAACTCCTGACCTCAGGTGATCCACCCACCTCAGCCTCCCAAAGTGCTGGGATTACAGGCATGGGGCCACCTTGCCTGGCCGATACATGATCTTTCAAATGAAGAAATACCAGGCTGTGTAACAAGACTGCAGATTTTATAGTATCACTACTGTTAAGCTCAATATGCTTCATTAATAGAAAGGTTCTTTCTACTTTAAGCAAATTACACAAATGTCATCCACTCTAATATTCAGGAGTCAACACCTTGAACTAACATTACTAGCTATCACCTACATAAAACCTGTGAATTCTACTGAGGGAGGGGACTAAAAGAGAGGGTAAACAACTAAATGGTGACATAAATGGAAAAAATAATCTTATTTGATCATTTTAGGGACTACTCTTTAATATCACAGCCATACTAATTTGACTCTGAATACATGTCAAAACTTATACAATGAACTATTCAGGATTCTAATAATTATTTCAAATTAATATTTTGTTAACTGAGTTGCCACCTATAAAATATACAGTAGAAGAGATTTCTTATTGTATAGGGATTAGATGACTATAAACACTAAGATTCTACAGGCCTACCTGAATACAAAGTAATCACTTTTTAATCATCTTACTTCTTATTCAGGGGCACAAATCACTGAGAGAAGAATGGAAAAGGATAGAACAGGGAATATGTCAGGCAGTAAGTATAAAATTACAGTGTTGCCAGTTAACATACATACATCCATTTAGATTTTAGGGAATTGTTTTACATTTAGAATTCTTACCTTTCTAGGGTCTTCTCCAAGTGACCGTAAGTAGTATTTCTCATCCTTAAACACCCCAGAGAAAAATAACATCAGCAATATTTTACTTTTTCAAATGTAAAAATACTAGGATTTGTATAGCTATCATGTATTCATAATAATTAAAAGTAAAAAAAAGAATTATGTACTGAGAACTACGGAAAAAAATAAAACACCTTCACTTCAAAAATATTAGGAAGTAAAGTTAGGAAACAAGTCTTAAAATCTGACCCAGTTAAGTAGTTTTCTAAAAAGTTCAATTATCGCTGGGCGTGGTGGGTCACAACTGTAATCCTAGTACTCTGGGAGGCCAGGGCAGGAAGACTGCTTAAGTCCAAGAGCTCAAGACCAGCCTGGGCAACAGAGTGAGACACCATCTACAAAAAATTAGCTGGGCATGGTGGTACGTGCCTGTAGTCCCAGCTACTTGGGAGGCTGAGGCTGCAGTGAGCTATGATTGTGACACTACACTCCAGCTTGGGTGACAGAGCAAGACCTTTTCAAAAAAGAAAAAAAAAAAAAAAGTTCAGTTCTCTTACCCTTTCTACTAATGCTCTCTGGTGGCCATATGAAGAAATGTCTTTAATATGTTGCTCATGATAGTGACTGGATCCATAAAACAATAAGTAAAATAAATTCTAAAGGCAACATATACATACCATCTCTAAAGCTACAATGATTTAGTCTTTATGTTCCAAATTATTTAGACTCTTATTTTAATAGTGTCTTAATACTTAGTAAATATAAATGTACAGTAACAGATAAATACCTTATGCTTTTAATAATATATTTTTTTAAACTTGAGAACACTGCATTTTATCAAGCTAAGCCTATCCCTGTCTATAAATTCTCAAGCCAAATGCTTAAGATTCAGCTCATGTATGAATTAGAAAAATATAATTTCATTGTAGTAAACGTAAACTGATCATTTAAAAAAATTATTTAAATTTTTTAAATTAATTAATTGTTTTGAGACAGGGACTCATTCTGTCACCCAGGCTGGAGTGCAGTGATGCGATCACGCCCACTGCAGCCTCAACCTCCTGGTCTCAGGCAATCCTCCTGCCTCAGCCTCCCGAGTAGCTGGGACATTCAGCTAATTATTTTTACTATTTGTAGAGAAGGAGACTCGCTATGTTGTCCAAGTTGGTCTCGAACTCCTGGACTCAAGTGATCCTCCGGTGTTGGCCTCCCAGAGTGCTGGGATTATAAGCATGAGCCACTGTGCGAGGCCAAAAATTATTATTTATCCTTCACCAAGTAACTAGAGAACTGTTTGAATTATAAAACATTCACTGTTAGAGAAGTGAGATATACCAAGTCAAGCACTTGGGCAATCCAAACTCAGAATTCTGCCTCTTTCACCCAACACTGAGAATTATAACATAAACTTCAAAAGATAATAATATTTATCTTAAGACATAAATTGATGATTGAGGTTTTAATTGAACTCTCAGTGCTTTTCTATTTTTAGCTAGCACCACATCACATAGATTCTATAAATTACTGGCTAATAAGTTTCAAAATGTTCTTCGAAAGTCTAAGGGTTTTCTACTAGTTCTAACATTTCAAGATTTAAAAAATAAAATTAATGCACCAGACACAGAAGTGCACTGCTCAGAAATTCCTTCAAGAAAGAACTCACTGCTTCATTGTAAGGAGTGTGATTAGCTTAGAGCTACCAGCTGTTAACTTCTTCAGGTCCACCTCAGGATTGGAATCTAGGTCATGCTCTTCTTGGGGTAGTCACAACCAGTGACTTAAGCTGGTAAAAGACCTAGACATTGCCACCCAATGCAGGACTTTTCTCATAGGCAGTCTGCTCAGGAGTTCCAGGATGAGTTGGCAGAGACTGTCAGATCTGTATCTACATGTCTTCCCCTATCCAATCCTGCTTCCTCCCCTTTCCTTTCACAGTTATTTCTCCTATTTAACAAGACTTTTGCACTCCTTGTTTTTCTTTTCTTTTTTTTTTTTTGAGACGGAGTCTTGCTCTGTAGCCCAGGCTGGAGTGCAGTGGTGCAGTCTCGGCTCACTGCAAGCTCCGCCTCCCGGGTTCACGCCATTCTCCTGCCTCAGCCTCCCAAGTAGCTGGGACTACAGGCGTATGCCACCATGCCTGGCTAATTTTTTTGTATTTTTAGTAGAGGCGGGGTTTCACCGTGTTAGCCAGGATGGTCTCAATCTCCTGACCTCCTGATCCGCCCGCCTCCGCCTCCCAATGTGCTGGGATTACAGGCGTGAGCTACCGCGCCCGGCCAGCCTTTTGCACTCCTAATTCCATCTCAGCATCTGCTTCTTAGAGGACCAAACTGACAGTTCAAGTTGATCTTGTTTACATAGTTTCCATGATTTTTAGACTTTAATCTTTTACCACGTGTCTATTTCTTTTACTTCACATTTCATGGCTATTTAAATATATACCACTGATTACCCTTAGACATCAAAGTACCAAAGGGCAACTGAATATACATGTTCAAAGCATGGCTATAAAGTTATAAAACAGTTCTCAGGTGCAGCTAATGGAATCCATTTAAAAAGACATTTTGGTTATACTACAGAATCACAGACCTACAGAGTTTGTGGGGATTGTGGCAGTAATCTAGTATAACTATTACCTGACAAGAGGACTGTAAAAATGCAGCACCTTTTAGAACCAAACTCCCCAGCCCAGCTGGCTCAAATGCAGAAAACAGCTTCATTCAAAGATTAAAAAGCAATTTGTTTTTAAAATGTGCTTTTGAATAACACAGTGAATTTTTTTTTTTTTTGGACAGTTATGCTCTTGTTGCCCAGGCTAGAGTGCAATGGCGCAATCTAGCTCACTGCAACCTCCGCTACCTGGGTTCAAGTGATTCGCCTGCCTCAGCCTCCTGAGTAGCTGGGATTACAGGCATGCACCATCATGCCCAGCTAATTTTGTATTTTTAGTAGAGACTGGGTTTCTCCATGTTGGTCAGGCTGGTCTCGAACTCCCGATCTCAGGTGATCCACCCGCCTTGGTCTCCCAAAGTGCTGGGATTACAGGCGTGAGCCATTGCGCTCGACCAACACAGGAAATTTTTAAAAACATATTTATATACAAGGCCTTGATGCCTTATCTCAAGGTATTTAAATTGAATTATTTAAAGCTAGACTATAATTAAGTAGAATTCTTCCGCATTTAATCCTGAACAAATATTACAGCAAATATACACAATAGAAATCACATTGATAACAAGAATACAGAAACAGTCTAATAGTCAATAGATATGAAAATGAAGTTTTCCATTAGCATTTGAAGTTGGCATATCAGACCAAAGCATTTTAAAAGGACGTAACATTAATAGCTAACATTTAATGCGTAATTTCTATACATCAGGCACACTGCTAAGTATTTTACTATTTTATTTAGTTAATCCTCACAAACACTTTATAAAATAGGTACTATTATCACCCCCATTTCACAGATGAGTATACTGAAGTACAGAAAAATAATTTGGCCAAAGTTTGAGAGCTAATAAATAGCAGAGCTACAGTCTGTGGTGCATCCAACCAAATCTTACGAATGTCTATCAGAGACGGCTGTTGCTCTTGTGTATCTACTATTCTTTCATAAGAAAATCCATTTAGTATATAGATATTAATGCCTTCTTTTAAAAATGTTAAAAGCAATTACCTCTGAAACAAAGAATTCTTTATGTTTCTCTTCAGCTGCCCTCTGGACCAACTGGTCAAAAGGTAAAGTTCTGAAATAAACACAAAGGAATCCTTGGACTTAATAATAACAGATCAACTAGTAAGAATCTAATCACTATACATAAAGGCTTGCTGGAGTTGGATATAATCTCCTGTTTTATAATATCTGTAATTTTTATTATAACCTATTATGTGAAATTCTAACTTTTCAAAACTTATTGAGCAGTATGTTTACTTGATCTAAGTTGTCTGAAATTTTGGAATTAAATATTTCAAAATCTATGATACAGATGAATCTTTCAATAGATCAATATTCTATTCCAAGTTATGACAGAAAAATGTTTCTATGGTATCTGATTACCTTTGTAAATACACAGACTTTCAGGTTCTGATTGCTACCTGTTTTTAAGTGGCATGGCAAAACAAATCTTGTGAAGAGTGGGGCAAACTACTAGTGCTACTTTGGAAGAGACAGTACACAAATGGTCCCATGAAGATAACCACCCCCCATATTCCTGCCTTTTGGCATATCACAGAACACAGAAGCCAGTAACACTGCTCTCATCCTGCTGCACCACCCTCTATCATTTTAAGGCTTCTGAAGAATAGCTCAAGGAGAATTCCAGTGAAGTGACCAATTTTTATTCTTCAAAATTTCTGCCCAAATGCCTGTCTCCTTCCATCCTGATGAACAGGGCTGAACACTGTGGAAGCAAAATTTGTTTCCTTTACATCACACTCTTGAGCTAGAAGGATATTCTTACTCCAGATTGCATCTATTCCTTTACTCTCTAGAATCAAAAGTACTGCTCTATAAATGATGGTGATACTGTATAAGTAACAAGACAATGAAGTCCTCAAAAGCCTCTAGGTCAAAATCCTCTCCTCTGCTACCCCCACTACACTCCTGCCTCCAAACTTCTGATTAAAAGCTGTAATCTTTTCACTCTTACTACTAAATATCTTCCCACTTGAACTCTGTACTGAGAAAGTCGAAAGAAAAGGTTAAATACTTTCTCCTTCTCTATGAGAAGATGACCTTGGGCCAGCTTACTTTCTCCTTGCACTGTTTTCCCAGAAATATACTGGGTAAACACAAACATGGTGTGAACCCATGAATTATGTTGAATAAAAAAAATTAAAGATAAATGTGGAATGTCAGTTGTGATATCAGGTAACACTGTTTATCATAAAAATAACCTGATAGATGAATTATGTTTGCACCAGGTGGCCTATAAGTGGACTACAAATACTTGTTCAGAAGCAGATGATTTGGCTTTCCTGTGTGTAGTGCAACTCTCCTAACTGAGTATGGCCCTTGGAGGAACGCAGAAGCTAAGTTCATGGGGTGTTTCAAGCTACCGGTTTCTATGGACCATATGTCTTACCTAAGCTCAGGTGTTTCTATACTACCTCCATTGTCTCATTCCCTTACAACTAAGCTGTAACTTGATGAGTAAAACAAATATTCCCTGGATTTGTATAAAGACTCCACTGATACTACCCTGCTAGAATGCCGTTTCCTGCCTTATATCCTCCCGCAAAAAGCTAAGGGAATCTGAAGCCAGGTTATGGATTGGTGGGTGCTCTGTATGTCAGTCTGAACTTGAGGCCACTGCTGGTAATTATGTAGAGTGAGCACTGCAGGAGAGAAAAGAGGGGTCTGCCATCTACTCAGACCAATGCAGAGTACTATTTCTTTGACTATAGATAGTGTCTGACTAACTAATATCAACAAATTTACTTGGCATTCTCCTACTCAGTGTTTCCCATCTCTGACCTCACCATATACCCTTCATTCCTTCTTGCTTTCATTCTTCAAAGCATCTTTGAAGAGTCTGGGCCAGTGGGGAAGTTTATCTGGACCATAGCCACTACTGTAATTGCTGCATTTAACCAGGCTTAGCTTTCTTACCAGGAATAACACAAAAGTGTTTCAAGACCTTTAGAAAAACAGAACAGAACAGTGACCCTGAAAGAGCAGACAGAGTAGCTCAGCCCAGATAAGCAGAACTGGGGTGTCACCAGCAACCTTTTCTCCTAGGTAATGGTACCTGTCATAGCTTCTACTAAGCCCAGATGGGGGAGAAATTAGGTATGTAAATTGGGAAGTTCTTTGGCTTTTTAAAAATCTATCCTATCCATGTTTCAAAAACAAGGGCATTGGTTATTAAAGGGCCATTTGTCTGGACTGGCAGCACCAGTAAGGAGGGTAATGTCAAAGAAGGCTTAATCATGGGCTCCGTGGAGTCAGGGAAATTAGAGTAAACACCTTGGGTTCCATCACTTCAAGCTATGTGATCCTGGAGAAGTTACTTAATATTTTTAAACCTCTCTTTCCTCATCTGTGAAATTATTATTAAAAATATCTACCTCACAGATTGTTCTGAAGTTTAAATGAGTAATATAACCTAGATTGCTTGGCACAGTAGCTGATATATAATAAGTACTCAGTAAAGGACAGATGGTGGGGTTAACAACAATGATAATGTACCCTTTTGCAGCACGCAAGTAGTCATCAACATTTTAAAAAAGAAGAAGAAAGCCCTTCACTGTCTTGTTCCCCATTTGGAAAAGGCTGCTTTACAAAATCAAGATCAGAACTGATGAGAGTACAATAAACAAGAGCAAGATGATGACAGGAATTACAGGATGTGACAGGAAGATGTGGCAAACCTTACATGATGAGACTTTTTAAAAAAATCTATGATCAGAAGAATGCCAACAATATCCTTTCACCACACAAGGTTCTTTTGTCCAGACTCTCCTGACTCTGAACAATGAGCACTACCAATAAGAAAGAAGTAAAAGTTCATACCTGTTAACGTATCAATCTTCCAATGTTTGATAAGGCATAAAAGCAACCTCAATTTGAAGTGATAATAATAATATACATGTGTGTGCAGGGTTTCTTACTTTCTAGTCTCTCTTTGGCCTGGATGCATTCCTTCTTTCTTACTGCCTGGTAAATGCTAAAAATGACTAAACCTATTTTTTTGGTTGCACTAAAAAAAATAATCTTGCAACTTTTTAGTAGCTCTAGTGAAAGGCTTGGAGGAAGCTGTGATAGGAACTATTACATAATGTATGTGCTTCAAAAACAACTTTTGAAAAGTTTAAAAAGACATGACAAAACATCAAGGCAATTCAAGATGAAGTTTCAGTACTCATTTGTTATGGCATTGGACTCCCTGGAAAATAAACATCATTAACTGCCAGCTGAAAAACACTCATCATTCTGGCATTTTTAATTTGATAAAAAATGAAAAGTTCCTACACTTGGAAAAACTTAAGGCAATTAAATTCAATTCATGGACTATTAATAACTAAAACCATTATGGTGAATATTCAAAGGATTAAAAACTGAGGAATGCTTTGGCAGCTGCTATATGAACTTGGAAAACTCTAATGAGAAAGGAATGGCTGTGGACATTAGAAGCTCTATTTAACTCATCTCTAAATTGAAGTCTTGTGAACTACATGGTTTTTCAATAGACTGATTTTGCTGGGAACTTCACATGCTCAGAGTTTGAGAGCTGTTTGTTTTTAATTTAACAATTTAAATGAAACTCATGGGAATAAATAGCAAATGAAATCTGCAAGATGACAGCATTTAAAACTTTCATCTTTAGACAATCAGCAGCTTTTGACTATTTCTTATTTACTTTTAAGAAATTCCACAGCATAAAATAACCATCATGGGAGAAATTAAAGGTATTTAAGACTATTTTATCAAAAGGGAAAATTAAGTATGATTTTTAAAAGTTATCTAAGATGATGAAAGATTATACCAAACATAGCTTGTCCTGGTTTTCTGGAGAGGACAGAAAAAGAAAACATGAGCCTTTTAGAATTTCCTATTCTAGATAACAGTTACTAATGTGGTAGGATCAACTAATTAATCAAGCATTGAATGAGTATGGCACATCCAACTTCGTATGAAATCTAACCCTAGTTACAGAAATTTTATCTTCCTTCCATGACTCCAGAAGGTATTGGGTATATACCCTATTTAAAAAATTGTTGGCCAGGCATGGTGGCTCATGCCTGTAATCCCAGCACTTTGGGAGGCTGAGGCAGGTGGATGACTTGAGGCCAAGAGTTTGAGACCAGCCCGGCCAACATGGTGAAACCCTGTCTCTACTAAAAATACAAAAGTTAGCTAGGCATAGTGGCATGTGCCTGTAATCCCAGCTACTCGGGAGGCTGAGGCAGGAGTATCACTTGAACCCAGGAGGCAGAGGTTGCAGTGAGCCAAAATCACACACCTGCACTCCAGCCTGGGTGGCGCAGTAAAACTCTGTCTCAAAAAAAATAAAAAATAAAATAAAAAATTGTCACTGTATAATTATGTAAACTCAGAACTCTTGTCTTTTAAAAACCACTCTTTAAAAATCAGTAAGCTATTCCATGATTACATCAAACCAGCCAAAAGATGAAATGCCATATGGTCTTTGTATAATAATGCAAAAATATTTTAAAAGTTTTTAAAAAGTTATTTGTATCCCCAGAGTAAACCTCAGAAGAAAATACCTATATACAAAGTTCTTACTAATGAAGTCCATCTGTGCAACTGCAGCAACATGAATCTTTACTTCTTTCTTCCCTCCAACTTGGCTTAGGTAATCCACTGTCCATTTGCTTGTACATGGCCCCAAATCAATCCCTTCCAACACAAGAGGTTTTCTCTGTAAGTGGGGAAAGAAATACAACAAAATTCATGAAAACCAACAACACATCAAGAGCTGTATTTGGCAACAGGGAGACAAAAACAAGTAAGATCTGACTCTTGCTCCCAAGATGCTTGAACTCAAAGCTTCTGACAGTTCATGCTGTCACTAAAACAAGAAGAGGGGCCATATGAAATATCTAGAACAAAATTTTAAGATTAGAAAAACAAAACAAAACTGCAAGACCATCAATATATAATGACTAAAATTTGTACTTTATAGTCAAATATTTTTGTAACTTTTAATTTTGATGTCATTTCAAACTTATAAAAAAGTTTTAAGAGCACTACAAAGAATTTCCGTAAACGCTTTACCCCGATTCACCAACTGTTAACATTTTGCACATTTGCTTTATGATTTGTTCTTACTTTCAAGAGAAGGACATATTATTATTAATTGAAATTAAATTAAGCATAATTTTGTTTTTTGGAACCATTTCAAGGTTAAATTGCTGACACCATGGTCCTTATCTCTAAAAACTTAAGTATATTTTCTGAGAACAAAGACATCTTCTTATATAACCACAGAATAATTACCAAAATTATATTTAACACTGATGTAGGCTGGGCACAGTGGCTCACGCTTGTAATCCCAACACTTTGGGAGGCCAAGGGTGGATCACTTGAGGTCAGGAGTTGGAGACCAGCTTGGGCAACATGGCGAAACCCCATCTCTACTAAAAATTAAAAAAAAAATAAGAAAAAGAAAATTTGAAGTGTGGTGCATGTCTGTAATCCCAGCTACTCGGGAGGCTGAGATGGAAGAATTGCTTGAACCTAGGAGGCGGAGGTTGCAGTGAGCTGAGGTCGCACCATTGTACTCCAGCCTGGGCGACAGAGTGAAACTCCATCACACACAAAAAAACAAAAAACAAAACACTGACATAATACTATTATCTAATCTACAGTCCATACTCAAATTTTGCTAATTGTCCCAATGATTTCCTTTGCTTTATTTTTTCCTAACCCAGAATTCAATCTGAGATGTCACACTGCATTCAGTTGCTATGTCTCTTTTAATCTGAAATGTTTAATCATCAGCCTCTTTACCTTCTATGACTTTGACATTTTGGAAGAGTATAGGCCAGCTATTTTGTAGAAAACTTTTCAATTTGGGTTTATCTTAAGTTTCTTCATAATTAGACTCAAGTTACACATTTTGGAGAAGGAATGTACCACAAAAGGAATGGTGTCGCCTTCTCAGCATGCCACATCAGGTAGCACACGATGTTTTGCTATGATGAGTGCAAAAAACAGTGATTTTTCTAAACTCCATCATTTCTTCTACATTTATTAGTTGGCATCCTAATATCGAAATGAGCTCTAAATTCTCCACTGAATTATTTTATTTACTGGGTAATAATCTAGTGGTATCTAGTGGTATAATTTTGATACCCAAATTATCCCAGATTTGGCCAGTAAGCCCCTTCAAGATGCTTCTTGTGACTTTTTAACTGGGGCACTTCCTTACATTATGGCAAAAAAAAAGAACCCGACGTCTTTTATACTTTCTCTGCCCAGCCCTGTGATCAGTCATTTCTTAAAGTAGTTCTGGTTTCTTCTCAGTGGACACAGTTAGGATATATGTGAGGGTCTATGTATATCGCACAAATATATATACACGTACACCCCATATATGCATATACCTATTCTATTCAGCTCTCTCTCCATATATGTCCATATATATAATACATGCACACACACATATACCTAACAGGTGTACGTATGAACCATAAACATTTCAAGGTTCATTATAATCTACTGAATTTGTAATTCCCATTTTCAGCAGTGGGAAACCTAGTTCCCATTATCCTCAATGTTTAATGACTTGCAAAATCCCAGAATTCACAAGAAGTAAAGAATTCACAGAATTTGCTTTTGCCACTGTTAGGTCACACCACTGTAAAAAACATGTCTACAACAGGTCCTCAAATAAAGTTATAACACAGATGAGAAAAAAAATCAATTCCTAGCCAGGGCCCCCCTCCGAGTAGAGTTTTTGCATTCTCCTCACATCTCTGTGGGTCTTCCCCGGGTACTCTGGTTTCCTCCCACAACCCCAAGATGTGCACATTAGGTACACTGGCATGTCTAAATGGTCCCAGTATGAGTGAGTGCATGTGGGTCTGTGTGTGTGTATGTGTGTGTGTATGTGCACGTGCGCGTGCCCTGAGATGGGATGGTATCTTGTCCAGGATTGGTTCCTACCTTGTGCCCTGAGCTGCCAGGAGAGACTCTGGCCACCTGTGACCCTGAACTGAAATAAGCAGGTTGGAAAATGAAGAAAGGAGTGAATACAAAGTATGTAAAACAAAAATTTGTAAAGCATATGATAATCATACAAGTGCACAATAAACAAGGGGGTATGAAAGCAATCAGCAAACCTGTCACACTTGTTTTGAACTGTTCAGTGGTAGGAGGAGCTCCTTACAATTTTCCATTTGTAAACATTTATTCCTTGATTTAACCCACCACTACTATGACCACTGTCACATAACAATTCACCAAAAATTGAGTAATTATTTACTTTTATTAATCCTTCTTAAATGTACATGTAGCTCATGTTTATTTCAATGTTTAAGATTAGAAATGTTTTGGGTCTTTATTTACAAGTTTGGTGATATTTTTGTGACCAGAAATATGCCACTGGAACTTAACTCTTGTTTGTATCAATTAGCCTGTGGTAAAACTGGTTTCATTATAGGTCATTTCCCTTAAAGTTGCAGCTTCCAAGAACCTACTGAGAACGTTAAATGAGGACTTACTGTACTAACTAGAATTCAGTTTGTTTTCAGTTTTTTGTGTCTTAGATTGAGGACATATAATTAAAGTATTGTGTTTAAAAAAAGTGACTTGGGTAACTTCTCCCTCTCCCACTTAAACAGATTCATGTGTTACTTTTTATATTCTATATTAGGGTCTTTTAAAAAATAATTTTTCATCCTTGTTGATTTTATTATTATGACTTTAGAATGTAAAACATCCATGTGATTCCCCAAATCAAAACTATACAAAAGTCACCCCATCCACATTCTTCCATTTCATACTCACACATCCCCTATGCATAACTGATCTCATTAATTTTTGGCTTATTCCTTTCTTTTTTGCAAAGTGATCAAAAACATATATTTCATTATCTCTTCCCCTTGTTTTTTACATAAATAGTAGCTTACCATATATTTTCTTCTGTTGTGTGCTTTTTAAAAAATTCATAAATATATGGCTGGGTGCAGTGGCTCACGCTTGTAATCCCAGCACTTTGGGAGGCCGAGGCAGGCGGATCACAAAGTCAGGAGATCGAGACCATCCTGGCTAACACAGTGAAACCCCATCTCTACTAAAAATACAAAAAAATTAGCCGGGTGTGGTGGCGGGCACCTGTAGTCCCAGCTACTCAGGAGGCTGAGGCAGGAGAATGGCATGAACCCGGGAGACGGAGCTTGCAGTGAGCTGAGATCGTGCCACTGCACTCCAGCCTGGGTGACAGAGCAAGACTCCGTCTCAAAAAAAAAAAAAAATCATAAATATATCCTAGAAATCACCACTTATCAGTTCAGATATCGCCTTTATTCTTTTTTACATCTTAGTATACCTCAGTGTAAATGGGCCATAATTTATTCAATTATTCTCGCCTGCATAAGCATTTAGGTTATTTCCAATAATTTGCAAGTACAGTAACACTACGTAAATATTTACACATTTTTGGAGGTATATCTCCAGAATAAATTCCTAAATGAGGAATTACTGGGTCATAAAGTGAACATAGTTAGATATGCCAACAGAGTTGTACCATTTGGTATAAAATTTGAGTATGCCAGTTTCTTCAGGGCATCACCAAGAGAGTATTACCAGAGCTTTTTAAATTTTTGCCAATATGATATATAAGAAGTTGTATCTCAGTGTAGCTTTATTTCTCTTATGAGTAAACTTAAACTTCCTAGTTTAAAGGCCATTTTAATGTTTTTTCCCCCCTCAATCGTTTGCTCATTTTTCTACCAGATTTTCAGCCTTTTACCCCCTTTTGAAAGTTCTTTCCATACAAGGGCTTTTACTGTCCTTTATATGAGATAAATGTTGCAAATATTTTCTCCCACTTTGTATTTGTCTTTCAAATTTGCTTACAGTGTTTCTGGCATACAAATGTTTCATGCAGTCAAATTTTAATCTAATATTACACCTGAATTTTGAGTCATAGCTAGAAATGCCTTCCATAGACCTAGATTATAGGGGAATTTACCCATATTTTCTACTAGCACTTGTGTAGCTTCATTTTGTTTTGTATTGCCGAGTGTACTCACAACTTGTGTAGTTTCATTTCTTTACATTTTTCTGATCCACTTGGAGTTTATTCTTGTGTACAGTGTGAGATATAAACCGAATTTTATCATTTTCTAAGTGAAACTCCTCTGTATAATACCATAATGGTGGATTCATTTCATTATAAATTTGCCCAAACCCATAGAATGTACAATATCAATAGTATACCCTAATATAAACTATGAATTTTGGGTGAAAATGATGTGCCAGGCTGGGCGCGGTGGCTCACGCCTGTAATCCCAGCACTTTGGGAAGCTGAGATGGGCGGATCACCTGAGGTCAGGAGTTTGAGACCAGCCTGGCCAACATGGCGAAACTCCGCCTCTACTAAAAAATACAAAAATTAGCCGGACGTCGGGGCGGGTGCCTGTAGTCCTGGCTACTCAGGAGGCTGAGGCAGGAGAATCGCTTGAACCCTGAAGGCAGAGGTTAACGTGAGCCGAGACTGTGCCACTGTACTCCAGCCTGGGCGATAAGAGCAAAACTCCATTTCAAAAAAAAAGAAAAAGAAAATGATGTGCCAATGTAGGTTTATCAATTGTAACAAATATACCACTCTAATGAGGGGATGTTGATCATGGAGGAGGCTATCCATGTGTCAGGGCAGAAAGGACATGAGAAATCTCTGTACCTTTGGTCAATTGTGCTGTGAACCTATAAAGCCTCGAAAAAACAGTCTATTTTTTAAAAAGTCATTTTGTGCCTTATTGATTTTTGAAATGTCATGCTTATTATACACTAAATTTCCATAGGAATAGGTATTTCTGCACTTTCTATTCTATTCCCTTGGTCTATCTATTCATGTACCTGTACAATATACAGTGTTAATTATGGAGTTATTAGAAAATGTTTAACAAAAAACTCATAGCACTATGCCCCCTCATACTTTTTAGTGTTTCCAGATAGAAAGGTCTTTTTTTCCAATTTTGTTATTAATTTCTAGTTTTACTGCCCATGGCCAGAGAAAGTTGTTTGTAATTTTCGACTTTTTAAAATGTAATGATGCTTTGTGCTGTATGTCTTGTCTGAAGAGATTAAATTACAAAATACCTTTTGCTATGACTCTTACAAAGCACTTCCACATACCCTAATCTTCACAACACTGCCCTTTAGGCAACTTACGTCTAGCACATTCTGAGATAGGGGGTGTCTAAGGACAGGGAGAGCAAGAACAACCCATCTAGTACAAGTCTCCAAACTAATAAAGGCTTGAATCCTCTCCCGTAGGTTGCTATCAAAAGAAAAACTTCATTCCTCCCGCATCCCCCCAACCCCGCCTTTTTTTTTTTTAAGCTAGGGTCTCACCCTCTCGCCCATGCTGGAGCAGTGGCAGGATCATGGATCACTGCAGCCTCGACCTCCCGGGCTCAAGCAGATCCTCCGACCTCAGCCTCCAGAGTAGCTGGGAATACAGGCGTGCGCCACCACGCCCGGCTAATTTTTGTATTTTTTGTACAGACGGGGATTCACCATATTGGCCAGGCTGGTCTTGAACTCCTGACCTCAAGTGATCCACCGACCTGGGCCTCCCAAAATGTTAGGATTACTGGCATGAACCACGGCGCCCAGCCCATCCGACTTTTGTAACACTCAGAATTGTAGTTTTGTTTGTTTGTTTGAGACCGAGTTTAGCTCTTGTTGCCCAGGCTGGAGTGCAGTGGCGCGATCTCGGCTCACTGCAACCTCCGCCTCCCGGGTTCAAGCGATTCTCCTGCCTCAGCCTCCCGAGTAGCTGGGATTACAGGTATGGGCCACCACCATGCCCGGCTAATTTTGTATTTTTAGTAGAGATGGGATTTCTACTGGCTGGTCTTGAACTCCTGACCTCCGGTGATCCGTCCGCCTCGGCCTCGCAAAGTGCTGGGATTACAGGCGTGAGCCACCGCGCCCGGCCCCAGAACTGTAATTCTATGACCACCCTTATAAATGTAAATATCAGGTAAGAAAATTGCTGGGTATTTTTCCTACCATAAACTGACTTACTGTAATCCTGTGGATTTTTCCTTTTAATACCTTGTTTTTCTTAGGTCTGGACTCCCTTGAAAAGCACTGCAAGTAAAAGCACTTTTTGTTTCCCTAATATTTCTCTATGAGTTTTCTTTTAAAGACCTAAGGTTCTAACTACAGGTATAAAAGACTCCAATGTCGGAACTAGAACCTAAGTAAGTTAGAATTCAAGACGAGTAGGAGTTTTCCGGGGGAATCCCATTGCTTTCCTTTTTGGCTCAGTGGAGTGAAAAGTTGTGCCTTCAAATCCATTAATTCGGAGCAGACTGACAGATGCGGAGTAAAGAGTTTAGGCAAAATACCTCTCGCACTCAGCTCTCCGCCATCATCTTGCTCCCCAGAAACATGGGACTTTCTCCGGAAATTTCAATAGAGGAGCCAGTCGGCGTCCCCCGTGCACCTTTCCCTTGGTCTAAGGGCCAACCAGTGATCTGCTGCCGTCCTGCGCCTCTTTCCCACACCCTGGGTCTCTAAAAACCAGTTCCCAGCTGTCCGAAAGGTAAAGACGTGTCTCTCGCTGGTTTCTCGAGGTTCTGCCCCGCGCGAGGGCCTCACCTGTGGGTAGAGGTGCTGCATGAACTGCTCCCGAGAAACGCCCTCCAGCCGGGGTACCGGGAGGTGCTGCCCGGCCATGGTTGCTCACGCCTGCCCTCTTCCAGGTCTTCGGAACTTCGGCTCTAAAGCGTTCCTCAGCGCCATCCGCCCGGAAACACGAGCGACAGAGAAAAGGTCCGCGAGGCCGGCAGACTCCAGAGTGGCTGGGTCCGAGCGCGGGGCGGGTTGCCGAAGGGCCTCGGCCTGGGCTGCGTGCTGGAGAGCGGGGACGGGGCCGACTCACCAGAGGCTGCAGCAACAGGTCCACTTTGCTCTCCAGTCTCTTTCTCCGACACCGCTGAGGCGGTTTCCCACCGACTTCCTTTCCATACAGCACCGGCAGGCACCGGTGTGAAGGGTCATAAAAATGGCGCTGGCCGCTCGTTTGCTACCCCAGTTCCTGCACTCTCGGTCGCTGCCCTGCGGGGCCGTCCGACTCCGGACTCCTGCTGTGGCCGAGGTGAGGCTGCCGTCGGCCACACTTTGCTACTTCTGCCGCTGTCGCCTCGGCTTGGGAGCGGCGTTATTTCCACGAAGCGCTAGGGCCTTGGCAGCCTCGGCGCTACCTGCCCAGGGCTCCCGGTGGCCAGTGCTCAGCAGCCCGGGACTCCCCGCAGCCTTCGCTTCTTTCCCTGCCTGCCCTCAGCGCAGCTACAGCACGGAGGAGAAGCCCCAGCAGCACCAGAAAACCAAGATGATCGTCCTGGGATTCTCCAACCCCATCAACTGGGTTAGGACTCGAATTAAGGCCTTCCTTATCTGGGCCTATTTCGACAAAGAGTTCAGCATCACAGAGTTCTCCGAGGGAGCGAAGCAGGTTTGTTTATTTCCCTGATTGACCTATCCGTCTCTAATGAGTTCAACTATTGCTCGCAGAAGTGCTTAGCAGTGAGTTTTCTTCACTGGGATACAAGTGATCAAACGTGATTAGTGGCCCAGACATAGAGCCTTCCAGCCATTGCTTGACTTAAAGTAAGCTTCTGGGCCGGGAATGGTGGTACACGCCTGTAGTCTCAGCTACTTGGGAGGCTGAAGGGGAGGATCGCTTGAACCCAGGAGTTGGACGTTGTAGTGAGCTGTGATCGTGCCATTGCACTCCAGCCTGGGATACAGAGCCAGGCCCTGTCTCAGAAAGAAAAAGCTATATGGCTCATCTTGTCTGAACATAATTTTCAAATTTACAAAGTGGGCAAGACAATGCCTGGCACATAGTAGGCACTCCATGAATGTTTGCTGAATACATTAATAAATGGGTAAGATTGAAGAATAATTGAGATAACATTTCCAAAGTGCTGTAATGTCACCTTGGGTAGAAGAGCAGAACTTCCTGCCAGCTATTAGACAGAGCCGACCAATACACCACCCCATACTCCGTAAAGATTAAACTGGAGATGAGCAATTTTACCCTTTCAAAGGATTTGCTGAGACTGCCTGGTGGCTAAGTGCACAGCACCCTGCACACAGAAAATATTTAGCCTTTAGAGATTCTTATCCCTGACTTTGTTAGTTACGTACCTGTTTCTGAATGGCTGATTATACCTTGCCTTACCCTTGTGACATATGGTCACTTGGGTCCTGAGATTATTTGTAGATTTTGTGGGTACATGCTTTTTTTTTTTTTTTTTGGACTCCTTTACAGATTGTATCGTTCCCAAACATTGCAGAACTGCTGATAACAATAGAAGTCGGCCAGGCATGGCGGCTCACGCCTGTAATCCCAGTACTTTGGGAGGCCGAGGCAGGTGGATCACAAGGTCAGGAGTTCGAGACCAGCCTGGCCAATATGGTGAAACAGTGTCTCTTCTAAAAATACAAAAATTAGGCGTGGCGAGCCCCTGTAGTCCCACCTACTCTGGAGGCTGAGGCAGGAGAATTGCATGAACCCGGGAGGTGGAGGTTGCAGTGAACCAAGATTGCGCCACTGCACTCCAGCCTGGGTGACAGAGCGAGACTCCGTCTCAAAAAACAAAAACAAACAAAAAAACCACAATAGAAGTCAGAAAGTTTATTTCCCGCTTCATACCTCCATATGCCTTAAAACCATGCTATTGGTGTAATCATTTTACAGTATTGGTTGTATACTGGTATTGATATTTTACTCCAAATTTATTTCAGATTCTTTCCATAATCATGGCCATTTGTATTTATAAGACCAATCAGTTGTAAATCAAATGTTTTCAACTTTGTTTAATAAGTGTCAGTATTAACTCCTGCTGCCTGCTTCTCTGAGTCAACTCTTGACTACTATATATATTTATATAAAAAAAGTCAAAGAACAAACTTGATTAAGATGCTTAACTCAGCATTATAATTGATAAACCTCTGCTCTTGTCAGTTCTCAAAGTCTTTTGTCCATGCAGTGGTAAGTTGTATTGATCCTACTGTTCTGTACAATGCCCACTGATGATATATGAGCTTGTCCACCTCATAACACATATGATGGTACCAGTTCATTTATGTTTCAGTAAGGAATGGAAATCATCTCCCCACCATGGGCAGGCATCAGGCCTCAGTACTTGTTTCCTCTGAACACACAGAGGAGCATGCAGCATTTTTGGGGTCACTCCAGTCCTAGTGGTCCTCCAGCTGTTAGCTATTTTCACCTCCTTCCTTGCTATTAAGCAGTATTTCCACCCCATTCATCAGCCAGCCTGTAAGCATTGTTGCTTATATAAAGCAAACAACCTGAATTTCAGTATCAAGGTGTCGGAGGGGTTGTTTTCTCCTGAGGCCTCTCTCAGCTTACAGATGGCCGTCTTCTTGCTGTGTCCTTGCATGGTCCTCCCTGTGCATGCGTGCTCCTGGTGGCTCTTACTCCACATTTGCTCCTCTTATAAGGATGCCAGTCAGATTGGATTTTGGCCCACCCTGATGGTCTCATTTAACTTAATCATCTCTTTAAGGCTTTATCTCCAAATATAGTCACATTTCAAGGTTCTGGGGGTTAGAGCTTCAGCATAAATTTTCGGGGAAGGAGAGCACAATTCATCCTATAACAGTTAGGCAGTATTCTCTGACATGCCATATCTGACATGCCTGTGCATCCTCTGGCAGCCTAGATTTCAGCTTAGATGTTTCTTCCTTTAGGAAGCCCTCTCTGATCCTCCCAGATTGGGTTAGAAGGCTCTTCTGTATGCTCCCAAGTCATCCTGTTCTTATCCCTGTCAAAATTCTTCAACTTGTCAGTTTACTTGTCCTTTTCCCATGTAGACTGAAAGTTCCCTGAAGACAGGTAGGATCTTAACTCACAGTTTGCTTTCTCATTGCTAGCAGTGAGGAGAATTGCAGTTGGGTTTTTCCCTCCTTGAAAATGGAATTTCATACTTCAAAGTTAGGATCTACTGTTTTAGACCACATAAACTAATGACCTTCTCTCCCACTTTCCCAAACCTACATTATCTCCCATACTGAGATTCAGACTACAGCCCAGATTTCCAGACTCCCAATGCAGTCTCGACTGTTCTCCTTTCCAACTGCTATCTATGCATGATTAAGAGGTAGGTCATATAACTGCCAAATGATTGTTTACTTCATCATTTTAAAAAGAAATATAAAGGAGGATTTTTATTGAGACATCTAGATTGTACACCACACACTATCATTTCCCGGTCCTGAGAGTGGATCCAGAATTAAAGGTCAAGTCACTTACTGCTATATATGTGGGAAGGCCATATATGAAAAGTCAACCAAGAGTCATGCCTTGATAAATTAATATTTGATGTTGTTTATCACTATTACCATAAAATAGTCTGTATTACACTTAGCCATTTAAATATGAACATGGTATGGTATTTTGAAATAATAATCCCCACACTTCCCTTAATATTTTTTTCAAGGCTTTTGCTCATGTATCCAAGTTGCTGTCACAGTGTAAATTTGATCTGTTGGAAGAACTTGTGGCCAAAGAGGTAAAGTATATTTTACATTTTGCTTTAAAAATAAATGCTATTCTCTTGCAATAGAATGATGCACATTTTCCTTATTTATGCTTAAAAATAGTGTGTGTGCCAGCATCCAAAGTAGAGTCTGTGTATCTGTTCTTATGGGTACTTTGGGTCATATAAAAGCATGGAATAACTCCTGCCACTTAAGGCATAATGAAGTAATCATGATGTCTTCCAATTGCTCTTATATGGAATGTTCTGTTAGGAATTACCTACTTGAATAATGAGATACATTTCAGCCTTGCTTTTGAGGATGAGTAAATACGGTAGTAAATTTAAAAATAGGTTTGGAAAAATGTATTCCATGATAAAGATCACTTTTTGAAAGTTTTCAAAAATTGTATCAGTGAACTAATGGCTTGCTTTTTTCAAACTTAGGTGCTACATGCATTGAAAGAAAAGGTTACTTCACTACCTGACAACCATAAAAATGCCCTTGCTGCTAACATAGATGAAATTGTATTTACATCAACAGGAGACATCTCCATTTACTATGATGAGAAAGGTAATACCAGAGCATAGTCAACTTGAAATGATCCATAATTGTCCAGATAAGCTAAACTAGTGGATAATCACAAAATAGTAGAGTTTTGTCAGGACAAGTATTTATAGAACTTCAAAGAAAATGTTATATCCATTCTTTAAAGACCTACTTCTGAAAGAGTTGAGATATGGTCATCATTTCTTAAGCCTTTCTATCTAGAACTTTTTTCTGCTACTATTTTATTCACAGTAGAGAACATCATCACTTACATTGATGAAAATAGTTTGAGTGGCTCCCACGTCTCAAATAGAAAATATTTATGTTTCAGATTTCCTAACTTGAAGGAAACAATTGAGTATTTTAAAGCTGCACTTTATATGGAAGGAATGAGGGGTAAAAGAAAATCAAATTAGATATTGTCAGCTAAAGACAATTTGAAAAGGTTAACTGCAGAACTCCCAAATTGGATCTATTTGAGAATAATGAAAAAAGTTGGTAGGAAATTTAGTGGTTATCTGGTTCTTCTTGTCTGAGGCATACATTTTCCCTATAGCATTCCTGATAATTCACTGTTTGTTCCTGATACATACAAAGTTGGCCCTCTGTATCTGGGGGTTTCGCATCCACAGATTTAACCAATCTAGGGTAAAAAATATTAAAAAAAAATAGTTGCATCTGTACTTGAACATGTGCAGTTTTTTTCTTGTCATTATTCCTCAATAATACAGTATAACAACTATTTACATTAGCATTTACATTGTGTTAGGTATTATAAATAATCTAGAGATGATTTAAAGTATACTGGAGGATGTGTGTTATGCAAATACTACACCATTTTATATAAAGGACTTGAGCATCTGTGGATTTTGGTATCCACAGGGGGGTCCTGGAACCAATCCTCCGTGGATTTTGAGGGATGACTCTATTTGCATATGTATTATGTGCCAGCCACACAGGAAATGGAGCCTCTGCTTATACACTTCCCAAGATGGAAGAAAAAGACTCTTAGTGATGATAAAATTTTTCATGCACACATTATTTTGAAATATTTGTAAAGATATTTTTAGTGATAAATATTTTCCGCTTCCCTAATATTTCAAATTGCATCTCAGCACCATGGTCACTAACTAATTTTTGCATCAGGAGTTTGTCAGAATCACCAGGCACAGTAAGGTGAATTGGGTAGAATAGGAAGCCTTTACTCTTTCTGGCAGTTGAAGTTAAGATAGTTACTGAGCAGCAAAAAATATTTTTTTTCTCCTCATTTTTGGTTTGACAACAGGTATCTGTCAGGAGATTATTATAATCTTAGAAAATGCCTGGCCAGATGTGGTGGCTCACACTTGTAATCCTAGCATTTTGGGAGGCTGAGGCAGGTGGATCACTTGAGCTCAAGAGTTCAAGACCAGCCTGGGCAACATGGCAAGACCCAGTCTCTACTGAAAATATGAAAAAATAGCCGGGCATGGTGGTGCGTGCCTGTGGTCCCATCTACTTAGGAGGCTGAGGTGGGAGGATCGCTTGAGCCTGGGAGGCGGAAGTTGCAGTGAGCCGATACTGCGCCACTGCACCCCAGCCCGGGTGACAGAGTGAGACTCTGTGTCAAAAAAAGAGAAAGAAAAAGAAAATGCCACTAATTGAAAATAATCCATGTAGTATACTTAGTAAAGTACGTGCTCAGTTAAGTAGTAGTTTTATTACTGAGATACAGAGAAGAGGGCAAGTATGCCATAAACCCTAAGACAATTTTCTAAAAATAAAATAGTATCAATACAAGTATTTTAAGTCACATCAGAATAAGCACAAAATTTGACCTGTAACAACTGTATAACTGCTGCCAATTTCTGATTTCATTTTGTTTATATGGATGATAGATTATTTTGATTTGTATTCGTATGTGTGTATATGTTTTTTCTCTAAGGAAGGAAGTTTGTTAACATCCTGATGTGCTTTTGGTATCTAACCAGTGCCAACATCCCCAGTGAAACTTTAAGAGGAGCCAGTGTATTCCAGGTTAAGTTGGGGAATCAGAATGTGGAAACTAAACAACTTCTTAGTGCAAGCTATGAGTAAGTTTAATCAGATTTCATTGTTTCCTTTCTTCAGAAAATGGAAGGTAGTGTGAAGGTATGAAAACTAAGAGATCTTTAGGAAGAAAAGAATTGAAATTTGACAAGTTATTTATGAAGAGAAAAGGTCAGAAAGACACACTGGATATGAAACAGGAGAGTTAAGAAATTAGAAAGAGGTAAAGTTGCTGAATTTAATTAAATGATGTTTTAGCTGTCTATTGCTGCTTAACAAACTACCCCCAAATTCATTGGCTTCAAACAGCCATTGACTTTGCCTGCTATTTCACTGCTCAGAAATTTTGGATAGGCTCAGTTAGGGGGTTTTCTCTGCTTCACCTGGCATCAACACGAGTGGCAGGAGCTGGAGGATTCATTTCCACAGTGACTTCTTAACTCGCATGGGTGGCACCTTGGTACTCCTTGGCTTCTGCATGACTCTGTATTCTCCAGGGCCACTCTTTGTGGCTTGGACTTGTGGTAGTTTCAGACTAGTCATATCTTTCATATAGTGGTTGAATTCTAGGAGGCAGAAAATGGAAGCTGCTAAACCAGTAAAGGGCTATGCCCAGAATTAGAACATCAGTTCTGCCATAGTCTACTTGTCAAAGCAGTCAAAGGATCTGTATAGTTTAAAGGGTGTAGAAAGACTCCCCCATTTTTTGGGGCAAAAACCAGCAAGGCCACATAGCAGAAGAGCACATGGGAGGGGAGATATGGTTGTGGTCATTTTTGGAAAATAAAATCTGCCATAATTGGTACATGAACAATTTATTCACTAGACATCTGTTGGTCATCTGTGTGCCCACATGCTCTGGTAGAGGTTCAGATACAAAGTTGAAGGGATACTGCCCTTAAGCACATACTGTATAGTAGGAAGTTAGCAAGTTACGTAAAAGAGACATTATATTGTATTTTTATGCGAATAAAATCTAGAACAGTGAACTGCTGGAGCAAGTCAGTGAAGATATAATTTAACATTTATTAAAAAAATATGTTGCCAGAGTTACACAAATCTGCTTCAAAATAACAAACCCCAAAAATGACCTAAGAAATAAAATGTATTCTGTTTTACTAAGGTAAAAGAGAATTATATCCTCATTTTTTTTTTGCTCTTCTTAAAAGAAATGTGTTTTTTTAAATTTTGCTTTATTTGTAATTACCCAAAATATTCTATATATTTAAATACTTAATTTAAATCTACTGAATTGCCTGTTAAGAAATAATTTTTAAAGAGCACTGTCGTCAATACTAAACTTTATCTTTTCTGATGTTTCTTACTAAGACTATGGGTACTTCATAAACATTGTTATTTTCAAGATTGATTTAATGTATGTAAACTAAATTCCACTATTTATTCCTAAATTGGTAACAGTGCTATTTGAAAAATAGCTTTTTGCCTGTATCCTAGGTTATGTATTTAAAGTGCTGTTTGCATCACCAGAGTCCAGTTTATCTGTCCTCATATTAGGCATGTGTTATAGCTAGTATTTAACACATACTAGCTATATGTGTTATTTATATAACACATATATCCAAGTTTCTCTTAGGGGCTGGTAGATGTTGAATATAGATTAGTCCATTAAAAATACTTACATTACTTGAGAATGTACTTCAATTTTGTGGGTATATTTATTGTGATTGAATGGGTAGGTTAAACTTTTTTTTGTTTTGATTTTGATTTAATATTAACCATTATCTTGTTGCCAAAAATTCTTCTAAATATACACTTGCAAATTACATAGTTATCTAACACATACTTGGACTGATGTAAGATTTACATTATTTGCAATGTCTTTCCTAGGTTTCAGAGGGAGTTCACACAAGGAGTAAAGCCTGACTGGACCATTGCACGGATTGAACACTCAAAATTATTAGAATAATTTTCTTGGAAAAATCAGCTTATGGACTTTAGCAGTTGCTGTGAAAAACTAAGGAAGAAAAATTTTGGGGTCATTTGATCTTCACTTAATCTAAGTCTGTGAATTACTTTTATATTATTTTGAAATACTCCTTGCAGTATATTGGCATGATACAGTAAAAGCATTTTCCACAGATTGTTATCACCTTCTTTAAAAGAAGTCAAAATTTAAAAAATACAATAGCACGTTGTTGGTGTCATATTCAATAACATTTCCAATGCTACATATAATTTTATAGACATAATAAAGAAGGTATTGAAAAAACTACTTACAAATTTCTTTATATATTTTTTAAATTGTTTGAGAAACAGGGTCTTGCTCTGTCTCCCTGGATGAAGTCCAGTGGCATGATCATAGTTCACTGTAACGTCGAGCTCCTGGGCTTGAGCGATCCCCCTGCCTCAGCCTTCAGAGTAGCTGGGACTACAGGCATCCACCAGCATGGCTGGCTAATTTTAAAAAATTTTTATAGAGATTTCACTATGTTGCCCAGCTGGTCTTGAACTCCTCAAGTGGTTCTGCCTCGGCCTCCCAAAGAGCTAGGATTATAGGCATGAGCCACTGCACCCAGCCTACTTACACATTTCTAAATTAATAGTTCTTAAATATTTTATTTGTGGCTAATACATTTACACTTTTTTTTTTGACGGAGTCTCCCTCTGTTGCCCAGGCTGGAGTATAGTGGTATGATCTCAGTTCACTGCAACCTCCACCTCCTGGGTTGAAGCAATTCTCCTGCCTCAGCCTCCCTTGTAGCTGGGACTACAGGTGTGCACCACCATGCCCAGCTAATTTTTTTTTGTATTTTTAGTAGAGACAGGGTTTCACCATGTTAGCCAGGCTGGTCTCGAACTCCTGACCTCAGGCAATCCGCCCGTCTCGGCCTCCCAAAGTGCCGAGATTACAGGCGTGAGCCACTGTGCCTGGCCTTATACCTTTATTTTAAGTATGTGTAAGATTTATTCATTTATTTTTTAATCACTGCTGCTATTTGGCCTCTTTGGTCACTAGCTAGGTAAGAAGGAATAGATGAAATTATAGCAGATAGGTCTCTACAGAACTGAAAATCAGTGAATTTAAAAGCATGCTAAGATACAAAGAGAGAGAAAAAAACAGGACAGTGTCTTAGCCACCTATGGGATAATATCAACTATTCTAATATACTTGTATTTTGTGTCCTAGAAGTTGGAGTAGTGGAAACAAAAATAGTATGTTAAGAAATAATGGCTGAAAAGTGTCCTAGTTGATGAAAACTATAAGCCCACAGATTACAAGAAATTCAACAAACAAGGTAACACAGAGAAAAAAGTCTGATCAAGGTACATCATAATGAAATTGTTGAAAACCAGAGAAAGTTGCAAAAGCAGCTGGAGGAAAAAAATAAAGGTACATTCATGCAGAGAAACCAAGATAAGAATAGCTACCTATTTTTCTTAAACAGCAAGTTAGAGACCTTGGCATGCTATCTTAAAAGTGCTGAAAAAATAACCGGTTTACCTAGAATTTGATATTCAGCAGAAATCTTCAAAAAGTGAGAAGACTCAGAGAAAAGATGAGACAATTGATTGCCAATGGACATGTTTTATAAGAAATGTTAAGGACCAATGGACAGAATAGAGTTCAAAAATGGACCCATGCATATATGGACAATTGATTTTTGACAAAGGCACAATGAGCTGTGTGTGGTGGTGTGTGCCTGTAGTCCCACGTGCTTGGGAGACTGAGATGGGAGGATCACCTGAGCCTGGAGAGGTTGAGGCTGCACTGAGCTGTGATTGCACTCCAGTCTGGGCAAAAGGGTGAGACCCTGTCTAAAAAGAAAAGAAAACAAAACAAAAAGGCACCAAAGCAAAGAGGAAAAGCATCTTTTCAACAAATGGAATAAGTATATATTCATATGAGAAATGAACCTCGACTTTTACATCACATACATAATTTTAGTGAAAAATTTAGATTTTAAAATGGATGATAGACCTAAACAAAAGCTAAACCTAGAAATTCTAGAAAAAAAAAAATAGACATTTGCTGTCTTGAGATTAGCAAAGATTTTCTTAGGATATAGAATGCATGAACCATGAAACAAAAAAAATTTATAACTTGGAATTTATTAAAATTAAAACTTTTTGAAAGACAACAGTAAGATAATTAAAAGGCAGTTCACAGATTGGGAAAGATGATCTGAAAAGGTTTTAACAAAATTAGCTGAGACTACCATATCTTTGAAACAAGGAGAACATGCAATGGCTCTTTGACAATTTTCATGCTGTTATGGCCCCTAGGGAGAAGAGCTTTATCTTTTCACACACCTATATAACTGAACTTTTATGATAACCTTGAACGAGTCAATGGATTCTTATGGCCTTTATTGCAAATATTCTGACCTCATCTGTGGACCATAGATAATTCTGTAGTTATTTCTTGAATTTTATATAGTGAAAGTTTTCCAATGCATAGACCAGTTAGTAAGTGTATACATGAGGGAAAATTTTAGGGAGCCTTAAAAATAACCCTTCTGCTTTATTTTATCTGGAAATTCCATGTAAGATAGGACTTATGTCACAAAGAAGAAAGGAATGTTCTCATAGTAGTCCCAAAGTAACATTTAAATATTGAGTCTGGTGAAAAGATTTGGGATTGATAGAAAGTCCCACTTCTGAATTGCTTTAGTAAAACAAGGCCAAGTAAAGTCCACTTTTCATCAAGCCTTCTACAACTTACATACACCCTCAAGTTTGCTTGTTACTATTTTCTTTCACATTATTGCACAACCAAACATTTTCACTTTAAGACAAAACTCCCTTTCCCCTCTTCTGAACTTGTAGTACAAGTCAATTCATCTTTCCTCTGGCTCTTCAACTTTAAAATGTTTTTCTGAGCAATCTGATATTCTACGGAAGTAGAATTAATGATAGATAGGCGGCATGTTTAGTAACATAAAAGCTGCATTGTTGTCCATCTGTATTTATAGACAATTCCCCTTGGGACTTTAGAGGAATGACAGAAAATTGCTGGGTGCTGAGTTTTCTCTTACAGCAGGGACAAATCTTGGATAACTCTGTTTCTTTCATATTTTGTTCAAAATATCGCCCATTGTTTCCTTCACTGGCTTTTCTGCTTACAACATCTACAGGTGTTCCTAGCCATAGGCTCTTTATTTTTAAAGAACAGAGGACTTTTGGTATTTTTAACTTGGAGCCAGTTACTTTATCTGAAGGGTGATAAGTTTGGTTTAATTTTCAGCTAGTTTCCTTTTTAAAGCTCATTGAAAATGTTCAGCTACATGTTGGAACTCTCCTAAACTGGCAATTTTCCATTCCATTGTGCAATTGCTGTTTAAGACCCCTGTTTTGAGTCTCAGCCCATTACAATGACAGATAAGGTTCCCTTCATTTCATATATTGGGGCTATTCCAACTGTCTACTCAAACTGAAACTTTCCTAAAATCCATCTTTAAAGTCTTGTATTAATTTGTCTTCACTTTGCTTACAATGTTGAATCTGTTCATATCCGTAAAGGAAAAACTGCATGTCCCTATATAGTGTACTATATATACATCTATTTTCCCTCTCAAAGCCATTTTCTTCACTTATACACAGCTAAGTGATGAAAATCTCCTCCTGGTGTTTCCCATCCTGCTGCTTTTAACCATTTTTCCCTTTTGAGAGACTAGCAATTAAGCAAGCTATATAAATTAAATAGTCCAAAATAATGTCTATCTAACAAAATTCCAAATTCTGCAGCGAATTTGTGTTAGTCTTACTGATGCTCTAGACCAAGGTTTAAATTCAGCTTCTATTGATCCTGCTTTCTGTTCTAGCAAGTCTAAGGAGAATACTATACAATGACCTTTTCTGAGAAAAGTCCTGAGGAAAGGGTATCACATTTAGACATTTAGGAGACCAGGAGTAGAAGGAATTGAAAGAATATGACTGAGTGATGAGAATTCGATATCATCTATATACGGAGCATAGTTTCAGAAGGCTTGAATGATAGGAAATTAGAGAGTCTTTGAAAGAGACTATCTTCTCATCAACTGTTTGTTTTGAGGTCTCGACACACCAAAGAAGTTGACTACTGAATTGTGAATATTATTAGTTTTCCTCATTTTTCTAGAGCTCTGCTTAAATGTATTAATTTTGACTATCAGAATGTCCCCCAAGGTAATCATTGCTACTTTGAGTTAAAAATATTTTTGCTGTACTAGGGTGAGCACGTGAGTTAGTATTTTAGTGAGAATTCATATAAAAAGTAGTTCTGCCAGTAAGAAGTTATGACTTTAATTTAGAAAAATTCATGACAAACAAGAAAGAAGCCATTATAGTCAAACAAAAATATATGCTAAAGAATAGCATCTCGGGTTACCTACCAACTGGGGCTAAGAAGGGACTATGCAATGAATGACATGACAATTTTTTACCCTGGCATATGGACTAAACAAAATGGCCTTTCATTAATTGATAAAAGAGGAAGTGTCCCTATGAAGGTGTTTAGGGGACAAAAGGCAAAGTTTGATCATGAATTTGTCATTGTCTACTGGACCTCTAATTCATAGTCCTTGGACTCAACTTGGATTGAATTGGAGGCTGAATGGACTTATTCCTTTGTTCATTCCCTATGTAGAACCCCCTTATATATCCAAGAAATAAAATGACTATGAAAGACAAAGAAACAGGAAAAAAAAAAAGTCCTAAGCCAAGACTCTGTACTAGTAGATGCACTAAAGCAAAACAAGCACACGCTTGAAGAATAATGAAATTAATGGCCAAAATATTGACAATGCCATCTACAAAGAACTATTTTGATAGGAATCCTCATTTAACAAACTCAACAATACATGCTCACTGAGAGTCAGAGTACAGATCAATATTGAGACAAATATACTTGGAACAAATCCAAAGGATAAATGAAATCTGGACACAAAGGGACCTGATGAGGACACCTTTATTTATTTTTAAGTTAGAGTCATCAAAATAACCTTGGTGGAACCTCATAGTTGTCAAAATATGAGACCACCACTGAAAATCAATATAAAACCCCAAATTTGAATTGATTTATTACCTTAGTAAGGGAGGAGTCTTGTCAAGCAGAGCAAACCATTGATCTTACAGGGATTTTTGAGGAAGAGTGTGTTGTGTTAGTGAAAGGTGGGAGTGGAATTATGTCAGCTTTATTTCAGATGTGTTAGTTTTCATGTCTACATGTTCCATTTGATTCTTTCTCATAGCTTCTCTATGTTCATGTTTTCCTTTAACTTGCTGGGCATAGTTATAACAGCTTTTTGTTTGTTTGTTTGTTTGTTTTGAGACAGGGTTTCATTCTGTTGCCTAGGCTGTAGTGCAGTGGTGTGATCTTGGCTCACTGCAACCTCTGCTTCCCAGGCTCAAGTGATCCTCCGACCTCAGCCTCCCAAGTAGCTGGGACTAAGGTGCATGCCACCATGTCCAGCTAATTATTGTAGATTTTGTAGAGATGGGGTCTCCTTATATTGCCCAGGCTGGCCTCAAACTTCTAGCTAAAGTGATCTGCCTGCCTCTGCCTCCCAAAGTGCTGGGATTACAGGTGTGAGTCACTCTGCCTGGCCCAACAGTTGTTTTAAAGTTGTCTTTCTTTAAAATCTCTTTCTAGTAAGTGATTTTTCTTTTGGTTATGGGCCACATTTTCCTGCTTTTGGCTGGTCTAGTAATTTTTAAAAAATAAATAGGGACAAGTTCTCACTATTTTGCCCAGACTGGTCTTGAACTCTTGGACCGAGCAATCCTCCTGCCTTGGCCTCCCAAAGTGCTGGGATTACAGGTGTGAGCCACCAGGCCTGGCCTGGTCTAGTAATTTTTTATTGGACACTGAATTTATGAATTTTCTGTCATTGAATATCTGGGTATCATTGGGTAGTATTTGCCTTGAGAAGAATGTTGAACTGTGTTCTCTTAGGTAGCCAGTTAGGTTATTTGGGGTTCAGGTTGATTTTTTTGAGGCTATTGTTAAGCTTTGTTAGGGTTTATCTAGACTAGTTTTTACTCTACCAAGAGTGTAGCCCCATTTGTATGGAGTAATTTATGGGGTCTCTACTGGATGCCCTGAGTTATCAAACAGGACAGCACTCTCCATGCTGGCTTAGGGAACCCAAATGAATTCCCAGCACTACAGGCTCTCTGAGAACTGTTCACTTCACAGCTTCTAGTCACTCTTTGCTTGACTTTATAGAGTCTCACTCTATAGCTTTTGTTCATAGCTTAGAGTTCACTAAAAACTCAAGGAAATTACTATACAAACTTCTGAAGTTTTGTTCCGCATAGCTTGCTCCTGTCTGAACATTTGCCTTACACCTCTGGCCTCTTCAGACTCCATGGCCTTCCATGTCTGTCTCCTCAATTCAGCAAGTTTATCATGTTTTGCTGGGGATTTTTTTCCCTGGCTGGGTGGTCTAGAAAGTGCCCCACACAGAAATCTGGGTTATCATAGGATCTGCCTTGTTCGTTTCTCTTCTTTCATAGATAAAAATACTGTGCTTCCTACTGTCCAGTGTTTGAGCACAGTAGTTTCATGTAATCTGCTGAGTTGTCTAGTGTTTAAGGCATCAGGATAAATGTTTATTATGGCCAAAGCAGAACTTATTTTCTTATTTTTAAATTTTTTTATTTTTAATTTTTGTGGGTACATAGTAGGGTTATATATTTATGGGGTGCACGTACATGGGATGTTTTGAAATAAGTATGCAATGTGTAATAATCACATCATGGAGAATGGGGTACCCATCCCCTCAAGCATTTATTCTTTGTGTTACAAACAATCCAATCATGTGCTTTTTGTTATTTAAAATGTACAATTATTATTGACTATAGTCACCCTGTTGTGCTATCAAATAGTAACTCTTATTAATTCTTTCCAACTAGTTTTTTTGTACTCATTAACCATCCCCATCCCCACTCCCCCACCCCACCTCCATTTCCCTTCCCAGCCTCTGGTAACCATTCTTCTTCTCTCTCTGAGAACTTGACATGTTTTTAAATAAGCTTTCTAAATGTGTTCTGTGTTGGTGTGAGGAACACCACACAGAGGAACAAACAGAGGAAGAAAAGAGTTTATATCATGTTCACTGGAGTTGTCTGACTTTTGAAATATGAAGCTGTCACTGTTGGCTTTCACCGAAGTGGCTATATCATCAATACAGGCTCCCTGATCAGAAAACCTGTAGATTCTCTTAAAATCAAGAACTAGTTAGATGTGTTCTACTTTGACCCAAATGAACTTGGCTTGCCAAGTATGGGACACACAGTGACACAGGAAGAAGTTAGAAAGGACTACTTCTGGGTGGCTTACCACTCTTTTCCCAGGACTGAGCATAGCCACTAAGACAATAAATTCTCAAAAATATTTGCAAACTAACAGGTGATGCTTATTTTTAGTTGGCTAGGCTCCTCAGACTATTCTCCATTAAGACTAATTTTCTCTCCTAGAAGAATAGCTATGAGCTACAAAATAACGCACTTAACTCCTGAATGTCAGCATTGGCTAGATCAGGAAAATGTTTTTAAAAACTCCTGAATGTTTTTAAAAAATTATCTGAATTAAATTTTTTCCCTAACTTTTCATTAGAAAAAATTTCAAACATACTGAAAAGTTGAAAGAAGGGTATTGTATTAGAGTTCCCCAGAGAAACAAAACTTATATTTATCTATCTCATATCTATGGAGAGAGAGAGAAACATAGATAACTATGGAAACATATATAGAGAAATTTAACATTCGTATAGTGGTTTAAATGTTAATCTCATCAAAAACTACTTTCACAGAAACATCTAGAATAGTGTTTGACCAAATATTTTCATTGAAAGCATTTGAAAGTAAGCTTCAGACATCATGTATTAATATTTCAACCCTAATATTTCAATATGTGTTTCCAAAGGATAAGGACACTATCCTATATAACCACATGTACATTAGCAATAATTCCATAGTATCAGCTAATACTTAAATTTAAAATTTCACCAGTTGTCTTTAAAATGACTTTTTAATTCAAGATCCAGTCAAGGTTTACCCGTTGCATTTGGTTATGTCTCTTTAGTCCTTGTTTCAAAATTTAGAATATCCCCATCCTCATTTATGGCACTGCAATTTGGAGAAGTCTAGAATGGTAGACACACAGCATGTCCCATATCTTGAATGTGCTTGTTTTTCTATGGCATCATTTCTGTAAGCTGGAAGTTAGGGCGAAAGAGTTGATTAGATTCAGGTGAAACATTTTTGGCAAGAATATATAAGTGATTTGCGGACCTCCTATTATATAACGTCAGGCAGTACCTAATTTCTTATTGTTCCATTGTTTAGAGTGGTGATTATGAGAACCCTCAGTTGTAAAAGTCATTTTTTTCTCTTTATAGTTAATAAGTAATCTGTGAGATGATACTTTGATACCTGGTAAATATTCTGCTCACAAGATGCCCACATACTAACCTCTGGAACACGTGAACATGTGTTCCAGGGGTTAGTTGGCAAAATAGGACTTTGCAGGTATGATTAAATTCAGGATTTTGTGATGGGAGGTTATGCTGGATTATGTGGGTGGACCCAGTGTTATCACAGATGTCCTTATAAAAGGGAGGCAGGCGGGTCAGCGTCAGAGAGAAGGACATGTGATGATGGAAGCAGAGGTTGGAACTATGAGGGGCCATGACAGCCATAGAATGTGGACAGCATCTAGAGTCAAGAAATGGCAAGAAACAGATTCTCCCCAGAGCCTCTAGAAGGAACGCAGCCACACTGACCCATTTTAGACATTTGATCTCCAGAACTGCAAAATAATAAATCTGTGTTGTTTTAAGCCACTACATTGTGGTAGTTTGTTACATAAGCAACAAGAAATTAATACAGAAGATGATCCTTATATGAATCAGTGTTACCTTATAATTTGCCAAATGATTATTCTTTAATTCTATAATACCTGCTATTGGCATTCTTTGATACAACAGAGCCCTATCCCTTCATTTTTCTTAAATATCACTAGAAACTCATGAATTCTTTCATTTTTTAGATGAAGTCTCATTCTGTCACCTAAGCTGGAGTGCAGTGGCAGGATCATACTCACTGCAGCCTTGAACCCCTGTGCTCAAATGATCTTTCCACCTCAGCCTTCCAAAGTGCTGGTATTACAGACATGAGCCACCACACCCAGCCTAAACTCATGGATTTTTATTCATCCAATGTAGTATCAATTATAGTTATTATTCTTGTTGATGCCTAAATATGCCCCAGTTTTGCCAGCAGGAGTCCTTGTAATCTGTCTGTGTGACAGATTAAAGATGAACATGACTCTGTTGTTAGTCTTTGAGTGCGCCTGTGTTTTCCAATGTAACAATACATTTCAGGATCTTCTTGTCCATTTCCTGCCTCAGAGCTGGAATCAGCCATTTCTCCAAGGAGTCTTTTTTTTTTTTTTTTTTAGGGCGATGAATTTGAAAACCAAGATTTGAGCATTTTGAGGTGTTTTCTCATTTTATGTCTGTAAGAGAATGTTTATACATGTTTGAGATTTTGGATCATTTACCTACAATAACTTTGGGAAAGCTAAATGTGGATTGTTTGCCTTTATTTCTGTCAACCTTATTTAAAATAATTCTTTCCCCATCACTATGCCCTAACCCTGATTTATTTTGGCTTATAGCACTTATCACGATCAGACATTGTAGGATGTGTTTGTTTATTTCTCCCATTGTCTTTGGAACTAAGGAAAGAACTTTACCTATCTTGTTCACTACTGAAACAATATCTCATACAAAGATATTGTTTCAGGCCCTGAAACAATATCTCATACAAAGTGGAGCTCAGTAAATATTAGTTGACCGGATAAATAAGAGTGAGCCTCACTTCTGTTGAACTTCCTAGTTCACATGGCAGGAACTTTTTCCCTCTTGCTTTTGATTTGATACCCTAGCAAGCTGGATGTGATTTTTAAAATCATGTACAGTACCCCTCTCAAGGAGTATATGGTATTATTGGATGTTTGACCTCACTTTCATGGTCCTGTAACAAATGTCATTCTTTCTGAATTCCACACGATGGAGCTAACTGTATATGGAATCTAAATGCCAGGATTGGCTGTAAGTTTGGTAGGATTTGAAGCCGCTAAGGAAGGGGAAGATTGCTTTGCTTATTGACAGATTTTTCTACATAGATGTGTTTTAGGAAATTGCTCCACAAAAATATTTTATGAATATAATTTGTTGATGTTAAAGTGGTTAATTGCATGGGTCAAATTGGAGGGAAATTTTACCCATATCCCTGCTGGAACCACAGATTGTATCATTCAGTGCCTCTGTAATTATGCCCATCCTGGGAAGACTGTGTGATGTATCAGTCAGGATAATGTAGATTATGCTGCATTAACAAACAGCTTCTCAATCTCAGTGGATTGAAACAAAACAAAACAAAACAAAACAAAACAAAACAAAAAGGTTTGTTTCTTGTTCACACTGTATGTTCAGTAAGAGACACCTGGGGACTCTGCTCAGTGCCAGCTCATCTTCTTCCCCGGACACAGGCTGATGGGAAGCCACTACCGGCTATGATAGCAAATGGAAAAGACAACTCTGAAGGGTGAACCTGGAAGTGATACAATTATTTCGCCAGAACATGGTCTCACTCAACCATAGGGACCCAGGAAGTACAAATCTGCCATGTTCCTGGAAGGCAGAGGGTAAGAAGTATTTGGTGAGATGCAATAATGATTACCACATGCAGAAAAAGCACACGGTTTTACATCACAGAGATCAAGAGAGAGACTTTCCAGGTGTTTTAGTTACACATTATTAACTGAGCATTATTGACTACTCTGCTATGGGGGTCTGGAGATGAGAATCACTCGTTCAGTGTAACAATGATTGCAGATGTCTAAACCAGTTTAAGTGAGAAAGGCTATAGAGCCCTTGAATCCATTATCTCCATTTGATGAGATCTGCTAAGGTGTGCTAACACACTCATTAGATTAATGGGGTCACCTAGGAGGAAGCAGTGGCTTACGCCTGTAATCCCAGCTACTCTGAAGGCTGAGGCAGGAGGATTGCTTGAGTGTGGGAGTTTGAGGTTAGCAGTAGTCTGGGCAACATAGTGAAACCTTGTTTCTAAAACAACAATAACAACAAAATTGGTTATGTCAATATTATTATAAATTGTTCATTATCTCAAATTTTAAGAAACTTACATAAGACCTTGTAAGAGTACTTGATATTGGCCATTTTAATTTCACAATGTGGGCAGATTATGCAAATGATTGGCATACTGTTTAGGATTACTTCTATTAAATAACTGCACGAAACAAAAACTTTTAAATATTATGGCTTAAATAATATAGAAGTAGTTGTTTCCTCTTACACTAATAGAGATTCAGAGATATGATGCTTTGGGGCTTGTATGCCAACTCCACAGAGTCCTCAGAGATCTAGGCTCCTTCTAGTCACAACTATCTTCTTTAGGGCATGATATGTGTCCTTATATTAAAAAATGGCTTGTAGAGCTCCAGCTCTCATATCCATATTCCATGGAGCAGAACGGAGGAAAGAAAAGAACAGGCAAGGGGTATATACATCAGCTGTCTTTTAAGATGCTTTCCCAGAAGGCACAAAAAACATTTCCACTTAATTTCATCAGCCAGGAATTAGTCATATGGTCACATGTAATTGGGAAGGTGAGGCTGAGAAATATAGTTGTTTAGCTGGGTACATTTTGTTGCCTCAAATAAAACTAGAGGTCCTAAAACTGAGGAGGAGGGGGAGAATGAATATTGGCTATAGGCTTCTAGCAATTTGCCCTAATTGGGTTACTTGAGTCATGAAGCCACACAGACCCTGCCAAATAGCTGACAGACTTGCTTTCCCCAGCTTCACTGACAGACCATGGTGGCTTCTAACTGCGGTCTGGAAATAGCCCTAAATATTGCCTAGCTATTTTTTCTTTCTTTGAGATAGGGTCTCACTCTGTCACCGAGGCTGGAGTACAGTGGTGCAATCACAGCTCACCAAGGCTCAGGTGATCTCCCAGGCTCAGGTGATCCTCCCACCTCAGCCTCCTGAGTAGCTGGGACTACAGGCACACACCACCACACCTGGCTAATTGTTTGCATTTTGTTTTGTTTTGTTTTGTAGAGATGGGATTTCACCATTTTGCCCAGGCTAATCTGTAACTCCTGGACTGAAGCAATTCACCCACCTTGGCCTCCCAAAATGCTGGGATTACAGGTGTGAGCCAACATGCCTGGCCTTGCTAAGCTAATTCTTACATAAAGTTTTTAATTTATTTTTAATTTTTGTGGGTACATAGCAGGTGAATATATGGATTACATGAGACATTTTGACACAGGCATGCAATGCATAATAATCACATCAGGGTAAATGAGGTATCAATCATCTCAAGCATTTATCCTTTGTGTTACAAATAATCCAATTATACTCCTTTAGTGTTTTCAAAATGTACAATTAAATTATTTTTTACTTTAGTCATTTTGTTGTGCTAGCAAATACTAGATCTTATTCATTCTTTCTAACTATTTTTTTTGTGCCCACCAACCATCCCCACTTTCCTATCACATCCCCACTTTCCTATCTCTGCCTTCATAGACTCTGGTAACCATCCTTCTACTCTCTATCTCCATGAGTTCAATTATTTTAATTTTTAGCTCCCACAAATAAGTGAGAACATGCAAAACTTACTTCTCTGTGCCTGGCTTATTTCACTTAACATAATGACCTCTAGTTCCATCCATCTTGTTACCAATGACAGGATCTCATTCTTTTTTATGGCTGAATAGTACTCCATTGTATATATGTACCATATTTTCTTTATCTGTTCATCTGCTGGTGGATACAGGTTGCTTCCAAATCTTGGCTATTGTGAATACTGCTGCAATAAATATGGAAGGGTAGATATCTCTTTGATATACTGATTTCCTTTCTTTTGGGTATATACCTATGGGTGGGATTGCTGGATCCTATGGTAGGATTTTTAGTTTTTTGAAAAACTTCCAAACTGTTCTCCATAGTGGTTGTACTAATATACAGTCCCACCAACAGTGTATAAGGCTTCTCTTTTCTCCACATCCTTGCTAGCATTTGTTATTGCCTGACTTTTGGATAAACGCCATTTTAACTGGGGTGAGATGGTATCTAATTGTAGTTTTGATTTGCATTTCTCTGATGATTAATGATGTTGAGCACCTTTTCATATGCCTGTTGGCCATTTGTGTGTCTTCTTTTGAGAAATGTCTATTCAGGTCTTTTGCCCATTTTTAATCAGATTATTAGTTTTTTTTTTTTCCTACAGAGTTGTTTGGGCTCCTTATATAATATATTCTGGTTATTAATTCCTTGTTAGATAGGTAGTTTGCAGACATTTTCTCCCATTCTGTGGGTTGTTCTTTGCTTTGTTGATTGTATCCTTTGCTGTGCAAAAGTTATTTAACTTGAAATGATCCCATTTGTCCATGTTTGCTTTGGTTGTCTGTGCTTGTGGGGTATTACATAAGAAATCATTGCCCAGACCAATATCCTGGAGAGCTTCCCCAATGTTTTATTGTAGTAGTTTCATAGTTTGAGGTCTTGGGTTTAAGTCTTTAGTTGATTTTGATTTGATTTTTGTATGTGGCAAGAGATAGGGGTCTGGTTTCACTCTTTTGCATATGGGTATCTCCTTTCCCAGCACCATTTATTGAAGAAATTATCATTTCTTCAATGTATGTTCGTGGCACCTTTGTCAAAAAATGAGTTCACTGTAGATGTGTGGACGTACCTCTGGGTTCTCTATTCTGTTTCACTGCTCTATGTGTCTGTTCCCGGGTAATTTAAAAAACTTAAATGAAGTAGAGCACCCAGAGAAAACTTTTTGATTTTAGAGCCATTGAAGGGTTGCTCCAAATGATAGGTCCAGATCTCTGACCCTCACATCGTGTTGTTTATACCACATACAGGTTCCTGTCTAGAGGACCCTGGATACAGTTTATCCCATCTTCAAAAGTAACCTCCTCCCCGCTTCCTTCCCTATTATAAACCTATCAGTTTATTGGACATTCTATCAAAATTTACTTGCTTAGTAAATTGCAACTCTGGCTCACTTTTATGTGAGATGTAGTCATGGTTATCCTGTGACTATTATTCTACTCTCTCACTAGTAATACCTTAGATGAGATGTAGGCAAAGAATCCTGTGGTACTTTTTACCTTCATGTAAAGAAATTCACCAAGACCAGTGCAAGAATTAGATGGTGATTTCCTTTTATGACTCATCCCCTAGCTTCTGACTTTTTAAGTGCAGAGTGGCTATGGACAAAGTTCATGGGTTTAAGAGAACACCCTGCCTGCCCTTCCCACCACCCCCATCCTGGCATTACTGGTTTTCAAAATGTGCATTGCAGTCTTACATCTGACTCAGGGCAGCTGAAATGCTTCAACAGTGCAAAATGAAACTGCTCTGTCTCCTTTCTTATGATACCACATCTGAATAATCCCCTATACTGCAGAGAAAAGAAAGACATAATGTGGTTTTATCTCAAACCAGAAGTAAGCAAATCAATAATTGACCATATTAACTAACTCAGTGCTGGGAAAGAGACTTCTTGTTATTACTCCTTAAAGCAAAACAGAAACAAAAAGTAAACAACTTTAAAACCAATGTAAAATTATACCACATTTAAAAAATCACATATTTTAGTTATAGTCAATTACTTTGAGACATTTTTTTTTCCTGAGGGAATACACCAAGAAGTAGCCTCGTCCAAAGGAAGCCATTCTTTGGGGCCTTATTGGAATTTTATTTGACTCTCTCCCTCCCTCCCACTACTCTAATTTCCTATTCTTTCTGTTCCTCAGTCATATCAAAGTTGCCCTTCCCCTGACACTTTTGCAGGAACTGCTCCCTCTGCCAGCTGTGCTCTTTGCTCAGATCTTCAATGGCTGATCACTTTCTGACAGTCAGGTTATAGTTTAAATGCCACCTCCTCTAAGAAGGCTTTCCTGACCATTCCATCCAAAGCAACCACATCCATTACTCTCTCCTGCCACCCTGTTTTATTTTACTACAGCATTTATTATCATCTAATAGTTCATTTTTTATTTTTTATTGTCTGCACCTTCTCCTCAATTAGAGTTTCAATTTAGCACCTCCTTATGTCTGGCAAAATAGTCTCTACTTCACTGGTGTTCAGTTTTGGGCAGGCTTTCTCTGTCTTGGATTACTGACATTTGGGACCACACAAACCTTCACTGTGGGGAGGCTATGCTGTGCATTCTAGGATGTTTTACAATATCTCTGGCCTCTATTCATTAGATGCATTTTTGGTGGTGACAACCAAAATGTCTCCAGATACTGTCAAAGTTCCCTAGGAGACAAAATTGCATGTGGTTGAGAGGTACTGGTTTAGGCTGTTAGCTGCTGTGTAGCTGCTATGGTTGTCAGGAGACAACATTGTCTTAGAGTAGTAATAGCTATCATTTGTTGAATGCCTACAGGTATTGAGCACTGTTCTACAGGCTTAACATTTAGTATTTACTATTTAATAAAGTAATAGTAACTTTAGTAAAATAATAGTAAACATTTAGTCTTTACTATTATCCTCATTTTACAGATTGGGAAACTGAGGCACATGATTACTTGCTTAAGTTCACACCGTTAGTAAGTGGGGAAGTCCGGAATTCAAACCAGGCTCCAGAACTCTATGCTAACAGGAGTGGGCAGTGCTGTGGGATTCTCACTGCCGTGTCCCTGGTGGCAGAGACTGGACAGCAAATGGGCTCCCTACCCACTCAAACCCACACAGTTGTTTGCTCAGAGTGACCATGGGCAAGTGACGACTTTCCTCTCTGAGCCTCAGTTACCTCTGTAAATAGTAGTAACAATAATAATAAATTCCATGTAGAGTTGCTTTAGGAACTCAGTGCAATAGCCTAAGCGAAAATAGCAGGTTTCTGGCACATAGTAAGTTCTGAATTCATTTCCTCTCTCCTTCCTTTCCTCTTGGCTCCAAGCTCCAAGCACTGAAAGCAGATCCTAAAGACCTTGGTCAGACAGCGCATTGGGAAATCTAACCTTTCAGCAATCTGCGGAGCCGCCCTGCTGTTGACCAGAAGCAGGGGAAGCAGCCCCCTTAGCAATAGCCTGCCGGGTTAGCAATCTTGTTCTCCTGTGCTAATAACCAACAGCACAAGTCATCAGCACTTTCCCGTTAAGCCAAAAGGGGCTTTTAAATCTATGCTGATTAGATGCCCCTGGGCCTCGCTGACAAGTAGTCTTCCTTTCTCCATTTCTTGATGTGAGTCAGTGAATTAATTGCCTGACCTATTGTTTTCTAACACGGCAAATTAAATGAATTTTCGGGTGAATAGCCCAAGCCTTTTGGCCTGCAGGGGGCGTCCTTTGCAAACATAAATCTGTTGGTGCTCAGGCTAGCTGGTAGAGCCCCATCAAAAATTGGATGCCTTTGAAAAGTTTGCTTAGAGCAGGGGTTCTAAATTTGGTGCGCACAAATCTCCATGGATAAAATTCTGTGAACTTGGATGGGAAAAACGCTATATGTTTATTTTCACTAAGCTCCAACTGAAATTTAGCATTTTCTTCAATTATGAATATAGGCAACAAATTACAGATATTTACAGATTCCACTACGGTTGTTGCAGATATCTTGAAATACCATTTACATCTCATGACTTCAAAATTACAGTAGCTATAGGACTACTGCTGGATCTTGTCATTTAATGTATTAATAAAAAAGCACATACAGAATTATATCACAAATTTGTTTTTGTTGTTGATATTTTAATAACTGTCTTTTGATATCATTGGTTTGCCTTGTAATCTTATGTATTTAGTTTTATTAAGTTTAAGACATTATTTTGAGAAGGAGCCCATGGATTTCCCCAGACTGGCAAAAGGGCTCATGGTACCAAAAAAAAAAAAAAAATTAACACCTGGCTGAGAGGCCAATAGGACTGGAGAAAAGAAGTCAGTCTTAAAGGGAATCTTTGTGCTCAATAATTTTAGTCATGACTCAATTCTTGCCCTTCCATCTTTTCCAGTGACATAAACATGTCCCACACTTATATTAAAACTATTAACCCCTCGTAGACTTTGGCTTAGACAAAGACTTCACAACCAAGAGCCCAAAAGCAAATGTAACAAAAACAAAGATAAGTGGAACTTAATTAAGCAAAAAGCCTTCCGCACAGCAAAATAAATAATCAGCAGAGTTCACAGACAACCCACAGAGTGGGAGAAAATACTCACAATCTATATATCTGACAAAGGACTAGTATCCAGAATCTACAAATAATTCAAACAAATCAGCAAGTAAAAAGCCAAACAATCCCATCAAAAAGTGGGATAAAGACATAAATAGACAATTCTCAAAAGAAGATACACAAATGGCTGGCAAGCATATGGAAAAATGCTCAACATCACTAATTATCAGGGAAATGTAAATTGAAACTACAATGTGATACCACTTTACTTCTGCAAGAATGGCCATAATTAAAAAATAATAGATGTTAGCATGGATGTGGTGAAAAGGGAACAGTTTTACACTGTTGGTGGGATTGTAAACTAGTACAACCACCATGGAAAACAGTGTGGAGATTCTGTGAAGAACTAAAAGTGGATCTACCGTTTAATTCAGCAATCCCACTACTAGGTATCTACCCAGAGGAAAATAAGTCATTATATAAAAAGATACTTGCACACACGTTTACAGCAGTACAATTTGCAATTGCAAAATATGGAACCAGCCCAAGTGCCCATCAATCAACGAGTACATAAAGACACTCTGGTATATACCAGAGTGTCTTTATGTACTCGTTGATATATATATATGTACATATATATATATATACACACACACATATATATCAACGAGTAAATATCAACACATATATATATGATGGAATACTACTCAGCCATAAAAAGGAATGAAATAATGGCATTTGCAGCAACCTGGATGGAACTGGAGACTAATATTCTAAGTGAAGTAACTCAGGAATGGAAAACCAAACATCGTTATGTTCTCACTCATATGTGGGAGCTAAGCTATGAGGACTCAAAGGCATAAGAATGATACCTTGGACTTCGGGGACTCTGGGGAAAGGATGAGGGATGGTGAAGAATAAAAGACTACACACTGGATACAGTGTACACTGCTGGGGTGATGGGTGCACCAAAAGCTCAGAAATCACCACTAAAGAATTTATTCATGGAACCAAATACTCCCTGTTCCCCCCAAACCTACTGAAATCAAAAAATAAAAAATTTTCAAAAGCTATTAGCCATGATGCTTGGCAGTGTGCAATTTACAACATCAGGGTAGAATTTTGGTGTATTCAGAATTATGTTGACTGACTAAATTTTAGCACATCCAGGATGCCTGTCATCCTGGCCTTGGGAAGGAGAGGCCCAGCGTTTCCAGCTGCTTTTACAATTTTTGTTATGCTTGATTGACTTCCAGGGCTCGGGAATCTTCTGAAAGCCTAGGAGTTTCTGTGCAGGCTCAGCACTGAGATTTATTGCTTTTCAGCAAGAAGGTCTAGCATTCTGAGAGTGTTCCTTCTAGAATCTACTCTTCTCCCACTCCCTCAAGAAAAACTCTGAAATATCTATAGACAGAGAGGAAGAATTGGAAACTTACACATAGTTTCTTTCTGCATATTCCTATTTCTTTTCTCTTAGGGAAGTGGGACCACCCTATGGGGACAGGACCAGACTGTGCCAGACTGCGCCAGGGTGAGGTGTCCAGGTTTCCTGACCAACCCTGCTTGCTTATCCAGGCCTTGGCATCTGAGGGCACAGGAGCCGGGCAAGCCCAGGCAAGGACTGTCCCCTTAGCCCTTTCTTCCCCCCCTCTCTCAGGCTCCTCCTTTCTCTCCGCTGGGTCTTTATGCTGCTCCCTCCTCATCTACTCCTCAGGCCTGCCTTTCCACTCCCAAATCCAACCTTTTCCTTCCATTCCCTGGAAAAACAATCATGATCCCTGCAGCAGCAATAATAACAAAACAAAAGCCACTCCCTTTATTTATTAAAAACCCCTAATGTGCAGGTAATATGTGTGGCACTTCAACTGCACCTTCTCATTAACCCCTTTAATCAGCTCTTGTGGGTTGATGGTGTCTGCCAAGATTCATGTTCACCTGGCAACTCAGAATTTGACCTTATTTGGGCCTTTGCAGAAGTAATTACTTAAGGATCAAGAAGAAATCACTGTGGAGTAGGGTGGGCCCTAAATCCAATGACTGGTGATGTTTTAAGAAGAGGATAGAGCACAGAGACACAGAGAGAAGACCATGTGAAGACAGAGGCAGAGATTGGCGTTAAGCACCCATAAGCCAAGGAGTGCCTGGAGCCTCCTTGTAACAGACAAAGAAGGATTCTTCCTTAGATCCTTTAGGGGGAACATGGCCGTGCTGATACTTTGATTTCAGACTTCCGGCCTCCAGAACTATGAGAGAAAAAGTTCCTGTTGCTTTAGAACTTTTATTGTTTTACGTTTGTGGTACTTTGTTAAGACATCCATAGGAAACCAATAGCCATGCCTCCTAGATGCACTAAAATTTAGTCAGTCAACATAATTCTGAATACACTAAAATTTTATCCAGATGTTGTAAATTGCACTGCCAAGCATCATGGCTAATAGTTTCATCAGCCAATAAGATGGGCATTATTACCCCTGTTTGTTCAATGAAGAAACCCAGACAAAATGTGTAATACCTGCAAAGATTTGCATATCCAGTGAGGGCTGTGGGATTGTAACCCTGATCTAAGTAACCCCATCTCCTTCCAATCTCCCTTCAACAGTGCTGGATTCAATTAACTGTTGACTTTGTTGATTAAAGTAATTCATATTCAAATTTGAGGAGGTATTGAATAATACCGTTGGTAGCTGTGTTGTAGAGGAGTGTAGAATTCCCTAAGACCTTCTGGCATATCTGAAGAAGGGAAGGGTTGAAATAGGAGCAGCTCTCTCTGCTGTTTCTGCTTAACAACTCTTAGAGAAAATTAGCAGGAATCTGCATCATACCAGTCCCATTCCCTGGGAAGGTTTGCTCTCCTCCCTTCACTTTCATTCCTCTCCAGGCTAATTTAGGGGGTTCTACAGATGTTCAAAATGATGAATTAAGATCATTCTCTGAGGCAGGCTTCTTGTCATTGCCATAAGCCATCAATTTCCCAGCAGATTATATTAGGAACATTTTTATAAGCCCAAAATGGCATTATAAAAGTGTGGTAAAGTTATTTGTTGGTGGAGAACAGAGAGGACTTGCTTTTGCCCAGGAGGACTTTCTTCCCCCGCTGCATAGGAACATTTCGAAGAAAACAGGTGTCCATCCTTATAAAATCACTCCATTCCTGTGGCTCTTGCAGGTACTGCCATATTCCACATGCCCGTTCCCTCACGTGGTGTGTAGGTCCTGGGGATGTTAAACACTTATGGACCTCAAATGGCATCAGCATGGTGCGTGGATGGCCTGTGACTTGCTATCATGAGTCTGTCAGGGATGCAATGATGTCAGCTCACTTGGCTGAGGGGCTGGCAGTTTAACAATGTCCCTATCCTTGGCTTGTCAAGAGTTATAAGCTTACACAGTGATAGGAAAGTTTTTATTTAAAAAACAGAATTTCTAACACAAGATCAATTTTTGTCTTGGCAGTCCTGATACTGTCACTTTAGGTAAAAATCACAAGTTCAAATCCCAGCTCAGTTCTCACCAGGTGGGTGTCCTCAGGCAAGGTCTTCAGCTTCCCTGGGCTCTGGGCCTTTCCACTGTGACAATACTAACCCATTTCAAAGGCTGGTGTTAGACTGAAACTATTAAAGTCAAGCAGAAAATAAAAATGGGAAAAAGCAAAGCAATAAAAAGGGTGTGTTATCCCTCACCCCCACACTCCCGTTTAATGTTAAGGGAGTCTGAATATACTCAGATGCGGCTATGACCAGAGAGCTACTTGCCAACAGCAAGAAACAGATTTTCCTAAATGATTTTTTTTAAAGCTGTTAATTCCCTTTTTTTTATTTCCCATCTAATTCCTGGCAGGAGAATAGACAGCGGGGAATAAAAACCTCTGTTGAGTTGGCAATTTTAGTACTCATATACAAGACTGTTTTATCATCAATCCTCTGAGGTCAGGGGGTCTATAAAGACATAAAGGGAGTCTTTCTTTCTAGTTGTGTTTGAGCCAGGACACTTGGGCTCTTTCCTAGTGTCTTACAGAACCAGCTTTTTACTTCTGCTGGTCCAGCCTCCTTACTTAACAGCCAGAGAAATGGAGGCCAGAGGGTTTCATAGCCCTTCAGGCTTTGTTTTCCTCATCTGTAAAATGGGGATGATGGTTCCTACCTTAGAGGATTGTTCTATATTTTAAGGGAGTAGAGCCATACCTGGCATATGATAAGCCCAATGTAAGTGAGAGGCAGCAAAGCTTGATAATAAAGAGATAATCTCTATATCAGATGGTCGGGCCCACTTCCTGGACTGCCCCTTACTATTAGTGACCTTGGATGAGTTACTTAACAGTCCTGCTCCTTGTAGAGTTGTCACAAGGATTAAATTAGTTAACATACATAAAACACTTAGTGTCTGTCACATCGTTAAGTGCTATACTGGAATTAATTCTTACTATGGTTATTTTGAAAGACATTATGTGGTTTCTATAGAATTGTCCAGTTAATTAGTGGAGAGGGCCACAAATAGAATAAAAAAAAATTGGGGTCTTGTGTGTATTCTATACCAAACCAACGTACCTAGTTATATACATAAGCGCCAGGTTCATTTCTAACTTCTTTAGGGCTACTTCTGACTCCTATGACTATGATAGAGCTAACTTGTTAATGTCATCCACCTAGATCGGTAGAGTTTGCAGCACAGCTTAATTGGGAGGTTCATCAATAAGCCACACACATGCCCGTGGGACTTAGAAGGAAGCTCAGCCATTTGTCTCCATTAGAGGGCGCCAAGGGGAGACAGCATGGTGGAAGGAAGAGAAAGAACCAGTTGCTTCCTGTTCCTGTTAGGGTTTCCCAGCCATAGCCCTTCACCCCAGCAAAGGCAGTTGATTCCAGTGTGCAGTTTTCCCAGCCTCTGCGGACACCCGCTTTTCAAAGATCAGAATCTGTCCTCTGAGATCCTAACAAGCCCAACCTTCTCCCTTTGTTCCCCAGCCTGAAGTGGTGACTACTTTCTGCAGTTATTATTTCTGCTACATTTCAGTGGCCCCTTTTTTGCCTTGTCAATTCTTTAATCTCTAGCTAAAAATTCTTTATATTGAATTCTAATTCTCACTGATAAAATAATCGAAGTGCTGTATTTCTTCTTACTGGTATACACATGAATATGCAGTTATAAAAATAATACATAAATAGAGGCCAACAGAAAGTCCTCAATGATATCACCCCCTTTTCTCGCTGCAGACTGAACGTGATCATGTAAGTTATGTCTCCTTTGAGTATCTGTCACTTAGTTACTCCACTCCCTAGAGGAAACCACAGCTATCAGCAGGTGTCTGTCCCTCTAGAACTTTAACAAATACATTTACATGGATATATATGTATATATACACACACACATATATACACACACATACATATATATATACACACACATATATATGGTAGAGTATGATCACATAATACAAACATAATGAAATAATTTAAAATAAATGTAACTATACTTTAGCACTTTAAAATATTTTTCTCTTTTCTAAGAAAACTGATTTCTTCCATTTTCACATCTTAGATTGGATCTCAGCTCTCTATTCTTGCTTCTTTTCACCACTCAAAAGGGCATGTTTTCCCTGCAATTCTTGTTTTTTTTCTCTCTCTCTCGATATAACTGATGCTAGGTACACAGTAGGTGCACAATAAATGGTAGCCACTATTATTATCACACCGATCCTCACTGCCTGGCTGTCTTTGAAAACCAAGACCTAGGATAATAAGGTGTCATGAGCTAATAAGTAATAAGCATGCTTATTAATAAGTAATAAGATGCTTCTATGTCCTTTACTAACCAAGCCCTAACTCATTTTTGAGCCCCTTACCAAAAAGTGCGTGAGAAGTATGAAGGGAAAACATACAAACAAATAAGATATTGTCCCTGCCCTTAAATTTCTTATAATCTAGGTGGGGGCCCCGCCCTGGCAGTTAAAAAGTGCCAAATGAATATGAAAGGTGTACATGCTGGAAGAGTTCACTTCCACCGGGGAGATCGGCAAAGATGTCACAGAGGAGATGGAATCTGAACTGAACCTTGAATGGTGGCTTGGACTTGAAATAATGGAAGAGAAAAGCCAGAAAGAGCATTAAGAAGTTGATCTATGGGATCTAGATTTTCCATCACAATGAAACAAGTTACTTTCTGCATCATAGATCAGAATTACGCAAAACCAGTATGAGGTGGACCCAAGAAGAGCAACATCTCTCTCTATAAAACTCAGAGGCGGATCTGTGAAGGAAAGCATCTGTTTCTCCAGTCTAAGGTGGGACGATTCTATGCTGCCATGTCAAAGATGCTATAACATTTATTTTCTTCTTCCTTTAACCTTTCCACAGTTCTGACAATTATTCTGCTGTCCCTCTTTCCCATTCAGCACTGCTCAAGGCTCCTTTCCCCATGTCAACAACTCCAAGCTCTTCCTCAACAAACAAACAAAAAACATTAAAAACCTTTTTTCAATTCACCTGAATTTGCAGACCCTGATTTTACATTCAAAGTCAAGCAGCCCTGTTGCTTTATCATTTGTAATCCCTTCAGATTTTTTCTTAACATCTCAATGAAATTCTCTCATAAATCCCCTTCTTTGCTGACCAAGTGCGGTGCAGTTGCTGATTTTGCAAGATATGTGCTAATGTAAAGTATGTCTCCTTTGAGTCTCTTTATCACTTGGTTGCTCTCTGCTCCACCTTCTCCATATTTATGTCCTTATCAGAGCTGCACACAGTATTTCAAATGAGCTTCAGTGTTCTTCCTGCCAGGCCACAGTATTGACTGTAATACGATAGCCTATCTCAAAATTGGTTTGGGGGATTCTTTTTCTCATTGTGGTTAAAATAGCTTGCCTTGTAAATGCCAGAATATATTTTTGCAGATTAGATTTTTTATGAAAAATGGTGTCAAATGCTTTCCGGAAGGGTGTTTAAATTATTTGGATAGGCTGCTTCATCCATTAATGTTTTCTTTTGCAGTTTAACCTCACAGGTTTGCAGGACAGTTTCACCACTGAAAATTTGTGCTGATTTCTTTGTCATTAAACGTAACTTTTTTAAAGGATTCTTACGTTCAAGCTGTGGCTTACGGCTTCAAAACACTTTCCCCCTGCTGTTGAAATCATGAGGTCCGTGGTCTCCCAGATCTTCTCTAAAAGTCTCTCTTAACAGAGAAGAAGCCTTCGCAGCATCTGTCTTCTTCAGCTGTTGCCGCTGATAATTTCAGACATATTCACAAACCCTGCTCTGCATCAGACAGCTGTTACGTGGTTACCGAGTGTTTGTGTGAGAGTGTGTGGCTCTGTGTCTCCTTTCAAGTTTCCACTTGCATGTAAGATTGTCTGAGAAAGGTTTTGTGCTATTTCCCCAGTGCAGTGTGTTTCCTGTTTTCCTTGGGAGGGCTCTGTATTGTAATCATTTTTCCACTCCAAGATCCTTCTAGGCTGATTTCCTTAACTGTTTTGACTCCTTCACGGTGTCTAAATTTGCATGTTGGCAATACAATGTTGGAGTTTATTTCACAGGGGCAGAGCACATTCCACTGCTGTCTCATCCCTATCATTTCTCTTTACTCCATTTATCTAAGCACTTGCCACATTCTTCTAAACCTAAGATCCGAAACCTCAGTTTGGGTTTTCTAGTGCTTGGATGGATGTCAAGATGATTTATAAAGCACTCTCATCCCAGTGCCATGGGCCAGTGATACCATCAGTTTAGCAACTCCTGAACTGCTTACCTAGAGTTGCCTATTGATTAAGGCTGCTACCAGATGCAGCTTGGTCCACATGCTCCAACCAGCAAGCCCTAGTTTATGAGCCAGTCATTTATGATGAGCATCATCTCAGTCATCATTGCGCGATGTGCTTTTGGCACTTTTTTGATTCACATGCATAGACTGCAGTCACCCATAATTAAATCCTGTCACAGTTGCATGAATTATTTTATCTAATCATATTTAATTCACCTCCTTCTTCTTTTGGAAATCTCTAGTGAGCTTCAGGCTTCATCCTGTAGATCTTTTGTCTATTTCTGAAGCTAAAGCTAGATTGATTACACATTCTGGCCTTTGAATACTTTGTGCTAGTCCTCATGCCAGGAATATAAAGCAACCTATTACCAATGTAGTTTTCTTTCTTTCTTTCTTTTGTGGCATCTAAGACTTTTCAGATCATACGATCCATCTGAACATGGACCAGTGGTTCTCAACTGGGACTATTTTGCCCCCAGGGGAAATGTGGCAATTTCTGGAGACATTTTTGGTTGTTTACAGCTGGGGGAGGAGTGCTACTGGCATTTAGTAGGAAGAGGCCAGAGATGCTGTTAAACATTCTACAATGCACATGACAGTCTCTCACAACAAAAAAATAATTTAGCCCAAAATTTCAGTAGCGCCAAAGTTGAGAACTCCTTGTACTCCACCAAATGATTCTAGATGTACTTAAATGTGGTAAGAATACATCTATATCCTCAGATCCCTGATATCTCTTCTCTGGGTCCAGGGCATGATCAAAGATTATCTTTTGAGAACACAGCTATATTTTCAACTCTGTTTCCTTAGGATTATGCATCTGAATGGCTGAGTTTGCATGTGCAGAGCCCAAATTTGCTATTAATCCTTGCTACCTTCTTAATTTACTTATACCTACTTCTTTCGACCAGAAAAGAAAGAGTCTAGCCAGCCAGTGTATATTTAACTCATTTATTCATTTATTTTGTGAGTGTTTGTTAACAACAGGCATTAAGTTAGGTGCTGGGGACTGCTAGGTGCTTCCATTTATACTCCATTCTCCATAATTTAAGCAAGCTGGCATGGGTCATAGCTCTCTCTAAAGCATCAATTCATCGGTACTCAGAGACCAAGTTTTTTTCGCCTGAAAGGTCTAGAACATATCAACTTGTACTTAGAGCAAAAGAGAATCTTGGAGTCCGAGAGTGTACTTTGCTCTGAGCCCTGGCGAGTCAGCTATTATGGCCCTTGGGTAATCTAAACATGACTTTCCCAAATGCTTTTATCTAGAGAGAGTGGTTTCAATCTCTTTCACCAGAGTAGCGTAGTCCTTTTATTATTGTCTTTATTGTTTCTAAGATGTATGAGGTTTTCTAGGTGCTCAAAGTTGTTCTTTGGAAATCAAGTCAGACCATTCTTATTGGTGTTCCATATGTTAAATCCAAACAAAAATGTTCTTACCTTCTGTGGCTGATCTTAACTGGAACATGTGTTGGTGTCTTTAAATCCTTTCCCCCGATCACCCTACTAGGCTTTTTACTTGGTCTACCTGAGTCAAGGTGTAACAGGTCTCAGCATGAAGGGGTGAGGGTGGGGAGGCTGGCAGACCCAATCAAGAATTTTTACTCAGACTCTGAAGGTATGACTGACTGAGAATTGGGTTCACTAGGTTCTGGCCTATACAGGAGCTTTTTTGGAAAACAACCAAAATTACACACACACATAGACACACACATACACACAGACACACATAAACACACACACACACACACACACACACAGTCGTGTGCTGCATAATGACTTTTCAGTCATTTCAGATGGACCACAGATATGATGGCGGTCCCATAGGATTCTAATACTGTTTTAACATACCTTTCCTGTTTAGATAGGTTTAGATACACAAATACTCACCATTGTGCTATAACTGCCTACAGTATTCAGTACAGTAACATGCTGTACAGGTGTGTGGCTTAAGAGCAATAGGCTGTCGTCCCATATAGCCCAGGTGTGTAGTAGGCTATATCATCTAGGTTTGCATAAGTACACTCTATCATGTCCACATGATGACAAAATCACCTACCAACACATTCCTCAGATACTATCCCCATCATTAAGCAACACATGATTATGCATCTGTGTGTGTGTATGTGTGTGTGACTGTTAATGTAGGAACATATAGCAACGTATAGCAATAAACATACTTCCCTCACTTGGGGCATAAAATGTGTTGGTAAAGTGGAGTTTAAAAAAGTGCTCTTTAAAATCACAACAGCCTGAAGCTGCTCTGTTTCTAAGGGACTGGACTATTTCTCTAGGAGTAGATTGCCTTCTATTATTCGAAAGGCGAATATTCCTTTTCTTCTCTTATTCCCTGTTCCCATCTCATCACCCTCTCTCATTTGAAAGAACAGGAACATAGAATTAAACTGCTCTCCAAAAGAAATGATGAAGAGCAAGTGAAAAGGAGAAGAGGGGCTGAGAAATGTCACCAGCAAAAAGTCACCAGAGGGAGGGCAGTGGGGGTGGTAACTAAAGGAATTTTTTTTTTTTTTTTTTTTGAGACAGGGTCTCACACTGTCACCCAGACTGGAGTGCAGTGTTGTGATCATAGCTCACTGCAGCCTCAAACTTCTGGGCTCCAGAGATCCTCCTGCTTCAGCCTCCCAAGTAGCTGGGACCACAGGTGCATGACACCATGCCCAGTTCATTTCTTAAAAAATTGTTTGTAGAGATGGGGTCTCACTTTGTTGCCCAGGCTGGCTTCAAATTCCAGCCTCAAGTGATTCCCCTGCCTTGGCCTCCCAAAGTGTTGGGATTACAGGTGTGAGCCACTGAGCCCAGCCCAAAAGGACTGCTAAGATATTTAATATTAAAATTTAAAGTTGTTTATTTCCTAGTGTTGTGGTATAGACACTATGGCCCCTGGCTGCCTCTTTGTCCCCAGCAATGCTCCAACACTTGAAGAAAGACTGGTCTATACTCAAATGTCTGATCGGTGATATCTGGGGCCAATAAAAAAGAGAAAGACTCATCTGGGTCATGTTGGAGCAGAAAGCTAAGAACAGCTGCATGAGATGAGATGTGAATGAGACTGAAAATTTACAGGGGCAGCAAATTAAAACCACAAGTGCTCATGAGAGTTTAAGACACCAGGCATTCACAAACATCCTGAGGAGGGTATTGCACTTTTGCAGGAAAGGGAGTTCTTCTCAACTATATGTAAATAGCAAAGAACGGGTACCTCTGCTGATCATCTGAGTTGCTTAACATTCAAATGACTGTGAAGGTAGGCCCAGACATCTCAAGAATCCACATGCTACTTCATATGTGGAGAACATTTGAGCCATTCATTCATTATTCAATAAGTATAGAGCCACTTCTACATACCAGACCTAGCAAGATATGATGGCAAACAAGATGGCCACAGTCCCTGACTTCATGGAGTTTACATTAGTGAGGGGGGAGTAGGGAGAAAAATGGGGAGAGATGATAAACATTTAAATACATAAATGGTCAGAATAATGATGGATTTTATGCAATATTAAAAATGGGGTGACGTAATAAAAAATACCAAAGTGGGTCATTTTAGGTAGAGTAGTCACTGAGGTCTCTTGAGGAAGTGACTCTTAAGGCCTAAAGACTTAGAAAGAATCCTCCACACAGCAAGCAAAGGGAAAAACACTCCGGGCAGAAGCCATAGCAGGCACAAAGGCCCTGAGGCAGAAAGAGACTGGAAAATCTCTGGAATCCATGGAAGGCCAATGACTAAAGACTAAAACTTCACGAGAAGGTTGGGAAGGGTCATGAGATGAGGTTTAAGGGTTAGACCATGGCCAGTAAAGGCTCTGAAGGCCAAGAAATGAAGTTTGGATGTCCTTTTAAGCCCAATGGGAAGACTAAAGAATTTTAAGCAAACCAATGACATCATCTGGTCCAAAGAATTCCCTGGATTGTCAGTATGGAGATGGTTGGAGGTCTTGACTAGAACAGTTTCAGCAGAGCAAAGGGAATGGAAACTGGATTGGATTGTGCTGTGGAGTGAATAGGAGTGAGAAGGTGGAGACAGTGTGCTCACAATCCTTCTAAGAGGTTTTGAGAAATGGGATAGCGGTTGGAGGGTAACGTGGGGTCAGGAGAGGGTCTTTATTTTTGTTTTGGTGTTTTCCTAAATGGGAAATAATACAGTATGTTTACATATGATGTCAGGAGTGATTCAGTCCAGAGGGAAGCAATGAAAAAGGAGAAGGTATAACTAGGGAGACAGCATGAAGGACTGAGACTTGAGCCCAAGCAGAGTTGCCTTTGGGAGCACCTCCTGCTCTGGTGGGAGGAAGAAGAAGATAGGCAGATGTAGGTCTTACCACATTTGTTTTACTGAGGAAGCAAGATTTCTTTCCGCCACTGCAAGGCTTCCAATGTTAACTGAACTCGGCGCAGCCGGGCTGCTCTGTGCCTGCTGATGTGATTGGCCAAGAGACTGATGAGAAGGGAATGAGAGGGTTTGAGCTGTAAACAGAAGCCACAGCCAAGAAGGAAAGTTCGGGTCTCTCCATTTAATTCCCCCATCCTGTTCTGATCCAGAGAAGATTTTGGTCATTTTCAATTCAGTAGTTTAGACTTTCATGGAGTGGTCCAGAGGGCCCTCAGGCTCAGAGGACAATGAGGCTTGAGGACAGCATGTATCTACAACTGTGGATAGACTGACACCCTGGACTGGCCAAGCCCAGGTCATCTGGGCTGAGGTAGCATTTAGCTAGCAAGCAATTTTTTGTGGTAAGAGAAATTAAAGACTTCCTCCATAAGTCTCTCTGTGGAAGGGGGAAATTGACGAGGGTCAGGCAGCTGTTAAAGGACATCCTGTAACTGCTGAGAACAGAATTGGATAAGGGTAGGGTTCTACCAGAGAGTCAGGAACAGCAAGAGAAGGGAAAGTAGAGAAGGGGACTGGGGGTGGGCAAGGATTCTTAGATATAAGGTTTTAATGACACGTCCTACTTGTGATTCAGTGTTCCCAGCAGAGGAGATGGAAGGAAATTATAGCTTGTGTGCCTGAAGGGCTGGAACTGAACTAGGATTTTATGCATATGATATTACTTAAGCCTCACAGAAATCCTGTGAGGTAGTTTTCTCCCCCTTTAATTTTACAGGTAGGCAAATGGAGGCTCAGAAAGTTAATGTGCTTAAAACTACATAACTAGTAAATAGCAGATGCAGAATTTTAGCCTGGATCTGCCTGACTCCAAATCCCATGGATTGGCCAGAATGGTGTTCTCCCTTCCTGGGCCTCCGGCGAGTGGTAACAGGTCAAAAAACAGATCAACTAGAAAGTTCTTCTGGTAAAATAGTGGGTGAGGCAAGTTAGTGCTAGGATTTGGCTGGAGTGATGGCTTTGCTGCCTCTTCAAGGAATTCACAATGCCATCTTTTCTTCCCTAGACTGTTGTGTGACAGCATTCCAAAGACTTTCCTCAATGGACACCACAGAAGTCCTTGAGTTTGAGGGGCTTCAGGAAGGAAGAGAACAGAATCTCATAGGGAAGACTCCTCTATGAAAAAAAGACCCCTTAAAGTCTGCTTTCCCCCATCATTTCAACATCCTCTCCCTCCCCAACTTTACCATATTGGGCTGAGAGGCTTTAAAACCACACTTCCACCCAGCTGGGCTGGGTTAAAGCCCTCACAGGAGCCACTGAGCCAAACCAAACTTCATGTGCATTACCCATGCAGAGCACATCCTCCAGTGTTTACATGTTGAATAGTTTATGATTTGCTCTACATCTGATCAGGCAGAGTCAACTACCAAAACTGCTGATCCATGGAACTTCACAGCCTTTCCGGGCATAATAACGGCTACAGCTACAGCTTATTCAAAGAGAGAAATAGCCTTTGATGAGCTGTGCAAGGACAAATTAAGACGTGACTGTCACCCAGCATCTAGATAGTAGCCTGCTGTTCCAGGCTTTACCCAAAAAGAAATGGGACTAAGGGAGCTGGGAGGCTTCGACCACACCCTCCTAATAGCAGTGGAAGGACCAGGACCTAAAGATGACCATACCACCAAGGATTTCAGAGCATCAGAAGCGAAACAGCATGTTGCTAAGGCAATTCTTTCTGTCATCTCTGCTCTTCCAACCTGTGGCAAAGCCAGATAATTGTCCCTAAGTTCCCATTATCTACTTCTTTAGTAATAGAAACCCTAATATTTAGCTAGGAATGTCCGGGGTGGGGGGTGGATTCTCCTTGGCTGAAATAAACTCTGTATTTCCCAGCCTCTTCCAGTTGGGTGTGGTCATGTATCTAAGTTCTAGACAATGAGATGAAAATAGAACTGCCATGTAAAATTTCTGAGAAATGGCCTTAAGAGGTATTAAATCAAGGTTAGCCTAAGGGTGCCTCCTTACATATTTTAAGTTCAGCCTAAAAGTTTCTCTGTACATCGTGAACTGTACTCTAAATGAAGTTGTAAACAGAATGTAACCTACTCTTGTGCCAATCACCAAGTTTTGGCCAATCAAAGGTGGTCAGCTGTTCAAACCATGTTCAAATAAGGCAAACTCTGAGCTGTAACCAATCTGGCTGTTTCTGTACTTCTATTTTCTGTAAATCACTTTCCTTTTTCTGTCTATAAATCTTCTCCACCATGTGGCTGCACTGCACTGGAGTCTCTGAGCCTACTCTGGCTCAGGAGTCTGCCCAATTCAGGAACTGTTCTTTGCTCAATTAAATTCTTTTAAATTTAATTTGGCTGAAGTTTTTCTTTTAACAAGGGAGAGGTGTATATTTCGCTCTTCTTTCCCACTGGCTGGAATGTGGAAGTGATGACTGGAGCTTCAGCAACTACCTTGAACAGTGAGGTGGAAATTATTATTCAGAATAGATGGAAAATACTATTCAGATACAGGGAGCCTGGATCCTTAGAGATTGTAGCATCATGATTGCAGCCTGAACTGCCACTATAAGCCATTTATATCTTTTGGCACTCACTGTCAACTCTAATCTATCTTATATACAACCTCTACCTTAGGCACCTCCACATGTCCCTAATGACCCCTGGAAAGCCACGTCTCACTAAAACATCCTTACCAAGACAGGGAGAGGCAACAACCTTTGCATTGTGAGGAGCAGTGATTTCGGGCACTGAGAAGCTGTGCTGCCTTTAAACAACTCTATACCATCATCAGCTGGTGTGGGAAAGCCCACGCAATCCCATTTCTCCAGCTCAGTGATGTTCAGGTTTCTACTGTGCGTAGTTCTTTGGTCAAACTTTACATGGACATTTCCAAAGGCCTGCAGGACATCTCCACACAGGTTTCTCACCAGCTCCTCCAACTTGACTTATCTAAACCCAAATTTCTTCATTCTCTCTCTCAGAACAGCCCTTAGGCCAGGGAAAGAGGAGCTCCTGCCATAGGCCTGAAGCTTGAGGGAGCATCCCCACCCCAAAGCCCACATCCTCCTTTTGAGACCATATTCCAGGTACCCAAGACCCCAGAATTCCCTGTCCTGATAGCCTCAGGCCCACTTCTAGGGCTGGTCACTCTGAGGACAGGGTGGGCCAGGAGCAGCTCTCTTCAGGGAATGTGGGTGGAGTTTGGCTGTGAAGGCTGGGAAGTGCATACTTGTCCTTGCAAGGCCCCTCACCATGTTGGGCAAATTCAGGTCAGAAAGAAAAGGAAGTTGTGCAGCAGGGTGGGGCCAAAGACTGGGGGCTGGTTCTCACTGTCTCTATGTTCTGGCATAAAACTCTGAGGAGTCCCAGAAATTAAAATTTCCATCTGGACCTCCAGGACACTGTGAAGGTATATTTGTCAAAGTAGGAGAGTAGGACATGTTTTATTTAACAGTTGGTTGGCTTAATGTATAACTTTAAAATATTTAGACATATGGTATGTGGGCCTCTGTTTGTACTTCTACCGAGGGCCAAGGTGTCTATGTGACACTTCCTGGGACAACAGGGCCTGTTTGCCCCATGGAGGGTATCAGGAATGCCAGCTGAGCTTGGGATGGGAGACGACTAGCCGGGTACTCAGAGAGAGACAGTGCTGGAGCACAGGCCAAAAGGAAGTCAGGAAAGAGCTTCTGCTAGAAGTGAAGAGTGGAAAGAGCAAACCAGGTGAGACAACTAGGGTGGAAAGAGAGTGGAGCAGGAGATGCCAGATGCAGAAATTCCAGGCTGGAGGCATGGGATGAAGAAGAGCCTCTGGTCACAGAACCTGAAGCCAGGAATCAGCAAGGCTGGAAATAGGGCAGATACCAGAAGTACAGGATCCTGCTTAAGCCACACCCTTGTTCCCTATTGTTCTGTGTTTGCATCTTGTCAAACTCAATCTGTATGTCTCAACAGCTGTCCAATGCTCACAGGGTCAAGGGGAGGAATAACCGCAGCATTCCATGGTCCCCCTGCTAGTGGGTAGGTGGTAGCGGTGGGATCCAGGCAGCAGTTTTATCATAGGCAGGTAATGACACTATGCATCAAGATCATCTTCTTGATTTAGCATCCTGGGGAAAGGAGACGGGAAGAACTTGGAAGAGTATCAGAGCCTGCCCCAGTCAAAGACACTAAGGATCAGGAAAGGGTTCCAGCCCAGGAAATCAACTGAAGCAGAATATCAGTTGTGTGGGCCTTGCCAAGGTAGCAGGGAGAGGGAAGAAGGCCAAGGATAAATGTCAGATATAGAGCAATGCCAGTTCTAAGTAGAACTATGGCCATAGCAATTTCTCATCATCCGTGTCTATTTTTGCTGGTGTAATGGTTAGATGATTGGATGGTACTCATGCCATGCTGGTTAAAAATATCTTTTAATGTCACCCTTGGTTGCCAGCCCATTCTCTTCTCGGGTCATGGCTTGCTTTTGAAGTTGGACAGAGAGGAGTAGTGGACCTGAAAACTAGAGGCCTCAGGGTTTCCAGTAATAGCTGAGGAATCTGCAGGACCAAGGGAACCTGGCCACTGGACGCCTCCCCTTCCAGACCATGCCTCAGTAGCCAAGACCCCGGAAGTCTCTGCCCAAATGTCCTGAGCCAATTTTCAGGGCTTGCATGAGCCTCTGCACAGGTCTGTCCTTCTGAGTGTGGACAGGCTCCCCCAATGTACTCCTCAATCTGATCGGTGGCCAAAACAACAGACACTTGTGAGGAGTGTGGATGGAGCTTGGACATGGAGACAGGGGTGTCCACACGTGAGATCTTGAGGCCCTCATACTGCGGGATGGAAAAGAAAGGCCCACTATATCCTGGAAAGGGACTCTGAGAAGTCTGAGGAGTTCTAAATTCAAAACTAGCCTTCAAGGTCAGTGTGAAGTGTATTTGTCAAGATATGAGGATATAATATATTTTATTTAAGTGCTCTGTTAGATTCCTTGATCCTTTTAAATATTTAGATATCAGGCATATGGATTTTCATTTGTCCTCCGGCTCCCACAAATATTAGGGGTGTGTATGCAAGAAACACAGGGATCGTTCTGGCAGAGGTGCATCTTGCAGACATAGCAATGGAGATTTCAGTCCTGATCTAATGAGTCAATGCCACGCATGCCAGAAAGGCCTTCCACAGCATGGTCAGAGGCCAGACAGCAGGAGGGTCCAGGCCTCTTCTTAACAGTCAGCACCAAGGACTGGAGGGCTTTGCATTGACAGCATTTCAGACTGGGTTCTCTTCTCTCCAGTAAGCACTGCCACTATGACTTTCCTCCTACAGTACTGTGTATAGGTGAAATAGTATCATTAAAAATATTCAAAAGCAAGGTCTCTGTGGGCCAGTCAGCACCTGATGCTGACATGTGCAAACAAAGGATTTACTTTATGTATTCATCACATCTACCCTGTGAGGGTGGGAAGGGAAGGCTTCATCATTTCCATTAGCAGATGAGAAAACCAAGGCTTAGTGAGGTTAAATAACTCCAAGATCTCCCAGTAAAGAGAAGGAAGGATCTAAACAAGAAGCTAGGCCTTTTAACTCCGAGTTTAGTACCCTTTCCACTCCACATAGTCCCAATTTAACTCAGAAACAGAAATGCTATAAGAAATCTCCAGCATTTCTTTCCTGAAAGAGTTTATGAACTGCGTTTGGTCAAAGGTTAGCATGTCTATTTATGAAGCTTCTTTAGTTCTGGTTGGTTAATGACATTTAATCGCACGTTCCTTGCAGTGGGCCAGGATAATGGAGAGAGATGCACAGGGGTCAACTAACAACATGCAATTTGATAAAATTCCAAGGCTTTTATGGAGCACAACTGATCCATTATATAAGATTTCATAAGCCAAAGGTAAAATTAAAGTGAGAAAAACTGCCTAAAAATGTCAGGTAGGTGTAGTAGACCATGCAGTTACCTTTTTCTCAGGCAGTTTCAGAAACTGATAACTTAGCAAGATTGGAAACTTTATGTGCAAATGTTGGATGTATAAAATAAGTCAGTAATCAGAGTCGCCAGTGTTCCTTCTCATAAGCTGGTATCTTTGATATCTCCAGTGAGTCAGATAATGAGTCTTTGTAGGACTCACCAGGAACTTCCCTCTGACTCTTCATGGTGCTGAGGTTGCTATCCCTAAAGTGCTGTAGAGTTACGGTAGCAGTTAATTTATGCTGTGTAACAAACCAATCCCCAAAATGTACTGATTAAAATAATCATTGATTGGCTTATGATTCTGTAAGTTGGCCCTTTGGGCTGTACTCATATGGGCAGTTCTGCTGGTCTGACCCAGGCTTACTCATGTGGTTGCAATCCGCTTGAGGGCAGGATGGGTGGCCGTGGCCTGCTTCCACATCTTCTTTTCCTCTAAGAGGCTAGTTCAAGCTTGCTTGCATAGTTTCCAAGCAGCAATTCTGAACCCCAATGTGCACGTGTTTCAAATGTCTCTTTGCATCACATTTGCTAATGTCCCATTGACAAATGCAGGTCACAGGACCAAATGGCAATGGGAGGAAATTCAAAGAAATTGTGGCTTTTCATTTCTTTTTTTTTCCCCCCTTGCAAATCTACTGCAGTCTTTTCAGGTCCATCAAAAATCTCATCTTATTATGGCAGCAGACTTGATGGCCATGATTTCATTCTCCAAATCAGGTCCAACTGCAGATGAGGTTTCACTCTTCAAGTGCAACTCCTCTTGATCTGGAAACCTATAAACTAAAAAGACAAGTTATTGCCATCCCCTCTCCCCACTTATAAATACCTTCCTTCAATGTGATATAGGGAAAGGATGAGCCAAACCAACACTCTCATTTATAGAGAGGAGGCAAAGAGAAGTCACTGGGTCATAGCAATTCTGAAATTTAACTAGGTACATGTTGCCAAGACCCCCTTGCCTGGAGGCAGCAAATGTTCTTGATTAGGATATGGTTCTACTGCCTGGGAGTAGTTCACAGTCCATTGTCTTATATGAGTTCCTGTGACAAAATATAAGATACATTAGAAAAGGGCTTAACACTTAGATAATACATAAGTCACAGATAGTTAATACTAAATGTTTATTCTGCAGACACATAGTATTCTAGAAGGTTACAGGTATAGGGCAGATTAGGATTTGATACCATGTTTGTAATCTCTCTACTGGATGAGGCAACCTAAAATGTGTGAACGCTTTCCATCCTGAGCTTTTGATTACAACCTGGTAGGTTTGGCCTGTATAGTTTGGTGCATGACTTTGGTTTTCAACAATATAGTATCTTCATACTGCAAAAAGGGCTAATTAAATGATCCTTATATTTTCAGTTGTAGTAAGATGCCCTAATACAGTGGCTGTCAGGGATACACCTTCCCTTAAGGGCCACTTGGAAATATGGGGGAGACATTTTGATTTTCACAGTGTTTGAGGGCTGTAATTGCCATCAGTTAGGTAAGTGTCAAGGATTCTCTATGTACTGCAATGTGCTGGATGATCTTGCACAGTGAATAATTGATGCATGATTGCCATGACTTTTAGATGTCCCAGAAGACAGCAATGTAGGTGAAAAACCTGTCTGCAATTATCTAAGCTTAAAGCCTAACTCGATTTTTATATAAACACAGACTATCTTGGGTACAGTTTAAATATATACTGAATTTTCCATGAGTGCAACTACCATGTGAGTGGAGGGAAGATTATACTTTGCTTTGTTGGGAACTTAACCAAGTGTTGTTAGCCACTTCAGAAAATTGTATCACTGGCAACGATATTGCTTGGGGCACTTGAGCTGCCAACACTGCACCTCTGTCTGTTGGCATTTTTAGCTGTTGCAATCATAGTAACTCTACATAGAGGCACAAACATCTGACTTCTTCATTCTGTCTTCTAATGAAGCCATGTCTGAGCTTCTCCATATTGATATGTTATTTTATTATACATTATGTTCCTTTTATTTCTTATTTAAATTACAGTTATGGCATTATATTGATTTTTAAAACATTATGTTTGAAGGTAAGATATATCATCTGTGATTTTAATCTCAAGATAATAAAGAAGGTATTGTACAATATGTGCTCTAAAAGGGGACATTAGGTCTGATAGGGTTTAGAAGCACTGCCCTAATACAAGCTTATCAGGATAGAATTTTTTCAGAGGCCGGAGGAGTGCAGGTTAAACATGAGCAAGACTAAACCATTACATGAACTCATGCCCAGGGTCATTGGTAAAAGAAAGATGGATTCGATATTGGAAAATAGATTCTGTATCTTATATGCTTAAAAACCAGATAAGACTGACAGGTTTTGACAGCACACTAATAAAGAATGTGATTTTCTTTTTCATGACTTTAGAAAAACATTTGCTTATTAGTTTTTATTTTGACATGTGCTAGAATTTATCTACGTATTTATGACTTCCTCAGATTATTCCAGTCAATGGCCTTGGGTTCCGAACATATGGAAACACTGTCCTATGCTCAGTGCCTCACGCTCCAGCTCTGGGCTTAGGCTTGGTTGGGAGGGTTGAATGGTGGTGTTGTCCCAGATGCCGATTCTCAACCTCTTGCTTCCAACCAGAAGAAGCTGCAATTCCCAGATGTCCTCTCCCAGCATTCGGACAGATGGCCCAGAAAATGTAACTCTGGCTCTGAAACTGGCTTGCCTCCAGTCCCAGCCAACATCTTGTTTCCTTGGTTTGACCCACAGTTTGGCCGTATCAACTCTACTGAGGCTTGCCTTTACCAAACTATAGCCTCCTGGGCATGTTGGTGTCACCTACTCCAAAAAGGGCGACTTGAATAAATCCTCAAAGGAGACTGATGGTCAGTGATATCCCTCATTTAGACAGAAAGTAGGAATTTGCTTATTATTTAGTCCCAGAATAATTTGTTTATCTCAGTTTGTGGAAATGAACCTTAAACAATCTGGATTTCCAAACACTTCCCTAGAATGAAGAGTTCAATCATGATGGATGGCAACTTTTTCCTCACCACAAAAAGAAGCTGGTCAATCTGCTCACCCAGCTCCTTTTCATCAGTGTGTCTCCAATGGGAACATTTCACTCGCTGCTACTTCCATACTCACCCAGGCCTAGCAAGCTGTTAATCTTTTGTAGATAGTAAATCAGCTATTTTACTTTTTTGACACCTTCCTTTTCCATCACTGCAGCACTGATACAGGCCATAAACTAACCGGTTGGCATTTTAAAAGAGCCCTTCTTTCTTCCACCCTAAATTATGTTTTTTGGTAGATGGATGTATCTTACTTGATTATGGAAGTTTTCTTTTTCAAAACTTGGTCAGGCATGCTCAGTAGGTCTATTGTAACCCATTGTTAGCCCAGCACTCTCTCTACCACTTCAAGATGAGCCAAATGATGTTTTCAAAGCCATGGGAATATTTAGACTTAAAAACATGCCTTTCTTTTGGGATGAAGAGACAATACTCCTAACCATTGTTGGAAGTATTATGGCAAAGTATTAAAGAAATGCTTCGAGGCATGGTTCTATTCAAAGCAATATACAAAGAGGGGTTCCTGAGCTTAAATGCCTGTTGGTGTCACTTTGCTTGAAGGGGACCTGCCCCAGACAGGCAAAGGAGAGATCCTCAGCAGCCATATCTTACTGAGGGGGTTTCACCTCTGTCACTAGCCGATTGACACAGCGGTGAACACCTGTTCTGAGCTGAGCAAATCAGATTCTCTCTGGAATCTCCAATTTGGAATTTTGAACCAAGACTCACAAAGATGGGATTACTCGGAGCTGAAGCACATCAAAGGCAGCACTCTAGAGAGAAAGTCCACGGATTCCTGCTGCTGAGGTTTCAGCCAGCAGACTTGGCTGTTCCCCTCATCCCCAGATTTGGGAGCTGCCTCTGCGTCCTTTCAATAAGTTACCTTTTTAACTTAACTTAGCCAGACTGTTTCTAACACTTGGAACCAAAAGAATGTTAACTAACATGCAGACAATGGCAGAGAATACCAATGTAGCAAAATGTCTGCCACGCTTAATGATAAGGGAATGAAGACAGACACTCAGTATAGAATGGGGCAGTGTTTTCATCATGGGCATCTTGGTGACCTTGGTTTTCAAATTAAAAAGTAGGCAACATGATCTGATAGATATGAGTATGCTTATGGAGGAAATAACATATTTGAAAGAAGTGTCTAGAAATACATAAGATGTTTGGTTACTCTCTATGTAAGTGTATGTACAGGACAGAAAATCACAATAGGGCATAGAGAGGAGAGGAATGATAGAGGACTCAACAAGCCACTCTAAAACAAAAACAAAATGAAACAAAAGCCCACTTTGCTTCACCCTGAAATGGCTCTGCCTTCTGGTAACGCCAGATTCAACTTTCTCTCAGGAGGAAAGCAGGAACAGCATATTAATGAGGTTTCAACTTTACATTCTTATGATCAGTGAGAACAGCCTAATATTCTCTTGATCACACTGAGTCACCTTCCTGTGCTATTTGTTTGTTTTAAATGCAGCAAAAGCTGCTTTGTCTGCAGTTCTGGAGGTCACTGGCTCCTGGGGAGAGAGGACAGGAAAACTGAAGGAGACTTTTTGCTATGTACTGCTTGGAAGGGTGCCTTTTCAGATGTGAAGGGCAGTTTGGCTTCCTAAACCTAATTATATGGAGTTGTTTCTAGGAGAATGCAGCTGCCCTACTCTACTGGCCACCTGAAAGAGTTAATGTTTCCCCCAAGTCTAGACTCAAGACAACAGAGTGCTGATGTGTACTTGGATGCCATGGCCATATTTATGATTTGCCAGATGATCCATTTGGCTTTGTAAGTTTAATGTTTTCAGGTTGATAGGTGATAATTTTGGTTGGATTTATGCATCCAATAATCAACTGGGAAATAATTCTGATTCAATAAGATACATTATACAGCAGCTCTATATCAGTAAGTAACATCTCTGGATTGCTGTATACTACTAGGAAATTGAAATTTTTTCAAGAAAACTACATCAGATTTTTGGGATGGTACCATATATTTATTTCAGACTAAAAAACTATTGCCGATAATATAAGCTGGCTAACTCAATTTAGTTTGTAGAAATGTAGTTATTTTGAGGTCTAATTAATGGATATCTTTGCTAAAATCTGAAGTGAAATGAAGATGTTCACAGACTTTGATTGAATAAAGGATAAACCAATAAAAGCAAAAGTACTATTCAATATTTCACTAGTATTCTGGCTGGTTGTAGTTTACATAATTTGAAGAAAGCAAGCAGCCACAGTTGCAGCTACAGCCAGTTAACTGTAGCTGTTAACTTTGTAATCATTGGTGTGGGAAGAAATGATTTTAGCCACAATAGGTCCTTTACCACCCCACTTTGGTAGACACTACAGTGAAATCTTGACCAGAACCCACAGCCTCTTGATTCTCTGCAAAAAACCTTATTGAATTCAGAACTGCCTCTTCCCTGAATAGAAACCATCACTGCTGGGTTGCCACAACAGTGCCAGTGACATTTTCAGAGAAATATACAAGCAGATTCAAGTTTTCAAAGATCTATATATCCTTTTCTGCTTCGATATCTTTAAACTTGCACAATAGCAAATCCATGCAGGAGGATGCACTTTAGAATTCATACGATATTAACAGTTATCAAGCACTTATTATATGGCAAACACTTTTTAGGAGGCTTGCATGTGTTAAGTCATTTAATCCTCAAGGTGGCCCCACTAAGTGGATGCAATTATTATCATTATCCCCATTTTACAGATGAGAGGATAACTAACTGGTCTAGATCTCATAAACAGAGGCAGAGCTGGGCTTCAACCCTGCATTTTGTGGCTGGGTAGGCACTTCTAAGTGCAGCACTACACTTGACTGCATGTTTTGCCCTCAAAACTATTACCGTTGATAAAGATGAACACGTTCTGAATTTTCATGTGTGCTTGAATTTCATAGCAAGTATCTATTAACAGGCTCTCCAGGGAAAGCAGATATGTTAGGAGCCTTGGAACTGGCCAAGAAACAGAGCATGTTTCTCTGAATGTCTCCCACCACTATTCTCTTGTCTTACTGATGTTTTATTAGCAGTTTTCTGTTTACATTCTTTTGTCAAACAGTATCTTCCCTCTCATAGTAAACTGCACAGATCTCAAGTGTACGGTTTGATGAATTTTGACAAATATATGACCCTGTAAATCAATATTCCAATTAAGTTATAGAACATTGCCATCACCCTAGAAAATTCTTACCCTGGAAAGTTCTCTTCAAGGTCTATAGCCCCTCCTCTTCAGGAAATCACTGCTCTGATTTCTACCTTCATATGTTAATTTCCCCTGTTACTGAACACACAGTATGTCATTCTGGGGAGTCTAGCGTCTTTCACTTAACAGAGTGTTTTTGAGATTCATTCATGTTGTTGCATCTATCAGTAGTTCCTTCTTTTTATTGCTATGTGGTATTCCATTGCATGAAAATGCCACAATTTCTTTATCTATCCTTTTGTTGATGGTTAATTTTGTTATTTTTAAATTAATAAGTGAAGCAGTAATGAACATTCTTGTTTAAATCTTTTCATGGATAAATGTTTTCATTTCTTGTAGGTAAATATCTAAGTGTGGAATTGCTGGATTATGAGGTAGGTATATTGTGAACATTGTAAAACATTCAAGTAGTTTTCCAAAGTGATTGCATCAATTCACAATCCCATTAGCCATGTATGAAAGATCCAGTTGCTCCATGTTATCTCCCACACTTGGTATTGTTAATACTTTTATTTTTCAGTTATTCTAATGGGTGTGTGGGTATTCTCATTGTAGTTTTGATTTGCATTTCCTTGTTGATTAATAATCTTGACAATCTTTTCATGAGTTTATTAACCATTTGTATATCCCTTATTGTGAAGTATTTATTTAAGTATTTTGCCCATTTTAAAACTTTGGTTGTTTTACTTTAAAATTATTGATTTGTAGGAGTAACTTATCTATCAGGGACACATGTTTTTTGTCAATGCTTCTCAGAATGGGTTTCTTAGGAAGCAGATGGAGAGGCAAATGTATGAGAAGTATTAGGGAGTGCTCTTGGGATCAACATCCGTAGGAAAAAGGAAGATTGTTAAAGGGAGAAACTGGCCACCTGTGTAGTCACAACATAGGAAATTCTGAACCTGGTGGGCCTTCAGAATTTTCCTAAGTTGCAGTGCAGGACCAAACATTTACACTCCTGAGTCAGTAAGATATTAGATGTGGACTACCCCCAAAAGGAGGTGTGACATCTTCAGCCTAGGCAATTCTTGAAGAGAGTTGTCAACTGAGAGCTGTCAGCCAACAATTTTCTAAGCAGCTCATTACATAATCCTCTAGTCTCAGAGAGGGGTCTCGGTGATGCAACATGCACTCATGATGGTTAGATACATGTATTGCAAATATTTCTCCAAGTTTATTATTCAGATTTCATTTTCTTTATAGTGTCTTTTGATAAGCAGAATTTAAAAATTGTATCCAGTTTATTAGTTTATCAATTTTTTTCCTTTAGAATTAGGTCTTCTCACATTTTAAGACAACTTTGCCTATCACAAGGTCACAAAGATATTTTCCTGTGTCTTCTTTTAGGGACTTTATAGTATAGCTTTTAAGTTTAAGTGTGCAATCCATCTTGAGTTAATTTTTGGGAATGTAAGGTATTCATCATGGTCCTTCTTTTTCCCATATGGATATCCAAATGTTCCAGCACCATTTGTTATTGATCTATTAGTCTATTCTGATACCAGTATTACATTCTCTTAATCACTGTGGCTTTATTGACAATATTGCAATTAGGTAGTGTATGCCTGCCAGATTTGGTTACCCTTTTCAAGATTGTTTAGTACCTTTGATGCTTGAACAACATGGATTTAAACTGCACAGGTACACCTAAACATGAATTTGTTTTCAATAAATACATTGAAAATTTTTTTGGAGATTTGTGACAATTTGAAAAAACTTACAAAAGAACCACGTAGCCTAGAAATACCCCCCAAATTAAGAAAAAGTTAGATATGTCATGAAGGCATAAAACATACATAGATACTAACCTATTTTATCCTTTACTACCATAAAATACACATAGATCTTTTCTAGAAAGTTAGAATTTATCAAAACTTATGCATATAAGCATTTACAGATCATAGATGGTGCCACTCACAGTCCAGAGAAATGTACACAAATGTAAAGATGCAGTATTGAATCACAACTACATAAAATTCACTGTTGTACATATTGTACTACTGTCATAATTTCATAGCTACCTCCTGTTGCTATTTCCATGAGCTCAAATGTTGCAAGTATCTGCTTAAAATGCCATGTGATGCTAATCATCTCCACATGAGCAGTTTGTCTCTTCAGTATATTGCAAATTGCAGTGGAAAGTGATTTCTCTCAGTTCTTGCATATTTTTCAATGAGTTAAGTGCAACAGCATAGACCTTGAGTAACACCATGGGACCCATACAAAGTGCCACTAGTGATGCTGGAAGCACTCCCAAGAAGCAGAGAAAAATTATCACACTACAATAGAAAGTCGAATTGCTTGATATGTACCATAGATTGAGGTCTGCAGCTATGGTCACCCACTATTTCAGACAGACAATCAATCCTGTAAACAGACAATGCAAACTTACAGTATCAATAAATACCATGTGTACTGTAAATGTATTACCTCTTCCTTATGATTTTCTTAATAGCATTTTTTCTCTAGCTTACTTTATTGTAAGAATACAGTTTCTTATAGTACATATAACAAACAAAATAAGTGTTAATTGACTATTATCAGTAAGGCTTCCAGTTAGTAGTTAAATTTTTTGAGAGTCAAAAGTTATATGCAAATTTTTAAGTGCATGGGGGTTGGTGCCCCTAACCCTCATGTTGCACAAGGGTCAAGTGTTCTAAGTTGTTTAGTATTCATCGTACATTTTAGTATCAGCATGTCAATTTCTACAAAAGGATATGCCAGTATTTTGTTGGAATTGTATTGAATTTACAGATCATTTGAGGAAAATGGCAGGCAGAATAATTTTTCCCTTCCCCTCACCCCCTGCCAAAGACGTTCATATTCTAATCCTTGGAACTTGTAAATAAGTTAGGCTATGTGGCAAAGGGAAATTAAGGTTGCAGATGTAGTTAAGTTTGCCACCCAATTAACCTTAAAATAGGGAGGCTATCCCGGCTTATCTGGATGGGGCCAGTGTGATCACAGCAGTCCTTAGCTATGGAAAAGGGGTGCAGAAAAAGAAGTCAGAATGATGCAATACAAAAAAAACTTGACATGCTGTTGTTGACGTTTCAAAACAGAGGAAGAGGCCATGAGCCAAGGAGAGTGGGTGGCCTCTAGAAGATGGAAAAGACAAGGAAATGGATTCTTCCCCAGAGCCTCCAGAAGGAATAGAGTCTTGACACCTTTATGTTAGCCCAGTGAGACCCACATCTGACTCCCTGATCTACCGAGCTGTAAAATAAGGAGTTTGTATTATTTCAACTGACTAAACTTTTGGTAAATTATTAAACAACCATAAGAAACTACTACAAGGGATAATTGATATCTTCACAATATTGAATCTTTCAATCTGTGAAAATGGTATGGCTCTCCATTTATTTAGATTTTCTTTCTCTCACCAATGTTTTATAGTCGTCAGTCTAGCAAACGTGTATCTGTCATTAAATTTATTCCTAGGTATTTTATGTTTCTTGATTGCTACTATCCATCATTTAAAAAATGTTATCTTCCAGTTGTTTGTTGCTGACTTCGCTTGTGAGACCTAGAAGAGTTTTGTAGATTCTTTTGCATTTTCTAGGTATATAATCATATCATTTGTGAATAAAGAGTTTTACTTATTCGTTCCCAATATTTATGCATTTTATTTTATTCTCTTGCCATGTTGTAGTATTGGCTGGGACTTCCAGTGCAATGCTGAATGCAAGTGATAAGAACAAACTGTTTTTTGTTATTTCTGAACTTAGAAGGATAGTATCCAAAATTTCACTATTAAGTCTTTTGTAGCCATAGAGTTTTCATGTCAGATTATTAAAGTTTCCTTCTATTTATATTTCCGGAGAGATTTTACTACAAAGGAGTTGAATTTTGTTAAATTATTGTTCTATATCTATGAAGAAGGTTACATGGTGATTCTCCTTTATTCTGTTAATGTGATGAACTTTTTTTTTTTTTTTGAGACAGAGTCTTGGTCTGTCGCCCAGGCTGGAGTGCAGTAGTGAGATCACGGCTCACTGCAGCCTTGAACTCCTGGGCTCAAGTGTTCCTCCTGCCTCAGCATCCCGAGTAGCTGAGACTACAGGTGTGTGCCACCATGCTCAGCTAATTTTAAATTATTTGTAGAGATAGGATCTCCCTATGTTGCCCAAGCTGATCTCAAACTCCTGGGCTCAAGCAACCCTCCTGCCTTGGCCTCCAAAAGTGCTGGGAGTACAGGCATGAACCACCACACCTCACGACGAGTTACACTTTTACATTAAATTGACCTTGAATCCCTGGGATAAACCCCACTTGGTTGTGCTGTATTACCCTATGTGCACATTGCTAGAGTTATAGTGTTAATATTTTGTTAAAACTTACTTCTCTGTTACTTCTTTTCTTGTAATGTACTTGCCAGTTTTGGTTTTAGGGTTATTCTGGCTTCACAACAAAGTTGGGAAGTATTGTTTTCTCATCTATTTTCTGAAAGGACTTATGTAAGATTGGCATTATTTCCCCTTTAAAGATATAATTTACCAGTTAAGCCATCTGGGCCTTGAGTTTTCTTTATGGGAAGGACCTGAATCCTGCTAAAAACTGCATGAGTTTGGAAGTAAATTCTTCTCCAGTCAAGTCTTTAGCTGAGACAGCAGCCATGGCTAACACCTTAATTGCTGCTTTGTGACACCCTGGAGCAGAGGCCAGCTATGTCATGCCCACACTGCTGACCCACAGAAACTGTGAGATAATAACTATATATTGTTTTAAATAGCTATATTTTTGGCAAAGTTATTATACAATAGTAGTTAACTAATACACTCCCTTAGCCCTACTTTTGTTTTATTCCATGCATTTTGATATGTTGTTGTGTCATTTTAATTTCATGAACATTTTCTCATTTCCCTTTGATTCTTCTTTGACTTATGGGTTATTCAGAAGTTAGTGTTAGTTTCCAAATACTGTAGATTTTTCATGTATCAATTTTTATTATTGATTTCTAACTTAATTCTATTTTGATCATAGAAAATACTCTGTATTATTTCAATCCTTTAAATGTACTGCCATGGTCTATCTTCCATGTGTACTAGAAATGAAAGTGTATTTTGTAGTTGTTGGATGAAAATATATAAATGTGATTTCCAGTTTTAGTTCTGACGTGTTAACAGCCTGAATCATCACTCTCATCCTTACAGCAAGAAGAAGCTGGAAAACTGAAAATCAATGACTCTTATTGGACACATCAGAGAACTGAGGTTATAGGGCAACCCTTCTCCCCAAAATCTGGGAGACAGGTTCATCCAGAGAAACATAGCCAAGAGCTTCTTACCTGAAGCAGAAGGTACTCAAGCCATAAAGTAGACAGAACCTTTACACAGTAAATTTGATAAATTTTGTTGGAGGCTGAGTATGGACTTGAATGAGAAACTCCTGGGAATCACAGTCTCAGGTGGCCCCTGCACTTTCACGGACTGTATTTTCAGGGACCTCAGCAGGTTCTCACAGTGAAGGGCGAAGGAAGATCCCCTGGTAGCTCTGGAAGAGAAGAGGAAGAGTGAGAAATATACCCAGAAATATCCCAATGGGAAATATACCCAGAGACCTCTCCCTAACAATGGCCTATGCTCCATGGGGAAAGAATCTTTCAGAACTTTATCCCAATTGGGGGAAGGATATTCTTCCCACTGAAGCTCCCTCCAGTCTTCCTGTCTCATGTAAGGAGGAAAGACATAGTCAACAAGGGTCAAGGCTTTAAGAAAATATATTGGGATTGGAGCAGTCAGGGATAGGAGTGGAGGCAAGAGAGGGAAAAAGGTCTTTACCACTGGAGAAAAACTTGTAAAAGACACAGGCCCAATAAAACACAGAGATTTAATTAGAAGAGTATAGAATGCTCCTTATCCGCCATGGCTTACCACCACACCAGCGGGGCTCCAGTATTATAACAGTGGATTACAGCTGAAAGAGCTGTACAACACAACTCTTTTTGAGGAGGAATACCTAGGGAAGCTGAAAGTCAAAAAGGGAGACGAAAACAAAGATGCCAGAGGAATTTGAAGCTTCTGGCATCTATAGCTACATCAAACATTAAAAAGTCTAATTTCTAGCTAGATTACCATAAACTCTAAAATTAACAAACTATTTACCTGAGTTCTTATTATCTAATACAGCATGCCCAGCTTTTCTCAACAAATTGTGGAAGAGAATGGGGAGAATTATTATGCCAAGAAAAAATGCTGCATTTAAGGGGTCTTCCATACCTCAGTCCATCCTGCCTTCCTTTACCATTGCCAATAGATCAGCTGGCCTCTTCTTACCTGATACACTTATCAAGTTTATGGCACGTCTTCTCATCTGCCTGCCTATATCTAGACATAGAACTTACCCTAGAGGATGTTGTCACTTTCTGCTGACCCATGAAAGGTTTTGATCTATTAAAAATTAGTTTGTCAAGGTTTTCTTTTGTCCACCACTTTTCTATTGTCTCATATGTAAGTATAATTTTATATTATGACTTTTCTTGTGTTACTGTAAGAATGAAGGTCTTCTGAGTCTTTTCACATCTTAACTCTTGCCCCATTTATTTATTTTTTTACTGTGCTTTCTATTTCCCCCCAAGATTCTTATCTCAGTGTTTTTTTGTCAGTTTGTTAATATCATCCCAAACTTTTAATTGTTTTTCTTATTTGATTATTTGCTCAGATGTTCTTGGCTTGAACTATTCCTCATTTTCCTTAAACCTTGTTTTAACAGGCCAAAAAGAAGGTGTATGGCTTTTACTGTGACACACATAACTTAGTCAACACTTGCCTTTACTAAGAAGGAGTCTTTTTTAAACCAATACATAATTATAGAAATAGAATAGATGGTTGATTCAAGAATCTGCTGATTTACCTTTCATGCAGTAGGCCACATGTACACTCACTCTATTCTCACTCTCACTCTCTCTCTTTCTCTAATTGTCAATCCAAGTCACAGTGGTTCAAAGGACTTTCATATAATAATTATTTTATGTCAAAATAACCACTACTTATCAGAAAATAAAAATTCTTTATCTCTTCTGCCTCCTCAGTGTTTTGGTCATACTTTTGAGTAGGATAAGTTGACTGTGGGCTGTTTAAAAATAATCTTCACCCACTGCTTCCCTAAACTGATTCAGGATTTAAACCAAAAGTGAGACAACTACATTTCTGATGTCAGATTTGCTTGCCTCTCTCCAAAATTCTGGCAGGGAAATTTAAGTTGTTACCATCTTTAGAAGACTTGAAAATTAACATAGTGGTTGAGCAGTTTCATATGCATAGTTGCCAGAAGAAATCCACTTAAGCTCGGCTAATTACAGAGAAGTTTATTGTAAGGATACAGCATCTCAAGGTGTCCAGTTTTAGCAAGAACTAAAAAATTTTATAGAACCAGAAGGTTATCAGTAAAATTCTTTTACTCTCACTTTCCTCTTCTTCCTGTCCCTCTGGCCCCTGGTTCCTTGTCTCTGCTGCACCTGTTTCATTCTTTTGTCTTTGGAAAAATTCCCATTACCAGTGCTCCTAAAAGAGCAGCACCCACCTCTGATTACAAATGGTGTTTCTAGTCTGCACATCCAAAACCAGGAGAGAGAATGTGATGGGCTCAGCTTCAGTGTGATGGGCTCACACTCTCAGATAGGCAAGGACACAGTGTTCTAGTGCTCTTTCCAGGCAGTGCCAGGTATGCTCTCTAAGAAGGGGTATGGGCATCAAGGAAATGATAGTTGGGTAAAGGACAATCATCTCCAATACAAAATTTTGACAAGCTTGTAATTATTTAATTTATTGACTGCTATTGCCAAATATCAATAGCTATTGACAATGTTATTTTAATACACATTTTGATTATGATTTCCTCTAACTTATTTATTTTATAGGTATTATGGAAAATATATAAATAAATCATATCCTTCAATAATAATTATGTCTATCTTAATAGGTATCTTCAGTACCTCACAATGGTATTTGGTAAAGCCAGAGAAATAATTAACTATGTTTATATTCAGTCTTTTGTTGCCAGTGATAATGTTTGAGGCTTTGATAAAACTCTTGAGTTTAACGATTAATAGTATAATTTCTCTCAAAGTTTACCCATTGAAAATTATAATTCTTGATGAAACTAGTTGAGAAATGATAAGCTTCATCTTTATATGTTCCCTTTCTGGTATGTGACATTAAAGTCATTTACTTAAAGATTATGGTTGATTTTTTTTTAAAAAAATCAAAATCCTCACATTTTCAAAGTTAGAAAGCAGCTAAAGATGTTACTTCAATTCCTAAAAGCAAGGCCTTATTAATTCTCTTTTAGTGCTAAAGGATTACCATAAAATTATCATAAATTCTTCTTAATTTCTCTCTCTCTCTTACACACACACACACATGCACATAGAATCATAGAAATCACAGGAATTTTACAGTTGGCCTCCTGAGACAAAACATATAGTATATAAGAATTCTCAGTTATCTGGCTCTGAATTACTCATTTGTAATTATCTGTGGCAAATGGTTAATCTCAGGCTGATGCACCATTGCCAACCAGCCCACCTGGGCCATTCTTCCCATTATGAATTAGTGTGTGGTCAGGGATAGCAAATTACTTTAGCAATAACCAGGGAATACAGATTTAGAAAGACCTAGCTGCAAGAAAAAGTAATTGAATGTACTTCCAAACTAAACAGCCATATGTTTTTGGATGATCTACCATTGGGATTATTTCCATTTTGGCTCCCCTTCATTGATGCAGGTGATTGGGAGAGTGCATTACTAACAACAGTTCCTAAAACGAGGAAAATCTGTTCTCCGCCGGCCTGCTCCTGTGCATAGCCTAAGCAGAGTCAAGAATGACATTTCCTTAAAAATGTAGGTATCAAAAATTTCCTTAAAATTATAAAACTGATTTCATATCTGAAAAAGACAGATTCTCCCATAGGAGGCTATGTCCTTGTAGCTAATAGGACCCTTCCAAAATTTCCATATCCAAACTCTCCGTATAGGGTAGAGGGGGATACAGTGCAAAGAGAGAAAGGGGAGGAAAAGCAGATATGCCTGGACTGCCTCTGTAATTGAACATCTTCTGGCTATTCTTAGATCTTTGGTGAAAGAATTCACTTTGATCAAGTTCTTCAAAGCTTTCAATTACCTACAGGATAAGGATTGTAGATACCAATTTATGATCATGATTTAGAGACTTTAAGTATTTAAATATAATACTATAGAATGAATGAGAATAATTAATATTAATATTACATATTTAAAGCACCTCAATTTTCAGAAGACTTTCATATTATTGAACTCAACTTCCAAATACTTCTTTCTGATAGACTAAGAGCATAAGGGTAATGTGGAAATGTACTACTGATTTACTAATAGTGAATATGCACTTCTGCCTGTGTTGCCAATACTCCATTTCTTCTCCAGCCAGTTTTGCATGCTGCTGCCTGATTTATCTTTCTTTTCTTTTCTTTTTTTTTTTTTTTTTTTTTGAGATGAAGTCTCACTTTGTGAAGTGAGTCTCACGTCTCACTTTGAGATGAAGTCTCACTTTGTTGCCCAGGCTGGAGTGCAGTGGCATGATCTCAGCTCACTGCAACTTCTGCCTCCAGGGTCCAAGCAATTCTCTGCCTCAGCCTTCCTAGTAGCTGGGATTGCAGGCACCCACCCCGCCGCCAGGCTAATTTTTGTATTTTTAGTAGAGACCGGGTTTCACCATCTTGGTTAGACTGGTCTTGAACTCCTGACCTCGTGATCCACCCGCCTCAGCCTCCCAAAGTGCTGGGATTACAGGCGTGAGCCACTGTGCCCAGCCCTGATTTACCTTTCTAAAGGACACCTGTAATCACATCTCTCCCTTGATCCTCATCACCTTTCCTGGAAGTAAAAGCTAGACCTGCTCCACCTTTCTAATCTTATTTCTTCCTTAGCCTCCTCCACAGACCCTCAGTGTTAGTCAAAGTGGCCTCACTAGTGGCTTCGCTGACCAGGTAGGGTAATTTCTTTTTGCCAAAAATGTCTCCTTCCCTTTGCAACTCCATGAATCAATTCAAATCCTGACATTTCTAATAGTTTTGAATAAACATGTTTGATATTATCCTAAGGCTCATAGGTTAGTGCTCTTAAAGCTTTTTACAAATTTACAGATTTATTATTATATTTTGTATTTTAAAAATTAAAATATTATATTTAAATTTTTATATTTTAAAAATATGAAATATAATGACATATAGTGACATATATTTACATACATGTAATTTTTAAAAATTCCATTTAATCCTGTTTGATTTGAATTTTAGTTTGTTCAATAGTAATACTGCCATCCCTGCTACTTTGTTTTATTTTGGTGTAATTTTCCTGGCTTTTTGTTTTAACAAACTTTAGTCATTTTGTTTAAAGACATTATTTCTCTTGCTTTCTCTCTTGTCTTGTTTTAACACAACTTAAGACATCAGAATCTGGTTTTCTTAATTGAGGAATTTAACCTATTCACATTTATTGAGGTAATTGTATGTTTGATTAAATCAGCTAATATTTGTAAAGCGCTCTGAACAGTCCCTAGGACTTGAAAGTGCTGTATTTGTTATATCAATCAATCTTATTTTTGCTTTCTCATTTTGTGTTTTCTCTTTGTAAGGCTTTTTTGTCTTGGTTTGGTTTTGCTTGTTTTCTATTTTGTGTTGTTTTGGGTAGCTGTTCTTCTCTTTTGATGATAAGGTTTTCTTTTTTCACCTGGTATTTGAAAGTTACAAATCTTATTTTTACTGTTCCAGTAGTTATTGTTAGGTTTTTAATAAATATATTTAAACTCACATTTTTCTCAGAATTGATATTTATTCTGTATTTAAAATCTCACTCCCCCCCAGAATAAGGGAAAATCCTCTCACTTACTTTCTCTTTCTCTTTTCCTAGTTTCATTGAAATTGCTTTGAATTTTAAGTTCTAATTATTATGAAATATTTTATGGCATGCTTATCTTTTTAAAAAATTATAGAGTCATATAGCCATATTATCAATAATTATTTAATTTTAATTAAAATTCCTATTAGTATCTATTTTTTCCTCGAATTACACTTCTTTTTTTAAAACCAATTTCTCAGTTTACTATAGCTTTCAATAATTCATTTAGAAAGAATTCATAAGTTGTAAACTGAGATCTTATGTGTTCAAAAATTGCCTTTCCCCACACACGTGAATACTAGTTTTGCTGAAGCAGGAATTCTAGGCTCAAAATAATTTCCTTCAGAATTTAGAAGACATCACTCCATTGTTTTCTAGTGTCATGTATTATAAAGAAGATGCCAATATGCTTTTTTTCTCTTTGGTAGATGTCTTAGTTATTTTGGGCTGCTATAACAAATGCAGTAGACTGGGTGCTTATAAACAACAGAAATTTATTTCTCACATTTCTGGAGGCTGGAAGTCCAAGATCAAGGTGCCAGCAAATTTGGGGTCTGTATTAGTTTGCTTTCATGCTACGAATAAGACTTACCCAAGACTGGGCAATTTACAAAAGAAAGAGGTTTAATTGGACTTATGGTTCCACGTGGCTGGGGAAGCCTCACAATCATGGTGGAAGGCAAGCAGAAGCAAGTCACATCTTACATGGATGGCAGCAGGCAAAGAGAGAGAGCTCATGAAGAGGAACTCCTCTGTTTTTTTTTTTGTTTTTTTTTTGAGACAGAGCCTTGCTCTGTTGCCCAGGCTGGAGTGCAGTGGTGCAATCTTGGCTCACTGCAACCTCCATCTCCCAGGTTTAAGCAATTCTCCTGCTTCAGCCTGCTGAGTAGCTGGGACTACAGGCACGTGCCACCATGCCCAGCTGATTTTTTGTGTTTTTAGTAGAGACAGGGTTTCACCATGTTGGCCAGGCTGGTCTCCATCTCCTGACCTCGTAATCCACCTGCCTCGGCCTCCCAAAGTGCTGGGATTACAGGCGTGAGCCACTGTACCCAGCCAGAACTCTTCTTTTTAAAACCATCAGATCTGGTGAGACTTATTCACTATCAGGAGAACAGCATGGCAAAGACTTGCCTCTGTGATTCAACTACCTCCCCCTAGGTCCCTCTTACAACATGTGGGAATTCAAGATGAGATTTGAGTGGGGACACAGCCAAACCATATCATTCTGCCCCTGGCCCCTCCCGAATCTCATGTCCTTACATTTCAAAACCTCTGAAATCTAGGCAGAGGTTTCCAAACCTCAGTTCTTGACTTCTGTGCACTTGCAGGCTCAACACCACTTGGAAGTTGCCAAGGCTTGGGGATTGCACCCTCTGAAACCATGGCCTGAGCTGTACCTTGGCCCCTTTTAGTCACAGCTGCAGCAGCTGGGATGCAGGTACCAAGTCCTTAGGCTACAAACAGTACAGGAACCTTGGGTCTGGCCCACAAAACCACTTTTTCCTCCTAGGCCTTTGAGCCTGTGATGAGAGGGGCTGCTGTGAAGACCTCTGACATGCCCTGGAGACACTTTCCTCATTGTCTTGGGGATTAACATCTGCTTCCTCATCACTTATGCAAATTTCTGCAGCCAGCTTGAATTTCTCCTCAGAAAATGGGATTTTCTTTTCTACTGCATTGTCAGGCTGCAAATTTTCCAAACTTTTATGCTCTGTTTTCCTTTTACAAATGAATGCGTTTAACAGCACCAAGTCACCTCTTGAATGCTTTGCTGTGTAGAAATTTCTTCCACCAGAACCTTAAATCGTCTCTCTGAAGTTCGAAGTTCCACAAATCTCTAGGGCAAAATGCCACCAGTCTCTTTGCTAAAACATAAGAGTCACCTTTGCTCCAGTTCCCAACAAGTTCCTCATCTCCATCTGAGACCACGTCAGCCTGCTTTTCATTGTCCATATCATTATCAGCATTTTGGTCAAAGCCATTCAACACATCTCTGGGAGTTTCAAACTTTCCCACATTTTCCTGTCTTCTTCTGAGCCTTCCAAACTGTTCCAACCTCTGTTTGTTACCCAGTTCCGAAGTTGCTTCCACATTTTCAGGTACCCCACTCTACTGGTACCAATTTACTGTATTAGTTAGTTTTCATGCTGCTGATAAAGACATACCCAAGACTGGGCAATTTACAAAAGAAAGAGGTTTAATTGGACTTACAGTTCCATGTGGCTGGGGAAGCCTCACAATCATGGTGGAAAGCAAGGACTAGCAAGTCACATCTTACATGCATGGCAGCAGGCAAAGGAAGAAAGCTTGTGCAGGGGAACTCCTCTTTTTAAAACTATCAGATCTGGTGAGACTTATTCATTGTCATGAGAACAGCACAGGAAAGACTTGCCTCCGTGATTCAGTTACCTCCCACCAGGTCCCTCCCACAACACATGGTAATTCAAGATGAGATTTGGGTGGGGATACAGCCAAACCATATCAGGATCTGATGCTTTCTGGTTCTTGCTGTGTCCTCACATGGCAGAAGGGGTAAGGGAGCTCTCTGGGATTTCTTTAATAAAAGCACTAATCCCATTCAAGTGGGCTCAGCCCTCATGACCTAATTGCCACCCAAAGGCCCCATCTCCTATTACCAGCACCTTGGGGGTTAGGATTTCAACATATAAATTTTGGGGGTACACAAATATTTAGTCCATAGCAATAGGTAATCTTTTTTCTGGTCTGTGGTTTTTAGGATTCTCTCTTTAATTTTAGAGTTTAGAAAATTCATCATGATGTGTCTAGGCTTATTTCTTTTACAGTTACTTCTGCTCATCACTCAGTGAGTTCGTTCCATGTGAAGACTCCAGCTCAGTGAAATTTTCCATAGTTCTTTCTTTACAAAAATGTCTAATTTATTTAAATGCAAAAGCAATACTGTAATATGTTTTGCTTTGCTTTAAGGGCTTTTGATTGTGGTAAAATATACAAACATAAAATTTGCCATTTAACTATTTTTAAGTATGTAACCCAGTGACATTAAGTATGTTCACATTGTGACATAACCATTATCACCATTCATCTTCAGAAATTTTTCAACTCAAGCTGAAACTATAACCATTAAATGGTAACTCCCCATTTCCCCCAGCTCCTGATAACCACTGTTCTACTTTCTGTCTCTATGAATTTGACTACTCTAAGTATCTCATATAAGTGGAATCATATGATATTTGTCCTTTCAGATCTGGCTTATTTCATTTAAGCATGTTTTCAAAGTTCAGCCATGTTATAGCATGTATCAGAATTTCTTTCGTTTTTAATGCTGAATAATATTCCATTTTATGGTTATACCACATTTTGTTTATCCATTCATCCATTCATAGACATTGGGTGTTTCCACCTTTTGGCCACTGTGAATAATGCTCTATGAATATCAGTATACAAGTATCTGTTTGAGTCCTTGCTTTTAATTCTTTTTGGTATACAGCTAGAGTTAGAATCACTGGGTCATATGATAATTCTACATTCAATTATTTGAGGAACCACCATACTGTGTTCCATAGTGGCTGCATTATTTTACATTCCCACTAGCAATGCCCAAGTGTTCCAATTTCTCCACATCCTTGCCAACAATTTTTATTTTCTGTTTTGGGTTTTTTTTTTTTTTTGTAATAACCATCCTAATGTATGTAAAATGGTGATTTTTTTCTCATTGTGATTTTGATTTGCATTTCCCTAATGATTAGTGATGCTGAACACTTTTTCATATGCCTACATAATTACTTATTTGATAATTTCCTCCTGATGTTCTCCCTTTTTAGAACTCCAATTAGATGAATGTTGGATCTCCTGCATCTGTCTTTCCTATCTCTCAACTTTGTACTTATTTTCATCTCATTATTTTTTACTATACCCTAGGAGATTTCCTTGGCCACATATTTTAATTTACTAACTCTACTTTCTGTTATGTAAATTCTGTTATTTGAGCCATCTGTTATTTATTTTGGTGATCATGTTTTTAATTTCCAAGGTCCTGATAGATTCTTTTTCACACACATCTGCTCTTCTTTAGGATATGGCATGCTCTTAACTCTCTTTTGTTTTTTTCTACTAACTCTTTCTTCAGGAATTAGTTCTTCTACTCTTTTGGTTTGTTCCCTCTCTTTTATGCTATTCATTTTCTTCAGATGATTGGTGATTGTTTGTTGTATACTCACGTTTATCAATGGTATGTATTGACCTGGATTGGTAGCTAGGGTCCATTTCCTCAGCCCAAGTGAAACATCTCTGTTTCTCTGGCAGTGACAGTTTTCCAATATAGCAAGCTTTCTTTTGGCAGTTGATAAAGGAAGCGGAGAGAAAGATGTAGAACCAATAGTTATCTGAGTCACCTGTTTTTTCATTGCGAATCTCGTAGTGATCATATATTACCTAGGGAGTGCCCTGCTTTTCTGGTCCCAACAACCATCCTGGGAATACTCTGTATCAGGGTTTAAAAATTATTTCACAAATGGAAAATTGTATCCTGCAGGCAAACAACAGAACCAGCAATTCTGAGAGCAGGGGACTCGTGCAGCTGTTCCACAGGTCTTTAATTATTCACCCAGCCTGTCACCCCATTTCCAGCTCCTTTTAATTCCAACTATTGTTGGTTTTAGGATTTCAAAGTTCGTCTGGAAAACTAACTTTCTTCCTTCCTTCTTTTCTTCCTTTTAATCTTTTATTTTCTCTCTCTCTCTTTTTTTTTTCTTTTTTTCTGTTCAACTACATGGGTTGCAGATTCTTCAGCTTCGGGGAAATATGTCATTTGCTTTATATATTCCAGAAATTTTTTACTTGCTTGAAGATGCCCTCTTGGTTTTCAGTAATGCAATAGGTTTGTTCTTATTTTGATATTACTTATGATATTTTGACGGGATTTGGAAAAGAAAGTGAGAGAAATATATATGTGTGTGTGTGTATATATATATGTGTGTGTGTGTGTGTGTGTGTATATACACACACACCAATATGTATATATTTGGTTACAAAATTTTAGTCTGAAGTTTTCAGTTTAAATTTGATCCCTGCATTTTTAAGTCACAGTCATGAGTTCAAGTTAGAGTCCTTCCCTAAAATCTCTTCCACACTGTTAAGACCCACAACCTTCCCTCCCTCATGGGCCCACTCAGAGCAGTCGTGACAGAGGGCAAACTCTTATTTAAAATGTAGGTTAACTATAGCCATTTCTGCCCCCCTTGACGCCCCTAAGGATGGGTGGCAGGATTCATACCCCTGGGAAAAAATCTGATCCAGTTCTCTTGTAGAGACTGATGAGGAAGTAGGTGATCAATTGTCCAACAGCTAGTGAGTGTTTGGTTCTACCAAGGGAGTGCTGCAGCTGCATTGACGAAACCTAGATTGCTTTGCATAGTAACATGGGGTAGATTACTGATAAGCAGTGAAAAAAGTAGAGGGCTGAAATACATGACAGAATGCTGTGGCCTGAATTGTTGGAAATAGTTAAAAGACTTTTAAAAATATAGAAATCAAACACTTTTTACCTATTAGCTCTTCTTTGATGTGGGTCCCCTTCTTCTCACCAATGTTTGAGTGGAGTTTGCTGTACTCAACACGCCCCTTTTTTTTAGTGGGGGTATTTCTGGTTTCGTATGGAACACAGAAAAGGCAACAATTGTGGGGCAAAAATAAAAGTGAAAATAAGATTTCAGGGGTAACAGAAACTAAGATTCAAAAATGACATTGAGTATGGGAACTTCTGGGACTCTTCAGGACGTAAATATTGGGAAGGAAAAGAATGTAGAGTTTCCCCTGACATCTGGGTTACATATTTCTTATTGAACTGTCATTTAATTGCTTGCGTGTGCACATGTTCATTATAAACTTAGGTGTGGGAAGTACTTTTTGTGGTGTGCATCTATCTTTTTGCTGCCCATGAGTCTAGCAGGGCAGTGCCTACATAAAATGCTTTCATTAAATAATTTTAAAATCACTTAAAATATTTTTTGCTGATCCATTCATATCTCTACTTCTTCTTTGTGAAAAAAGATCTATTTTTGTAAGATACGTGGTTGGAGTAAGAGCTAAGGCTTAAAGGCAGATTGGCCTGTCTGAGGGTTAAATCCACAACAAATCTACCTTACAACCAGGTATTAAGGCACTGAACATGTTTTATTTTAATGAAACAAGTAAAAAAGTACACAAATACACACTGTAGAAAGCACAACCAAGAAAGTGGGTTAAGATATGATTTACCTGTTTTGTTTAATAATCATTGATTTTCCAATTCATATAAGATAATGACATAGCTCTAGAAATGTATGCCTGTTTTTGTTTTTGTTTTTGCCTGCCTAGAATCCCTTCCTCTTTCTTTGGGTAAATAGTCATTTGGTTTTCCTTTGAGCAACCATCTGCTGTCTATTGCAGATTTGGTTGTATTTTCGATCAACATGTCCTCCTTCCCTGGGCCAAGACTCCAGCCATGCCAGTCAGACTCCTCCTGCAGTTTGAATGCTAGGCCAACTAACGGAAGGATTAGAGTTAATTCATTTCTCCCATGCTGCCCTCAATAGAGTATTCATCAGTTTCTGCTACCAAGATCCTAATCAGAGCTGTCCTGATTATTGTCCTTTCTGAACCTGGGTTCTTTAAATTCTTTTTTTTAATCCAGTTTTCTGAGCTACTGAAATCCAGTCCAGTAAGTTCCCTTTTTTTGTTAAAGTCAACCAGACTCAGTTTCTGTGGCCTGCAACCAAAGAACTCTGACAGATACAGCTCCTATACAAATGGTCTGTTTAGATTTTCTATAAATATTTGATAAATTAATAAAGAATTTGGCTGGCAATAGCTACTCAAATAAAGATTGGCTTCCTCAAACAATAACATTTATTAAGTCACTGGTTATTGTGGTATTCCATCAAAAAGGACTCGGTATTATCCAAGGCTTCATGAAGGAACGTAAAAGGGGAGGGACTCGCATGTTTCTTTACCTCTAGAGCATGTATGTTGAAGGAGGAACGGGGCACATACAAATCAAAACTTGTTGAGTTCCTTCTCTATTTTTGTTTGATCCTTTAGTGACATGTACTACAATGGTACAAGGACTAGAACTAAAGTCCCATAGCATGCTTGCTTTGACATCTGAAGAAAACAGGACAGGCCTCAGATGGCCTAACACAAGTTCCCCTCCCTACTCTGCTAGTGTGGAAAAGGTTCCCTAGCTAATAACTCTTCTTATCATGGGGACCGATTGCAGTTCCTATTTATCCCTAAGGAGCAAGCTTCAGTCCCTGCCAGCATGTGGAATCATTCAAAGAGGCCAATCACATTTTCCCACAGGAACCAAGGGGCATGTCACCCTCTTGATACTGCCAAGCTTGCCTCCCATGGCCCCTGGTTGTTCACCTTGGTCCCAAGTGCAGTCCCTGTGTGGCCCTGTGTGTTGAGCAATGTCCTCTCCCAGACTATCAGTATCAGTGATGAATAAACTGCTGTCAATCTTATCTGTGTGGTGTCCAGTGTCCTGAAATACCTCCTTCACCAATGCGGTGAATAGGACATGATCAAAGCACCTATCACAAGAGGAGCTCAAGGCTTTCTCCCTTAGGCCAAGAGGAATGTACTTGGGTATGAAAGCCAAGGACACAACTTGGCCACATCTCTTTTCTAGGAAATAATGCTAGGGACTGGAGCAAAAGCTCCTCTAGGAGATGCAAAAGCTAAAAGCTCTTACTCTCAACAGAGACTGAGAGTGCCTCATGAGTATCAGGGTGATGAGAAGGCCCAGGACTATCTGCTGCTTGGCTGCTCTTAGAAACGACATGGGAACCAGGGCTCACAATGGCACACCCCACCTCACCAGCAGATTATGTTGGGCTTTGGGGCTCAAACTCAGGTTGTAATAAGAAATGTACCTTTATTTAGAATGTTACCATCTCTCAGGTAAGAATTTGAGGATGAGAAATCCAAGCCATTTTTCTGTTTATCATGAGCAGCACGTGCCATTCACCAAATAAGTGAGGGGCTGTAAAGGAATTTAGTTGACTGATTTCTGTGGCCCATCACTTTCACTACTTTTCCCCCCTCATAAAGGCCAACTCAACCTTCTTTTACATTTGATGGCTAAGATACATAAGAAGCATCAGCCCCCTTTTTGCTCTCCTTTGAATATTGTTTTAATTTCAATAAGAGGTTCTGTTCTAAGATATTTATTTTATAGCCCATTTACTCTTTCTTTTAGGGCTGGGAAATGGAGATTGGAGTCTGGGGACATGTGTTTGAATCTGGATTGGTCTCTTACTAAGCTTTGAAACTGTGAGGAGGTACTGGACGCTGGTGTACTCTCCTGTAAAATGGGGATATCACGTCTCCCTGGGAGAGCTGCTGTGAATATTTAATGAGATCATCATGGATATCAAGCCCTGGATCAGAGTCTGGTGCTTAATGTGCCTCAGCTTGTGTTCATCTCCACCCCATCCATCCTTTTAAGTTATAAGTCCTTTTGGCCTGGGAGGCTGAGGTTGCAGTGAGCTGTGATCATGCCACTGCACTTCAGCCTGGGTGAAAGAGCAAGACCCTGTCTCAGAAAAAAATTTGTAAATGGGTTTCTTCCTCATCAAGAATTACTAGATATAGAAAGAGACAAGAAGGCTTGATCTATGTGGAGCGTGAGACCCACGGAAGTAGACGAAAGCATCTGGGAGTCTCCAGGGGATGTACATTCTTGTCCCCTAGAAGTAGTGGTAAAGTTAATTACCACATAAAAGAATGGGACAGTGAGTAGGGCCAGTCCTATGTGGGAGAGAATGCCTTCTACAGATGGAAGGATAAAAGTGGGCTTGCTCTAAATCTCTTGAGGCAGGCATGTCAGCAGTCATAGGGACTCTGGTTATAGCTTTCTTGTAGCTTCTCTACAACCTCACTGCCCCCTTTAGACTTCCTATGTGCAGTCTCCTCTGATTCCTGGAAACACTTCCTCTCAGTTTGTTATCAAGTGATAAAGGGCCTGAAGAACTCATTGACACTGGAGTTGATGACTGAGAACATACCATGTAATCCCTTCCAAAGGTGGATGGCATTTAACAAGGGACCATATCTTATTCCAGAAAAATTGCATTCTTTGTGGATCCTCCCACCTCAGCCCCCCGAGTAGCTGGTACCACAGGCATGTGCCACCATGCCCCACTATTTTTTGTATTTTTTGTAGAGATGGGGTTTTGCCATGTTGCGTAGGCTGGAGAAATGGCTTTCTAATGGTGCAATTTCTGAGTGAAGGCTGAGCATATAGTTTAGAACTTGGACTTTATAATTAGAGTCCTGGATCCATCACTTAACAGCTACAAAATCTTAGGCAAGTTATTGTACTTCTCCTCTCTAAGAATCAGTTTTCTTATCTATAAAATAGTAGATATAGTAACACCCACCTTATAGGATTATCATGAAGAGTCAGGGAAATGATCTCCATGAAACTTCTAGCCCACTGCTGGTGTTTATAAATGCTGCTCTCAATAAATGTTAGTTGTTATTGCCATGATTGTTTTTATTACTTATGTGAAATCCCATCTCATTGGCCTTGATCAGTTCTATTCATATGTAAAGTCAGCCCAGTATCCAGGAAAGGTAGAAGATTCATTTCCTCTGAATTAGTCGTAGGAAGTGGCATATTCAGGTCATTTGGATCCCTGCCTGCCCTGGGCTGAATTCACAGCTCTTACAATAGAACCAAAGCGTTGTCTTTTCCAGACACAGTGGAGAAGCTCCCTGTTTCACTGCTGCAGAGTTAAATTCTAAGATGAAATATTTTACCTGTTTAGCATATTGTTAAATTAGGCTGGCTCCCTATCTTTTGAAATACACATTTTGGGATTGATGGATTTAGAGTTTTTTGGTTTTTAAGTTTTGTTCGTCCTAGGTTTAAGTCCTTAAGTCTTTTCATCTCCTCTTCCATGGATAAACATTGCTAAAATATAAACAGTCAGTGACCTGTTTGAATAAAATGAAAGTCAAAAAAGGCTATAATGAAGCTTAGGGTTTGTTGGTTCTTGGTTTCCGGTTTTGTTTTTTCAAGCTATTGCCAGTTGGATGTTGAGGATACTCAGTTCGCCCTTTGTGAATGAACAGACGCTTGACATGGCCTTGCATTTGGCCAGGCCATGATCTCTTCCATTAAAAAAAAAAGGGTGTAAGTAATTCCTCCTTTGGAGGAACAGTTTTCTGGGACAGCTGTTTTCCAGCTTATGGGGAGAAAGAATTTCTAGCTGCTAGTTAGCTTCAGCTGAGAGGGTTGTAGACTTCCTGCTCTTCCCCAGTTGGTGCTAATGCATTCCTGATTGTCTGCGGTCACCAAACTGCTCTCTTCATTAAGAGAATAGACATAGGGATCAATTTTCAGAATCATAGACATTTAAACGTGCACAGAATTTGGCTATTTTAGACATAAGTACCTAAACTAACATGAAAAATCCTGGATGCCAAACATCTGGGTAGACCTCAGAGGTAGCAGATATTATGTTTCAAGGTACAAAGTGACTTTCCCTTCTAAAAGGGCTGCCTTAAAGAATAAACAAGGCTTTCACTGAGAAAGAATTCTAGCTTTAAGTTTACATTCAGAATAACTCTGGCAAATCATTTTGACAATTCCAGTTTCTTCATCTCTAGCGTGAGTACATTTGTTTGAGCCAGACTCACAGGCCAGATGTGAAAACCGTATGACGTACATGATTTCATCTTATTATGCTTTTATTTTTGGAGATTAAAAAAAACTTGGGCATTTATCCCAGAGAAATAAAACTTACATCCACAGAAAACATGTACACAGATGTTCATAGCAGCTTATTAGTAATAGCCAAACACTAGAAGCAACTCAGATATTCTTTAGTGAGTGAGTGAATACACTGTGGTATATCCATACCATGAAATACTACTCAGCAATAAAGAGAAATTGATCCATGCAACTTGGATGGATCTCAAGTGAATTGTGCTGAGTTTAAAAAGCTAACCCCAGAAGTTTACATACTGCATGATTCTTCTATTTTTTTAACAGTCTTGAAGTGACCAAATTTTAGAGATGGAGAACAACAGATCAGTGGTTGCCAGAGAATAGGGATAGGGGAGGCAGGCAGGAGTTATGGTTATAAAAGAGCAGCAGCAGGCCAGGCACGGGGGCTCACGCCTGTAATCCCAGCACTCTGGGAGGCCAAGGCAGGTGGAACAAGAGGTCGGGAGATCGAGACCATCCTGGCTAACATGGTGAAACCTCGTCTCTACTAAAAATACAAAAAATTAGTATTTTTTGGGTGTGGTGGCGAGCACCTGTAGTCCCAGCTTCTCGAGAGGCTGAGGCAGGAGAATGGCATGAACCCACGAGGCGGGGCTTGCAGTAAGCCGAGATCGTGCCACTGCACTCTAGCCTGGGTGACGGAGTGAGACTCTGCCTCAAAAAAAAAAAAAAAAAAAAAGAGCAGCAGCACAGGGAATCCTTAAGGGCACGGATCTTTTCTGTAACTTGAGGTAGTGGTGACTCTGTGAACCTATATGTGCAATACAAAATTGCACAGAATTCAATACATACACAGATCAGTGCATGTAAAACTCATGACATGAATAAGATCGGTGGATTGTATCAATGCCAATTGCCTGCTTGTGACATTGCACTATAGTTACGCAAGGTATTATATTGTGGGAAACTGGATAAGGACTACACAAGATCTCTCTGTATTATTTATTACAATTGCATGTGAATTTATAATTATCTCAAATTGAGAACATTAATTAAAAAAATACAGATAGTAAAACAAAAATTCTTCCATGACTAGGCCATGGCTAAATTAGTATCTTCTATGATAAGATACTAATATCACCTTTCAGGCCAGTTGAACTTCTTGGTACTCTTTTTGTATGTTTCTGTATTTTATCCATTATTGTACCATTGCATTTGTTTGGAGCACAGTGACTTTTCAAAAATGAATTCACACTGCCATATTAGCCCAACAGACCTAGCTTTAAAGCTATATGTATATAGTATATAACTGCAGTATGATAGTTCTGCAAATGATAGAACTTTAAAAAATAATTCCAAGGCTGTATTCAGATTCAGTGCGGGGCATCTCTTCTATACAGACAGTCCTCTTATGGGGTTAACATTTTCAAATGTTTGAACTTGTTCACAGTATTTAGTAGCTTTTATACAACAGTTTAAATTATTCATGTAATTCATGTTCTCTATGGAAAAGTTAGAAATTCAAACAAGCAAAAGAAAAAGATAAAAATCAAGGATTCCAACTAATTTCTAATGGGAATTTGGAAAGTAAATTTGTCTCCTGAATCTCAAAACCATCTGCTGCTAATTAGGACTTTTAGCAGAAAGTTTATGAAGCCAGAATATGGATTTTATTAAGCAGGACTCAATTTATAATCAGCAATAAATTTGCTTCTTCTCCCTTTCTTTCTACTCTCCACCTTTCAAAAGAAGTGACTAATAGGCAGAATTTCACACATCCAAAATGAAAATTTGTGTAGACTCCAAGATAACAATGTCACAATAGAACCAAACTTCATAGCTTGGGGAAATTTGAAATAAATCAGATAAGTCAACTGAGATCTTTAAGAAGGTAATGCACCAATGTTCTAGGCCTCAGTTTTCTTGATGGTAAAGGGCAGCTGTTGGACTTAAGGAACATAATCATATTATGATACTTCTATGAGGGAGTTGCAAGTCAATATCTATAAAAAGAGGTTGAAGACTATTAAAGACTCAAATGAGGTAATCATTCCTTAATAAGTTTCTCTAAGACTGTAACATTAGGCCACTAGAAAAGAATCTGAAAAGCAACTGTCAGGTTTCCAAAATAGTGGCTAGTATTTGTGTTAGGAGCAGTCAAGCATGTGTCCAAACCCCACTGTTTTTACATGAGTGTGCAGAGATGAAAATGGCCCACAATCTTGGCTGAAGAACAAGTCATCATCCTATGATAATACAGTTGGGGTTAATGCTAATGCTGGATATATTTGGAAACTTACACATGTGCTTTAGACAAGGCTCATCTGTGGTCAAATGCTGGTCTCCAAGAAAAGCAGGTTGATGACTGGGCTCCTCCTACTCTGAATGCCTACCTGGGATGCTTCCACGTGGTTCTGTAGGCATGTCCATCTAAGTTATTATTACTGGCAAATGCTAACTTTTAAATATTCACTTATGTTTTAGGTCCAAGTCTCTTTAATTTCTAATCCTGGTGGAGTGGACAGACATGGAAAATTTACAGACTCTGTTTACCCCCATTAACTTAAGGTCCAGATAGGCAGGACTGAAGGCTAGCTCCAGGCCCTTTTTCTCCTGGGCCCCACCCCATTGTCTATTAGACCTTCAAGAGAAGAACTTCTCAAGCAGGAGCCCCTTACTTAACCCCAAATACCCTCCAGCTGCCTAGGAAGAAAGAAAGATGGAGAGAACCAAAAAGAAGGAGTTTAATTCCATATTGCTGCTCCTGAAATTTCTATTCCTTTAGAACAGAAGACCCCTTAGGTCTTCTTGAAAACTCGATTTTGTCCTTGAGCCAAGGACAGTGGGTATGGAAGAAAGGGAGGTGATGAACATGCTCTAGAGTACATGGAGAGGGGGACCCTACTCCTCATATCCCCTTGGTCATACCTCAACATTCTGAAGTAGGATATTGGTGAGAAGCAGATGTTCATTGGGTCACTACTGGATGGGTCTAATGTGCCAATGGCTTGTGCTAAATGCCTCGCTTGTTTTTCTTCTCTTGGACTTGCTTGACTTCAGATGGAACGGCTCTATACAGCCTGATATTTTATAGTTGCCTTAGATTTTCAGCTGCTGAGAAGGTCTATGTTTTTCCAGCTTTTTAATCTCAGTGGTGGGTAAGTTCAACCTGGAGTAAAAGGTAGAGTATCTCTGCACGCTACCCAAATCAACTTTGCCAGTACTGCACTTTGTTCCTAACTTGACTCCTTGAGTCTATTTATAAATTGGTTGGAACTGATAAATAAGGAGGAATGAGTAATTAGTCTCTCCCAACTTCCAACAGTAAAGCAAAACAGTAGTGTCATTGAACTCCAAATGTGATCAACAACTCTTAAAAGAGAAAGAGAAGGGGTCAGTCCAATTACTGAGTGAAAAGAAATCTGACTGAAAAGAAAGGAGTAGTACAGTAGCAAAATTTCAAGGGCTACATGTAGATGGAATGCTGGGTCTGGGTCTATCTGGGAAGATGTTGAATGGACCACCCAGAGTCCAGTTAAATGAGTCTAAGGACATTCCTGAGAGAAAACAAATTCATTTTAGAAGAAAGAGTCAGGCTGTATACTCTAGACCAACTTACTAATTATTATTATTATTATTGAGACAGAGTCTCACTCTGTCACCCAGGTTGGAGTGCAGTGGCATGATCTTGGCTCACTGCAACCTCTGCCTCCCAAGTTTAAGCCATTCTTGCGCCTCAGCCTCCTGAGTAGCTGAGGTTACAGGGATGTGCCACCACGCCTGGCTAATTTTTGTATTTTTAGTAGAGACGGGGTTTCACCATGTTTGCCAGGCTGGTCTCAAACTCCTGGCCTCAAGTTATCCACCTCCCTCGGCCTCCCAAAGTGCTGGGATTACAGGCATAAGCCACCATGCCAAGTTACTAATTCTTAAATATGGATGCAAAGGGCAATTCTGGTTAGTGTTTATCTATTGAATTTATCTTCTCATCCAGGTCTCTACTAGAAATATGTCTGAGCTTGCTATATCGTCTGTGGGATTTTACTTTGAAACAGTTCAGAATGAACAATGTGATATATGTGTATTTAAGTTAATTTTAACCTGTATTTACAGTGTAGCGTATTAGTCAATTAACATTTGAAATTCCCTAATCTTCAATCCATACTCCAGAAATGGCTGAGAAAATATTTCAAATATCCTCATCAAAATCTAGCCAAGCACACATCTTGAATACCACTAATATCACTACTGAAAAATTATTTCTAATATCTTGTATGTGGATTAAGAAGGTCACATTGATCAGTTCCTTTAAGAGTGTCTCACACTAAAAAGGGGAGAGAGACATTTTCTCCCATTTCCCAACAGCAGTCTGGCAGTCAGGGTCCCCTTGAATCAACACTGGAAGCCTGAGATTTGCTAGGTTAGGGGCAAGGAGTGGGGACAGCAAAGCCTGTTGGGCTGGTGGTATGGCCAAAGCAGTTGTGGTGTTCAGCTCAGGCACCCAGCAGAGGGGACAGAGACAAGAGTGTCCTGGGGAAACCTCAGCAGGCCCAATAGGTTCAGGAGAGTTTGGTGAACATGGCAGCACCCAGGGGAGGGAAGATGGGGCAGATAGAGAGAATTAAAATATCAGAATCACTAATGAGTCCTCTCTAAGAACTCTCAGAAATACATGGTGGAGATTTTGCTGGAATCTGAGGGTCAGAACTTGTCAACATGGATTACATATGTATAATCGCATCAGAGTGGGAAATTAGACATGAAAACACTGAATTAACATAGAAATCTGAACAGGATCTCTCAAAGAATGTTTCCAATTTCACACCTGACCCAGCCAAAAACACTGCGTTGACTCCTTAGAAAGACTAGAAGGCGCCTGATAGAGTCAGGCTGTCATCGATGCATCTAGTTTCCCAGAGGCACACAGCTAACACAAGTGAAGAGGCCTGTGGCTGTGGCACCAGGAGTCTTGTGAATGATTCCAGACCTGGCCTGAAGTACCTGCCTACGTTCAAACACAGATTTTCATTTGGGAGTCAGAGTGACATGAAAAAAGTAAATATTTGAATCACCTAAAGAATCTTTTCAAATCACAAATTCCTCAGGGCTCGCTCTGGATTTACTGAATTAGAATTTCTTTTCTTTTTAATTTAAAATTTTAAAATTTTTATTTTTTATAGACTTGGGAGTCTTGCTATGTTGCCCAGGCAGGTCTCAAGCTCCTGGCCACTAGTGATCCTCCCAACTAGGCCTCCCAAAGTGCCAAGATTAGAGATATGAGCCACCATGCCACACCTTAGAATTTCTGGTAATGAAATTGAGAAAGAGTGTGAGACCTCAGATCATTTTAACAGGCCCAACCTACCTCCTTTCCTTACCCTGGTGGAGAACTAGCTTTATTAAAAATATGCCGTTATCCAAGGAGAAGTGGTTTCAAGAGGAGAGGAAGGGAGAGAATGAATTCACAAGGAAAAAGTCAAATCATGTCAACAAAGGGAGAAAGTTTATTGTATTTTTTAAATGCAATCTCCAAAAAGTATCTTCCTACACAAATATATACACCAGAAATAGTTTTCTGTCTCTCTCTCTCTCTTTTTTTTTGTGTGTGTGTGCAATATATTAGTTGAGTTTATAGTGACTGTTCACTGGTCTGTATTTTCTCAGTCCTGAAGTCAAAGTAGGTACTATTATCTCAAATGTACAGACAAGGAAACCAACAGACACAGGAGGAAAAGTAGGTGTTAATGTTTACCCAGCCAGTAAGTGGTAGAACTGGGAATTGAACACACACTACTCCCTAATTTTTAAGACTTTATAGCATAAATACAAAAATACAGTGAATAACCTGGAAATATATTAAAAATAATAATTATTGAAATTAAGACAACATCCAGAGAATATTCAGAAAAGTTTCTCTGGAATTAGGAGGTAAATGCAGGGTCAGGAAATTTTAGGGGAGAGATGGGGAATATTTGTTCAATGTTAATGGGGAGTGGGGTAGGGAGGAAGAGATTGGAGAGCCAGGGATTTTAGAGGAGGTGGCAGGAAAGAAGGTCAAGGAACACAGGTGGCCTTGAAGAGAGCAAGAGGAGGGGCACTCCATCTGGAAGAACACAGGCATGCAAAGGTGTGGATGTAGATAAGCTTGAAGTTGGGGGGAGACCCAGACAGCATGAGGTCATGTCTAACGGTTGCCATTTTCTCAACAGAGTAGACTATAAGGCCTGACTGATGCAGAAAGTGAGGAGAGGGAGGTTTTCTGGGGGAGGGGGAAGTAATTTATTTATTTATTTATTTATTTTGAGACAGAGTCTTGCTCTGTCACCCAGGCTGGAGTGCAGTAGCAACATCTCGGCTCACTGCAAACTCCGCCTCCTGAGTTCACGTCATTCTCCTGCCTCAGCCTCCCGAGTAGCTGGGACTACAGGCGCCCACCACCATGTCTGGTTAATTTTTTGTATTTTTAGTAGAGACGGGGTTTCACCGTGTTAGCCAGGACGGTCTCGATCTCTTGACCTCATGATCCGCCCGCCTCGGCCTCCCAAAGTGCTAGGATTACAGGTGCGAGCCACCGCGCCTGGCCAATTTGTTTGAGCTTCTGTAATGTTGAGTGGTAGATCTGAGCATCACATTCAGGTCTGTCTCCATCCAAACTCCCTGTTCTTTCTCCGACTCCAGTGTCAGCATTCGCTGCTGTTTCTATGTGCAGTATTGTCGAATCAAATTCTGATATTATGCCTTTCTAGTTAAGTACCCTCCTTGAAAAGTAATTTTTGTCACAACTAATTTGATGGATACGAGAGACACGACAGTTTTTTACATTAAACTAAATTGTTTCCACTTCTCCATAGTCATTTCTTTGCCTCCAAACTGCACTCCCCCGAGTCCCTGGTTGGTTAGGATCTTTGATCTTTGTTGCCCCATATGAACTTTAATTTGGGAGGAATCTCTCACTTTCTTGGTAACTATGTACAATTGCCATCAATTTCTGGTCTAACCCTCCTCCTAGTCAATTATCTTTCTGAAGAGAAATCTCATTTTTTCCTTCTGGGATTTTTGGCTGCTGTTTGATTCTGAGAGAGCACACTAGGGAAAACAAATTTTCCATTCCTACCAACTTAAGCCTTCTCTAAACAAAGCAGAGAGCCCTTCTCTGAGCGAGCATGTATTCATATTCCCAGAGGATCCACTGTATTTCTGAATTTTGAGTCCCTGTTGCCCATCCGGAGTCTCTCTCCACATGCCATCTGTATGACAATAACAGTGCTCTCCCTGCCACAATCTCATAATAGAAACCCCATTCAAAACACCCTAAAGAAAGAGCCCACAGATGTTCCGGAAAAATACACAATAATCCTTGGCTGATTAATTTAATATCCTTTGGAGACACTCTATAGATCACTAGGCTGCTGTTTTATTCTGGAAGCCATAACTTCCACCATTCTAGCCCCTGTAATGTTGCATTTTGATTCATCTCAGGGCAAGGCAGATGATACCCTAAACATATGAACGAAAGAGCTGAACCATATATTATTGCCTTCCTAATAAGAGTATCAGTGCCTAGGAAAGAAGCCTTCAGTAGCAGAGCTGAAATGACACATGAAAGGACAAATGATGTGGGGAATTTGAAACCTATTTTACATCTTGCCAAATGACTTTGTATATTTGTGATTTTTTAAAAGATTATGACTTTTTAATTTCTATGTTAGGTGTTTACTGTGTTTGCCTAGAAAATAAACCTTCCCACTTTAGCTCCCAATAAAATCAAATAGCAAACAGAAGTATCTATCTAAAATCTGACAAACTACTGGATTGTGTATTTGTTTTGATACTTCATCTAGTAAGTACATCTGTCTATAGCAGGAGTTGACCAACTTTTTCAGTAAAGAACCAAAGAATAAATATTTTAAGCTTTGCAGACCTAAAGAAAATGGTTTCTGTTGTAACTAGCCAATTCTGCTATTATAACATGAAAAGATAATAAATATGTAAACAAATGTGTATGGTTGTGTTTCAATAAAACTTTATTTACAAAAACAGTCAACCAAATTTAACCTGTGGGCTGTAGTTTGCTGAGCCCCTGGTGTGTACCATTTAGAGTATAAGCTACATAAGGACAAATGAATCCTCTAACAAGCAGTTTGCCAATGACTGGTGGGAAAAATAGCTACTGCTATTAAGAACTTACTATGTGCTAGGTATTGTGGTAAGAATATACAATACTGTCTAATGAGGTAGCGACTGGATACCCGTTTTGTGGATTGAAAAACAAGGCTCAGAAAGCTTTAGGAACATATCCAGGATCACACGGCTAAGTAGTGAAATCCTGTGACCTGCCTTTCTGTCCGTGAGGGTGTGGCATGATGGCTACCTGATAGGACTCTAAGGCACTAAGCTGTATTTGTGTCGCACCACTTGTGAAATAACTGGGCTCAGGACCCCAGCCATTGTGCCCTCAATTTCATATAAAAGCTGAGATGCTGAGCAGTCTTGGGGCAGGAGTTGTAGTTGGTGGCCTCTATGCTTTCCCGGAGCTGTGCAGCGAGGTGGCTTGGATGGGTGTGCTTGGGAGCCTCAGTGTCCAGGTTCAGAGCTCAGTCCTGCTTTTTACCAGTGTGTCCGGGCAGGTTGGTTAACATCTCTGGATTTCAGTTTCCTAATTTGCTAAATGGGGATAGTGACCTTACTACCAAGTAGGATTGTTGTATAGATTCAAGGAGTTGATACACATGAAATGATTAGAACAGTGCAAGATCAATGTCATTATTTTAACCCCAAAGATAGGTCATGACAGAAAGAGGTTGCTATACCTGCAGCTGAAAGACAACACCTGAGATGAGAGCAAGCAGGGAAAGGAGGAAAGGAAGGAAGGGAAGAAAAAGAAAAAAACAATGAGAAAGAAGAAGGAAGATACAGAGTAGGAGAAAAATCCATGTGTGACATGAGTGTGGTGAGAGCAGGTGCATTTGAAACGACATTTTGTGCATGTGATAATAATATATGTAAAATGATGAAAGAATGAATCCGTCTAGGACCCAATTACCCCTGGGCATATTTGGTATATTTCTTTCCATGATTTTATAGCTATCTCTTTCCCTTTCTGTGTGCTCTAGAGATCCTTCATATGTTTTCCAGCCTTTCCTTTAATGTTACAACAATAATGACACGTACTCCACTCATGGTGAATGAAGGAGGGCCAGTCCCTTATCTATTTCTGAGAGTCCTTGGGGTAAGGCTGCACATCGCACCAGCCCATCTTGGCTCCTGTCCTCCCCCCTTGCTCTGGACTGCCCTGTCTTCTGACTCAGCACCTCTTGAGGGTCTTCTCCAGGGTCCTGCTGCTTCCTTACACCTGCTCTGCTGAAGAGTGTGGGGACTTGCCCTCCTATTATTCCCCATAGCTCAGCTAGCACAGGCAGTCCTGTTTAACAAACTTATTTTATTTTACTTTAGAGACAGGTTCTCACTCTGTCACCCAGGCTGGAGTGCAGTGGAAGATCATAACTCATTGCAACCTCAAACTCCTGGGCTCAAGTGATCCTCCCACCTCAGCTTCCCAAGTAGCTGAGAACACAGGTGCAAGCCACCATGCCCGGCTAATTTTTTAATTTTTTTGGAGACAGGGTCTCACTATGTTGCCTAGGCTGATCTCAAACTTCTGGGCTCAAGCAATTCTCCCACCTCAGCCTTCCAAAGTGCTGGGATTACAGGTGTGAGCTACTGTGCCTGGCCCTGTTTAACAGGCCTTAAATGTCTTGAGGGTCATACGAGGGAATTTCAGTGTGGGAAAGGGAACTACAACTGGGTATCTGACATTGCTGTGTCTGGTGTTCATCAGCCACACATATCTTACTGGACATCTCTTTTCTGAAATCTCGACTGGTTGCTACTACCAAGGAAATAGTATCAGTAGACAGCATGATGATGACAACCGAGTCAGACTATAAGCTCTGTGAAGGCAGGAATTGTGTCTATGTTGCTTGTTACAGTCTCCCTTCTCCTGGCCCAGTGCTTTGACCCATAATGAGGGCTCCATAAATACTGTGATGTGAATGCATGGAGGAGCTTGCAGAGGTTGACACTGCCAATACAGGTTGACTTTAGTAATATTCAATAGAATACTTTTGACAATTGGCTTTGGATTATTCTGCTACTTCAGAGCTTCCCCAAGGGCAGCTGCCTAGGCATTTTCTCCTCCTCCAAGCTCCTAAGACACACAAGTTTCCACTTTTTCCCTGGAATACAGAAACTGCTGCTGGTGTGTGTGTGTGTGCGCGCACGCCAGCTGTCTAGGCATTTTCTCTCCCCCAAACCCCTAAGACACACAAGTTTCCACTTTTTCCCTGGAATACAGAAACTGCTGCTGGTGTGTGTGTGTGTGTGTGTGTGTGTGTGTGTGTGTGTGTGTGTGTGTGTGTGTGTGTGTGTGTGTGTCTGTGTGTGTTTGAGACAAGGTCTTGCTCTGTCACCCAGGCTGGAGTGCATTGGTATGAACACAGCTCACTGCACCTTGAACTCCTGGGCTCAAACAACCTCCCATCTCAGCCTCCCAAGTAGCTGTGACCACAAGCACATGCTTCCACACTTGGCTAATTTTTAAATATTTTTGTAGAAAAGGGGTCTCGCTATGTTGCTCAGGTTGGTCTCAAACTCCTGGGCTCAAGCAATTCTCCGGCCTCGGCCTTCAAAAGTGCTGGTATTACAGGCGTGAGCCACCACACCTGGTTGACTGCTGCAGTTTTAAAAGTAATATGTTTTTATCTCCAATATGTGTGTGATATATTATTTTACACAGTCAAAGTCATGGTGTATCCATTGTTCTGTATCCTATTTTCACTTCCCCTCTGCCTTTGAAAATATTTGTCAACATAATTTTTAATGGCTGCATAATGTGCCATAGAATATGGTAGATGTATATAGTTTAAAAATCATTCTCTCGTTGCATATTTTGGTGTTATAAACAATGTTACAATTAACATTCTGTCTATGGTTTATACTATTTCCTTCAGAGAGATTTCTAGGAATAAAGTGACTGGATCAAAACATCTGAGTAAATACTTGTAACCTTTTTACCTTTCGTTTTAAAATTGCTGTTCAGAAAGATTGTCCAAATTTAGACTCTCAACATAAGGTATAAATATACTTATTTTATCAAATTATCCCCAGTATTATCATTATTTAAAAATCACTATTAATCTGATAGTTGAAAAATAGAGGCTGGAAATGGGTGGGTGTGCTTGGGAGCCTTAGTGCCTGGGTTCAGAGGTCAGTCCTGCCTATAATCCCTGTCTTTTGGGAGACCAAGTCAGGAGGATCACTTGAGGCCAGGAGTTCAAAACAGCCTGGGCAACATAGCAACATAGGGAGACCTCATCTCTACAAAAGTGTTATTATTATTATTATTATTATTATTAGCTAGGCATGGTGGTGTGTGCCTGTAGTCCTAGCTACATGGGAGGCTGAGGTGGGGGACTCGCTTGAGCCCAAGATTTCAAGGCTACAGTGAGCTATGATCACACCACTGCACTCCAGCCTGGACAAAAGAGCAAGACCCAGTCTCAAAAAACACAACAAAACAACAAAAAATAAAAATAGATTATTAGTGTACAGGTTGAGTATCTTTTATCTGAAATGCTTGGGACCGGAAATATTCTGGATTTTGGATTGTTTTGGATTTTGGAATATTTACAAATACATAATGAGATATCTTGGGGACGGAACCCAAGTCTACACATGAAATTCATTTGTGTTTCATATACACCTTGTACACAGAGCCTGAGCATAGTTTTGTACAATATTTTAAATAATTTTGTGCATGAAACGAACTTTTGACAGTGTTTTCTGGGACCCACCACATGAGGTCAAGTGTGAAATTTTCCACTTGTGGTGTCCTGCCAGCACTCAAAAAGCTTTCGATTTTGGAGCATACAGAATTGTGGATTTTCAGATTAGGGATGCTCAACTTATATTTCACATTACACTTCTTTGATTACTAGTGAATTGAAAGAAATTTAGAAGCCAGGTTAGCAGTTATTGTTTCCAGCAATAATGGGTACTACAATGTTTAACACGTACAAGCTTTCTGTATGTAATTTCCTTTAAGACCTCCCCTTGCTGCTGAACAGAAGGCCATGATGGATTCTGCAGCCCAATCTCTGCCATATGTTTGGTGCTTATTATTAAGCCCAACTACTGAGCAAAGAAAGACGTAATTAGCCTTTTTGGGAATTAATTTAAGCCTTCAGCAGTAAAAAAAAGGCCTAAAGTTGATTTATTTCCCAGAATTTATTTGTATTTGATGTCTTTTTAAGTCTAGGCAGACTAAATGACCAGGCATGGTTTCAGCCTTCTACAAAGGAGTTTCTTGAGTTCTAGGAGACAGTCAAAAATAATTGCCTTAGTGCCTTTGCACATCTCTAAGATACCAGTTGAAGACAAATGATTGAGTTATGTGAAAGGAGAGAACCACTCGGGCACTAACAGAGGCAGCACAAGTTGAATTTATCTTCAATTACCAGCAGGTGAGATGGAGGCACTGAGTTCTGAGTTGAGAGCTGTGGCTCAGCTGAGGGAATTTGGCCTTTGCTGCTAAGGTGAAAATTAGTAGGAGAAGGTGCTCTCTGTAATAAAGATGTTTGTTCCTTCATGGGACTGACTTAATCAAGAAAGTTGCTTCTGTCAGTAATGATCCTAGGCCAGATTTAAATATGTGCTTCCAGAACAAATGCAAGTTGTCTGATTCTAAAGCCATTCTACACATTATTGTGCTCCCAAAGACTTTATTGTTATGCAATGATAGGAAAAGATTTTTACCCCCAGAGCACTTGGAAGCACATTGCAATTCCCAGCCTTACTCTCCACCCAAATTGTTGCCCAGATGATTTTGCTCATTTGGGCCGTTATTCATTGATGGCGCATTTGGAAACAAAATCCTGAGGTTGTCACGGGTCTGCACGTATTTACATAGTTCTCAAATGCCAAAATGATAAACACTGTGCAGATGTTCCATAGGACAGTAACCCAGTCTGCCTTTGGCAGTTTCACACGAGAACGACTAACCACATCAGCTCTGGAAAGAGACACCACAGCATGAGCTCACTGACTTTTCTTTTCATGAAAAAGTCAGGGACCAAGATTAATTAAAACCAGGAGCTTGTTACTTTTAAAGATAGCATAATGATAACCATTCTGAAATGTTCCTCATTCTTGCAACCCCAGCACTTTAGGGGAAGCCAGAAAGTGAGAATATAAAAAATGCCTGATGGAAGTCTGTAGCCAGAGGCCATGCTTATTTGTATGCCCATGCAAATATTTATTGGGCAAATGTAGTTTGTATTGAATGAATAATTTAATGAATATACAAATGAATGAATGATTAGGACAATTTTTTTAGTTCTGCATTGACCCAGTTTATGATGCAGCATGTTAGCTATGCTCCCATGCTCCCAACAGCAGTGCAAGCTCCCATGTATGGAGTATTTATTAGCTGCTCAGCCCTGGGTAGAAAGCTCCCCATGCATGGGGAAATACCTACCTCACAATGACACTATGAAGTAGGTATTTCTTTTCTTTGGTGAAGACCGAAGCTTAGGGAGGAAGATGCAAAATGACAGGACCAGGATTCAAATGCAAGTCTGCTGGATTCCAAAGCCTAGGATTTTAACCTGCATTTGAGATTGCTGCTTACTTCACAAGAGGTCACATTCAGTGAAAGGTCACCATTTTTTCATGATCTCAATTATAATTTTCCTGGCCAATGAATCTGATGATAATAGATTTGGAAGACTTCTGAAAGATCAGCTGGCGCATGCTCCCTCATTTTGCAGGTGGGGAATCTGAGGTTCTGTCCCATGTCTGTGGTCATTCAGCTGACCCATGGAAATGAGATGCAAGCCAGGCACACGTCAGCTAACATTTGATCCAGTACTTTCCCCACCTCATCATGCTGGAGATACAGTGAAAGTAGGAATCATATAACCTAAAGTAATGAATTTGGATAGTTTCATTGTTTCTAAAGATCACTTAAACTGACACCATGGTAGAATGATCCTTGCATACGTAACTCCCACAGTAAAAATAAACATTAAGAGGACAGATGTATGAGAAGTACTTTCACTGGAAAATATCATTAAAATGGTGAGAACATGATGAACTTGCCAATCTTGCAATATCTTCAGCAAATACTTGAATATGGCCTTTAAAAAATTGATGTGTGTGCTGTCTCTAGGTCCTTGAAAAGTGGGAGAAACTGAAGATATGTCACTGGTTAAGGCTAAAAGCAGGAGTGAAGTTAAACATGGATAGTATCAGTCACCAATTCTTGCTCACTTATCACTCTGAACTATTGAAATGAATCTTTTTTTCCCTCCATTCCTTCCCGCCCTACCTCCACTATTCCAACTGAAGCCTTCAATGCCCTTCAGTGGGACCAATGCTACTACTTCCCCATCAAACTCCTTCCCTCTAGTCCTGTTTCTCATGGTTTCTCCTCCCAAATTACCACCACAGTGATTTGTCTAAAACTCAGCCTCATCATGTTTACTCCTCCACTGAAGACCACTGCTGGCTCCCCACTAGTCAAAGCTCTTTGGTACTGCTCCCCCCAACCTTATTTCTTTCCTCTCCTCCCTCTTGCCTTACGTTCCAGTAACACTTATTGTCCTTAAGGACTGTCACCTAGAAATGGCCATGCATAAAATTCTTGGGCAGTTTACCCCCTGCACCCCAAAGTTACAAATTACATGAGAAGATTGGACAGGACCTCCAGGTCTCCTGCCAGCTTCTGATTGTGTGACTAATAGAATCCAAACCTTACAGCCACTAAGATGCTTCAAACTCTCAAATCCCATAAGCTTATGGAAGAGGCATGCAGCTTTAAGAAAAGCTAAGAAGGAATTTTTCAAGGAGGATTAAAAAAGACTTAGTAAATACTCCCCACCTTTAATGCTAAGCCAAATTCATTGTCTGTCTGCTCATGAATCTGCCCACTATATGAGCAAAATGGTGAATAACCCACGGGCAAGTGCTTGCGGAAACAATGTAGAAACTGTGGTGGTTATTAGGTTTACCTGTGTAGAAAGCTCTCCTACCTAGAGTTGCCAGGTTAAATTACGATGTATTTTTATTTATTAAGTCTGGCAACCCTATTCCTCATCTACTTCCTTTTTTTTTTTTTTTTTTTTGGCTAACAGATACCATCTCCCTGGCCACAGGACTAAATATGTGACCAATTCTCATTCTAATAGAGACTGGTCCACATCATACAACCCAACCAGGGCCAGAGTCATTTCTTGGGGTGGAAATATGCCCTTTGGGCTGTGGTTTCTAACATGAGGTTTGTGGCAGCCACACTCTTTGTTATAAAATCCTGAGACCAAAAAAGCAAAGAGAAGCTGAGATAGCAGTGAACAAAATAGACAGTTCTCTGTAGCTTTGAGTCCCCAGTTAGAGTTTCTGAGATCCTGGTTCCTGAAGCTTTTCCTCTAGTGCAGTGTGCACCCCTTGACAGTTATAGGAACTGGTAAATTCTTTTTGCCCCATTAATCTAATCTGACTTAGATTTCTGTTACTTGATCCTGAAAGAGCTCCTGACTCATATAGAGGGAATTCTGGTTCCAGGCTTTATCTTTTTCTTAAGTAACATGGTGGATTAGGGAGAGTACACAGGAGACAGTGGCTTGATGTTGTGAGCACAGTCTACCCCTACTATCCACTGGCAGATTTAAAAGTCATTTATGGCAAACATTGAATCCCAGCCTTCTTTTTCTCTGTTTTTGGATTGTCTTCTTTCCAGTTCCTTAGATCATACAATCAAAGGCCTTCATTTTACAGATGAAAAATCATAAACAAGAAGTTAAACAACTTGTCTTAGCTCATATGGCTAAAACCCAGGTTTTGAATCAATTATTATTGAGGTTATGAAAATTAATTTAATATGCTCTTAAAATAATAAAAAATGAGAAAGACAACTTTTTGCCTAAAAATCAAATGTGGTCAATAGGGAAATGTAAATGCTTATATTGCTTTTATGATTATTGATTGTAGCAAATCACAGAGTGGAAGGATTGATTGTCTCTTAGTCATTCTCTTGGCAGTTATGTCTGTGATCATCTGATTTCTTCTGCTACCAGACCCTGCTTCTTGGTGACTGGGCTGACAACATGACCCAGCTTGGTCAGTCATAGAAACTCTATCTTCCTGACCACAGAGATCAGTCCAGAAATGGGTGGGTCATTGCCTCAGAATGAACCAATGACTAAAGGGCAGTATAAGTACTCTCCTTTCCTGAGATTTTCTTTTTATTAGATGAGATGGGGAACATGTTTTCCTCCCTAGTAACTAAACTGGGAGGATGTGCACCTGGAATGCTCTGAGCCCATTTCTCTTACCATATGAGAGAAAGAAAATTTGTCTTCAGTTGGAGGAAAAAAAAACATAAAAAGAGAAGCAGAAACAAGTGAAAGACTTGGTCTTTATGACTTTCACATCCCCAAATCCACCTATTTCCAAGCATAGATTCATCTCTCCCCTTTTGCCCTGTATGGGAACTAAAAAAATTCTTGTTTTACCAAAGTTATTTTGGTGCAGGTTTCTGACACTTAAAACTAAAAGAATAGTCTGATTTTATTTGTGACACTACTTTTCTTTGTTGGCACAGATCATTGAAATTTGCCTGCTTATACTTGTCTAAGTTAATAACAATCTGGTAAAAGCTGACAGAAAATCTAAATTCAATTTGCATTTAGGGAGAAAATTATATCAACCTCACATAGTATCCAAAAATAAATTTTGACTACAGACTTTAATGTAAAAAAAAGTCTTTAATTCCATTTACAATGGCTACAAAAAACAATAAGATACTTAAGAATAAATTTAACCAAGGAGGTAAAAGCCTTGGATACCGAATAAAAATTGATGAAAGAAATTGAAGAAGATGTAAACAAATGGAAAGATATCCTGTGTTCATGGATTAGAAGAATAAATATTGTTAAAACATCCACACTACCCAAAGCAAGCTACAGATCCAATGCAATCCCTATCAAAATTCCAATGTCATTTTTCACAGAAATAGAAAAAGCAATTCCAAAATTCTTATGAAACTACAAAAACCCATGAATCGCCAAGGCAATCATAAGCAAGAAGAATAAGCTGAAGGTATCACACTACCATATTTTAAACTAGACTACAAAGCTATAGTAAATAAAGTAATATGGTACTGGCATAAAATAAACACATTGACTAATGGAACAGAATAGAGATCCCAGAAATGAACCCATGCATGTATGTCAATTGATTTTCTAAAAAAATTTTCATATGCCTACACACGCTGAAATCAATTGATTTTTGACAAAGGTGCCATGAATACACAATAGGAAAGGATAGTCTTTTCCATAAGTGGTGTTGAAAAAACTGGATATCCACATGCAGAAAAATGAAATTGGACCCTTGCCTCACACTATATACAAAAATCAACTCAAAATGAATTGCCTTGCACTTAAGACTAGAAACTATAAAACAAATAGGAGAAAATATAGGGGGAAAATGTCTCAATATTGGTCTGGTCAATGATTTTTTGGATTTCACCTTAAAAGTACAGGCAGCAAAAGCCAAAAATAGATATATGAGATTTCATCAAACTAAGAAGCTTCTACACAGCAAAGCAAATAATTAACAGTGTGACGCAACAACCTATGGTTAGGAGAAAATATTTGCAAGCCACACATCTGATAAGGGGTTAATATCCAAAATATATAAGGAACTCAGAGACAACTCAACAGCAAGAAAACAAAAACCCAATTAAGAAATGGGCAAGGAAGCTGTGCATTAGTTTGTTTTCACACTGTTACGAAGAACTACCTGAGAGTGGGTATTTTATAAAGAGGTTTAATTGACTTACAATTCCACAGGCTTAACAGGAAGCATGACTGGGAGGCCTCAGGAAACTTACAATCATGGCAGAAGGTGAAGGGGAAGCAAGCATATCTTACCATGGCAGAGCAGGAAAGAGAGACAGATCGAAGGGGGGAGTGCCACACACTGCCAAACAACCAGATCTCAAGAGAATTCACTCACTATCATGAGAACAGCAAAAGGGAAGTCCACCCCCATGATTCAGTCACCTTCCACCAGGCCCCTCCCACAATATATGTGGATTACAATTTGCGATGAGATTTGGGTGGAGACACAGGGCTAAACTATATTATTCTGCCCCATCCCCTCCCAAATCTCAAGTTCTTCCCACATTTCAAAATGAATCATGCCTTCCCAACAGTCCCCAGACAGTCTCCCAAAGTCTTAACTCATTCCAGCATTAACTCAAAAGTCCACAGTTTAAAGTCTCATCTGAGATAAGGTAAGCCCCTTCTGCCTATGAGCCTGTAAAACAAAAAACAAGTTAGTTACAAGATACAATGGGGGTACAGGCATTGGGTAAATGCTCCCATTCCAAAAGGGATAAATTTGCCAAAACAAAAAAGCTACAGGCCCCATGCAAGTCCAAAGCCCAGCAGGGCAGTCATTAAATCTTAAAGCTTCAAAATAATCTCCCTTGACTCCACTGTCTCACATCCAGGGCATGCTGATGCAAGGGGTGGCTCCCATGGCCTTGGGCAGCTCTGCCCCTGTGGCTCTGCAGGGTACAGCCCCTGCAACTGCCTTCATAGGCTAGTGTTGAGTGCCTGTGGCTGTAGATGTATCTACTATTCTGGGGTTTGGAGGATGGTGGCCCTCTTCTCACAGTTCCACTAGACAGTGCCCCAGTGGGGACTCTGTGTGGGAGCTCCAAAATCACATTTCCCCATCCACACTGCCCTAGTAGGGGGTTCTCCATGAGGGCTCCAGAAGACTTCTGCCTGGACATCCAGGCATTTTCATACATCCTCTGAAATCTAGGTAGAGGTTCCAAAACCTCAATTCTTGCCTTCTAAACATCCACAGACCCAACATCATGTGAAAGCCACCAAGGCTTGGGGCTTGCACCCTCTGAAGCCATGGCTTGAGCTGTACCTTGGCCCCTTTTAGCTGTGGCTGGAGCTGGAGTGGCTGGTATGCAGGGTGCCATATCCCAAATCTGCACAAAGCAGTAAGGCCCTGGGCCACCATTTTTCCCTTCTAGGCCTTCAGGCCTGTGATGAGAGGGGTTGCCTTGAAGATCTCTGAAATGCCCTGGAGACATTTTCCCCATTGTCTTGGCTATTAACATTCACTTCCTTGTTACTTATGCAAATTTCTGCAGCTGGCTTGAATTTCTTCCCAGAAATTGGGTTTTTCTTACTGCATGGTCAGGCTGCAAATTTTCAAAACTTTGAAGCTTTGTTTTTCTTTTAAATGTAAGTTCCAACTTCAGACCATCTCTTTGTGAACATATAGGACTGTATGTTGTTAGCAGCAGCCAGGCTATTTCTTGAATGCTTTGCTGCTTACAACTTCTTTCTGCCAGACACCCTAAATCATCTCTCTGAAGTTCAAAGTTCCACAGATCTCTAGGGCAGGGGCAAAATGCCACCAGTCTCTTTGCTAAAGCATAGCAAGAGTGACCTTTACTCCAGTTCCCAATAAGTTCCTCATTTCTATCTGAGACCACCTCAGCCTGGACTTCATTATCCATATCACTATCAGCATATTGGTCAAAAACATTTAACAACTTTCTATATGGTTCCAAACTTTCCCACATCTTCTTGTCTTCTAAGCCCTGCAAACTGTTCCAACCTCTGCCCATTACCCAGTTCTAAAGTTGCTTCCAGATTTTCAGGTATCTTTTTAGCAGTGCTCCACTCCCAGTACCAATTTTCTGTATTAGTTCGTTTCACACTGCTATAAAGAACTACCTGAGGTTGGGTAGTTTATGAAGAAAAGAGGTTTAATTGACTCACAGTTCTGCAGGCTTAACAGGAAGCATAACTGCGAGGCCTCAGGAAACTTACAATCATGGTGGAAGGCAAGAAGGAAGCAAGCACATCTTACTTTGGCAGAGCAAGAGAGAGAGGCAGAGAGCCAAGGGAGAAGTGCCACACACTTTCAAACAACCAGATCTCATGAGAACTCACTCACTATCACAAGAACAGCAAGGGTAAGTCTGAGTTATGATTCAATCATCTCCCACCAGGCCCCTCCCTCAACATGTAGGGATTACAATTCAAGAATTTACAATTCAAATTTGTGTGGGGACACAGAGCCAGATCATATCAGGCGGAACAAATATTTTTCAAAAGAAGACCTAGAAATGGCCAAACAGATAGATGAAAAAAATTTCAATATCACTAATCATTAGGGAAATGCAAATTAAAATCACAATGAGATTTTATTTCAATCCTGCCAGAAGGGCTATTATCAAAAAGATGAAAGATACGTGTTCATAAGGATGTGGAGAAAAGGGAACCTTTGTACACTGTTGATAAGAATATAAATTAGTACAGCCATTATGGAAAACAATATGGAGGTTTCTCAAAAAGCAAAAAGTAGAATTACCATATAATCCAGCAATCCCACTTCTGGGTATTTCCCCCAAAGATCTGAAATCAGTTTAAAATCAATCTGCACCTCCATGTCCATTGCAGCACTATTTACAATAGCCAAGTTATGGAATCAACTTGTGTTCATCAACAGATGCATAGAGAAAGAAAATACAGTGCATATACATACAATGGAATACTATTCAGCCTTAACAAAAGAAAGGAATTCTGTCATTTGTGACAACATGGGTGGAACTGGGGAACATTATGCTAAGTGAAATAAGCCAGGCAGAAAGACAAATACTGCATGTTTTCACATATAAGTGGAATCTAAAACAAACTCATAGAAGCAGAGTAGAATAGTGGTTGCCAGGGCTGGGGGCTAGGGGGATTGGAGAGATGCTGGTCAAAGGGTATAAAGTCTCAGACAGGAAGAATAAGTGGCGTAGGTTTTTTTTTTTTTTTTGAGATCTATTGCATGGCTTGGTGAATATAGTTAATAGTATACTCTACATTTCAAAATTTCTAAGAGAGTAAATATCAAATGTTCTCATTAAAAATGGTAAGTATTTCAGGTGATGGATATGTGAATTAGCTTTACTTAATTATTCCTCATTATATCAATAAATCATAATATTGCTTTGTTTCCCATAAATATATAGAATCATAAATTATCAATTTACAATAAACTAAAAATAAAGTTTAAAAATTAGGTGACAGGTACCATACTAAATAATTATATTAAAGAAACTTAGAATATACAGTAAGTTTTAGAAGATAATCTTAGGGTAGGAAAGGCCTTCATAAGTAAATCTAAAACCCAGAAACCATAAAGAAAAATATCAACAGATTTGACTGGGAAAATACTTAAAGCTGTTGGAATATAAAAGTCGCTATTAACAAAATTAAAGGACAAGTGACAGAATGGAAGAATGTGTTCGTAAAATACATAATTCATAATGGATTAATATCCATAAAGTAAAAAAGTTCCTACAAGCCAACAAGTGAATATAACTCCATAGAAAACAGACAATATTTATAAATAGGTAGTTTCAAGAAGAAAAAAGAAATGACTGATTTTAATCTATCAGTGCAAGGAACACAAGCAGGTTTAAAAAGCATTCCTTTGAGAAATGCAGCCTTTTCCTGCAATACCCTTCCCTCCTTTGTTGCCTGAAGCACTCATATCTACTTCTCCATCTCAGGCCGAAGAATAATCCAAGAGGTCTCCTTTGTGTGGCCAAGATACCTTACACGCGCATCACTTATGGCACCTTAGTTCATTGTCTTCAGTGTTTGCTTACAGGTTTGCTTTCCCTCACTAACCAAGGGCTGGGTCGTCCACTTTGTCTCAGTGACCAAAACTTATCTCTTTAAATTCGTATATTTTGTCTAAAATGTGTCTGTAGAATAGATACATTTCAATAAATGGTAAATGAATAACACATAAATGTTGGATTTCCATGGGCACTGTAGGAATCAATACATAGATTCTATAGCAAAGTGCCCAACTTTCTATTTCATTTGGGCTGCAGACACTGATACGTACAATCTTACTCATGTGAGAGAGGGGGAAAAGTAAGAGTGAACATTCTGTATTTAGTCAATTCTAATATACTACTTTTTGGTGTCATTGCTGTGCATATGTAAACTGTATTATTATTATTAAAGGTGTGACAAACAAAGGTAGTTCCTTGATGTTTCAATGAATGAATGATTCAATGATCATTTGAGAATAGAACTATCTTACCCTGATGTCAAATGGAAACCTTATCTCCTTATCATTTGATAAGATTTGGGAAGCATCAGCATGAAAACTTGCAGAAAGTGTGCCAGTGGCTTAAAAGATGATCCCGCATTACCAGCATTCTTGATGCCGAGAGAATGGTGTGTGGAAAAACACAGCCATCAGCAATTATGAGTCAAAAAGCGACTAAGGGAGTCAGACTTTGAATGTAAAGAAGTTTTGAAATATATTAACCCATTTTTACTTGCATTTTTATACATGCATAAGAGTGCTATATAATAAAAATCTATGTTTCCATCTGAACAAGCTTCTCAATGAATATAAAAATAAAAATTCTAGTTAATGAGAAAGCAAAAGTCTTACATCATAGTTGCATAGTTGAACTGGCAGTAGTTTGTTTTATCTTTTTTTTTCCATGGCGGTATATTCAATAATGGTGCATTTGCAATCACTGGCAGATTTCATGAAAATATGGTAACAGTAACACCTAACACATATTAAGCCTTATTTTTTTTCTGAGGCATTATACAAAGCACTTTACATGCATTATCTCATTTAATTGTTATAACAACTCTATAGGTAGACTATGATTATCCTCATTTACAGATAATGAAATAGAGACTTAGAGAAGTTAGTTACTGACAGAACCAGCATTTTTCAGTGAATCAGAGCCTGTGCTGTTAATCAATGTTTGAAGGAAGCAGCAACAGCAATTTCTTAGGACACATGCAGGGCAGTGGATTTGAGAAACACTTTCTAGAATACACAATAATGTATTTTAGTGTCTATCCTGTTGAAATTATGATAAAGGCAAATTAAATAAGTGTGAGCATGTATCTCATGTCTATAAATAACAAATGTGAATGTCTATTATAAAAATTACATGTCAAATGTGGTAAATATTTGTTGTACAAGGGGAGATGTGTTTGCAAAGCTGTGTATGCACCAACATATAAAGCTGTGACAAAGCCCTCGGATGTGACAGATCTTGTCAAGTCATGTCCCTGTGACAATGGCAAAGCATAGTTCTCCCCACTCTCTCTAGCACAGAGAGCCTAAACACAAGTTGCCATCTTGCATTTTGATGGTGGTTCTACTGTATTTAAAAATCTATACTCTACAGCACTAGCTCACGGAATCAACTTAGTAGTAAATAAGTAAACTTCGAAGAGCTGCCTAATAAGGAGTATTAAATCAAATTCAAAAAATGCTCCAAATGAGAATCAGCTACTGAACCTGTACGAATATAAACCATCTGGAATGAATCAGCAATCTTAGCTAAAAGTGAATTAATTCTTAAGACTTCTTCTCTCCAACCCTCTAGCAGACAGTCTGTCTTAAGCCCTGAAAATGGACTTGACCTTATTAGAAACCCATTTGGAAAGCTACAGAATATCCTCCCAGATGGTAAGTCAATACAGAAATAAGTTTTAACACTTTTCATAGGTGTCAGGAAAAGCTGTTTGCTTAAACCCTTACTTACATAGTTTTCTATTTATGAACATCTTTGTCTCCTGTACTGATGTTAGAATGACAGCTTCATCTGAACATTAGTTAGCTTGGGGGTGCACACATGTCTATGTAAAGGTATCACCCATCATGTTTTAAAAGAATATGGCTTACTTGCTCTCATTTTAGCTGATCTGTATTTCCTCCCAATACCACCTATTTTAGGGTGGAAATACAAGTTTGTAATTTTTTCTCTTCACATAATTTTGCTGCTGGTGGGCTGCCATTGTCAGTAGCTGCCATCCTCAATCTCTGAAGGTACAGTAAGATTAGTGGTTACAACCCAGAGGAGGGCTTTTAGTACTTTCTATATCAAATTCTGTCAATGCTTAACCATTTGTGTCACCAAGAGACAGATATTTATTGTTCCTGCCATTCAGGAAGAAATGTTAAGATCTTGGCCGTGAGCCTTTGGAAACAACAGCCAGTGGGGTTTTGCTTCAGAGGGCACCGGGGGAAATTGCTTGGTGAGCTTCCCTGGTGCATTTGAACTTTGCCAACAGTAAACTGGAGGTGGGGTTTCTGTTTCCTGGCATATGTTCCTATTCCTTTTTAGTTTAGTTTTATTTTATTTATTTATTTTTGAGGCAAGGGAAGAGGGAGGATATTCTGCTCTCTTGTTCCTATCAGGAAGGAATTTTTCTCACCTCTTCTTTGTAAATACAAATCTGGGCTAGTTACTATGGTGTCAGACAGCCAGAGAATTTAATCTATAACAGGTTTAGCAATAATCCTATTAAATGGTCTTCTGTGTTCTTTGAAATTTCGATTAGCGAGGGAAGTGCCCATGTTGAAAGCCATACGGTCTTGCATGAAAGGAATTATGCTCCTAGCTGCAGTTGGCCCATAGGATCATGGTATTTTTTTTTTTTTGAGCCCTATCCCATGATGATTTCTCCTCACCTACCAGTCCTCCCTATTTGAGAGTTTTTAAAACTTTGCAAAAAGTGAAAATGCTTTGTGGTTAACTGTGAGGGTAAATCAATTAGTTCTGGATCAGAGTAAAAAGACAATTATCTCGTTGGTTTTCTGTGTAGCAAACACTTCATAGTCAGAGACCTTGTCTGTCTTGTTGATGACTGAATCACTGCCTCCTAAGATGGCAGCTGGCACATTGCAGGCATTTAATAAATATTTGCTGAATGAATGGATGACTGAATGACAATTATTTGGCTAAACTCGAGACATTGACTATAAAGCACTAAACATGATCACTTATATTCTTTATCATGATCATGTGTGAAGAGGAGAGGCTAACATAAATGTTTTTCAAAGCTTTGGAGTGATAAAATGATAGTTCATTATCCAAGCAAAACAGATCCATCTATATAGGAATATCATATCCAAATTTGGCAAAGCCAAACTGCATGATAAAGTCCAATAATCCATATGTGAACCCATCTTTGTGGTTCTTCTAAAGTAACCAAAGGATTTTTGCATTGTTACATTGCTCTGCTATTCCATAAAATCAAAGTGGGAAGGCAGGGGCACATGGCCTCAAGAATCCTTTGTTTTCTGCAGCTGAGGTAAGGATTATTATCACGTCTGCTGGTTTCCAGTTAGACTTTACATGTTCAGGGTTGTACTCTTTTCACTATGACTTCAAAATCCAATGATAAAGAATTGAGTAGCATTTGATTCTGTGCTGGTTAACATAGGTCTTCCCAACTATAAAGAGGTTTCAGATAAAGACGTCAAAGTAAGAACTCATCTCTACAAAGGCAATTTGGAAGAGAAGGTGACATGCTTGACCCTTCCCACATTTTATTATAGTCTTACCACATTTTAATTTTCCTCCCCATCCTTTACTTGTTTCCATTATTATCTCTTTTTCAGCTTTTCTTTCCCTGGCCTTCTTTTCTCCTCTCAGTTTCCTTCTTTCTTTTTTAAAATATATTTTTTAAAAGAACTTGTATTTGCTTTATCTGTGTAATTTTCAGTCAGCGGTGTTTATTTATTGTTTTCTACCTACAAAGACCTTAAAAAATTATTGCCCTTCCTGAATACCATGTTCAAAGAGATTTTTGTCTATTAAGTTTCACTTAAGTAAACATTCATGACTTCCTCCTGCCCCTTTAAAAATTCATCAAAGTTTATATAACTGCCTATCAAAGCTTCTGATTAGTATGACGTAGTCAATGTCAATGTTGAAAATCTATCTACATAAAGGCACTTGAACGTTGGTCTTTTAGGTAACTTTAAGCCTGTATCTTGGTGATCTTGCTGACTAGTAACCAGGCAATGACAAACTCTTCCTAGTTGGATCTACTTTTAACTCAGAAAGAATGAACAAAAAGAAAAGGAGGAGGTCATAGCTTAAAAAACAAGACAGTCATGACTGAGTTGTTAAAAAATAAAACCTAGATTTATATTACTATGCTTAAATCATTTAACATAATAACTTCATTTTATTGCAAATATGATGCTACCCAGTGACCTTATATCCTTTAATGACGACAAAGGGATGATAGTGTTTTCCCTCAGGGAACTAGAAAAAAAAAACAACCAAACAAAAAATGCACTTAAAAGTTTGTCCTATAGAGACCCTATTAGAGACTTTTAGAAGCTTGTAGACATTGAATTAGAAAAGATCTGGAAATTGTAAATTGTCTTTCCTTCGTACTGTCTTTTTAAGCTGATGTATTGCAATGTGTACTATTGTTTCATAATCATTAGAGGACTTTTCTGAATTAAGTTGCCAGAGCCAGAATGTATTTCTGGGCAATTAAAAACATTGTCTTTCACATTTTGCTGGCTACATCACTGAGAGGCTAAGTGACCTTATAAACACCTTACATTTTCCACCAAATTTAGCACATTAATAGGAGAAAATTCCGACTTATCTTGCACAAATATAGGGGAAATTTAGTGCATGAAGCAATTCCAAACAGAATTATATTAATTGAATAGTATGTTATTCTAGTTTACTTGAGTACAAAGGGTAGCAGGAAGCGAGGGACGGAATATAACCCAACTAATTCTGTTAGTACAGAGTATTAGTTTGACTCAGTTACTCTCAGTAATGAGGATTCATGATAAGGATACATGATAAGGAATATGATCTTTTTTAGCAAGCCATAATACTCCTTGTTCTAGACCTTCCAAAATGGAAAAATATACCACATAATGCTGCCTGGCATTATGAGACCTAACTTCACTTCATAATTAGTATTTATAGTCCCCAAAGAAAAGACTTGATAGGGATCCCTTACCTTGTCTCACGTAGAACCACCCTTTGGACAAACTTCCCAGGTCAGGCTGTTTGAGAGGTGGTTGTTCTCTCTCAGTGGAGCTGATGAGTGTATGCTTTTGGTTTATCCACTAATTTTTGGTTGCATTGTTGTGGTCTGAATGGCAGGGCTGGTTTCACCCAACATATAAACACTAGATACGTGAGCTTAATGCTGGAAAATATCTCTTGAATCTGCATTCTTTTTCCCTACCAAGAAAGAGTGACAACCGGAGATCATCTAGAAACTTTATGGCTTATCCCATAAATGTGTGGGCTGAAATAAGGTTAGATACTTTTCCTAAATTATCTGGTTCAGTCAGTCAAAGTTGTTGGTACTTAACCTCCAAAATAGAGATAACTGTGGCTTAATAGACTGTCTCAGTAGGAGAAAAGTTCTACATTTTATTTTCAAAATGATTATCAATAGACTTACCTGTCATGTTTGAATTGTAAATGCAGATTAAAATAAGGCTCACTTTATGGGAGCACCACTCTCATGGAGAGAAGGAGTGGCAAGGGAACATCACTCTCTCCAACTGGACCATCCAGGTGGACACTGGGATTCATAAAGGAAACAACTCAACCCATAGAGAATGGAGAGGAGCAAGAGAGGACAACCGCCCACCTGGGAGTGGCACAGAGCCTCCACTGCACTGACACAGAGAGCTCCGTGGAGTTTGGGCAGAGCCACTTGCTCAGACCATTGCAGAGTTCTGGGAGCCTTGAATCCCCAAGCATCCTGGCACCAGTGACTGCATCTCTAGCAATGGGGGAGGCCAGGCTGCCTTGCATGCCCCCAGGACAGGGATCGAATCCCATGGGGCTGAGCAGCAGATGGTCTGCGGGCCTCATCTGTGCTGCACCTTGCTTGGTGGGGCCCACTGGCCTAGGAACCTAGTGCAGCCACCCCAGCCCCGCCTGGGCTGTCGGGCCAGGAGTAGCTCTGCACTTCCCTGGCATGGAGCTCCTGGAGGGAGCAGGCAGGCCGCCATTTTTGCTGCTTTGCAGCCCTCATTCCTGTTGCCCTTGGGCCAGGGAGGGAGCACAGTGATTAGGGACAACGTGGACCCCCAGAAGAGGGCAGCAGACTTGCAGGAAAGCGGCCAGACTATTTTCCAGGTGGGTTCCCACCCCTCGATACTCCTCACTGAGCAGGGCCTCCAGACCTGAGACTCCAGGCACTCGCAGCCTGGGCTCTCGGGTAGTGGCTACTTCCCTGGGACGGAGCTCCCGGAGGGAGCATATAGGCCAACATTTTTGTTGTTTGGCATCCCTCATCCCTCGCTCCTGTTGCCTTCGGTCTAGGGAGGGAGCACACTGATTAGGAACTAACATGTGCCCCCAGCACAGTGCAGCTGCCTTACAGAAAAGGAGTCAGAGTGTTTTCCACACAGGTCCCCGCCCCCACCACTCCTCACTGGGCAGTGCCTCTAGACCTGGGACTTCAGCACAACCACCCTGCCTCCACCTGAATACTTCAGTTGGTGGTGGCTCTGCCTTTCCTTGGGGAGAAAATCCCAGAGAGAACCCACAGCCCCTCTGCCATTGCAGCTGCAGTGGTACCACTCTTAATGCCCTTGGGCTACGGAGGGAACAAAGGGCCTGAGGGATTTACTCGCACTTCTGGCATACCACAGTCTCCATACCGAGAGGAGCCTCGTCTCTACTCCTTGTGAGCGCTTGACCTCCTGCTCTTCACTAAGCGGCGGGGCCCCAGCCCCTGCCAGCAGTGCAGCCACCCCATCCACTGGCTGAACCCTCCCAGTAGCAGTAGAACCCCTGCAAGATACTGAACAAGAAGACCATCCCCAAGACACACAGTCATCAGATTATCCAAAGTCAACACCAAGGAAAAAATGTTAAAGGCAGCTAGAGAGAAGGGATAATTCATCTACAAAGGGAACCCCGTCAAGCTAACAGCAAACCTTTCAACAGAAACCCTATAAGCTAGAAGAGATTGGGGGCCTATATTCAGCATTCTCCATTGAGGTGGAGTTCCCAGAGGCAACTGAAAGCCCCTCTGCCACTGCTGCTGCAGTGGTACTGCCCTTGCTGCCCTCAAACTGGGGAAGGAACAAAGACCCTAAATGCTTTACTCACACCTCCAGCAAGTCACAGCCTCCCTAAGGAGAAGAGGCTAGTCTGTCTTCCCCATGAGTCCCCCACATCCTCTGCCTGTCAACAGGCAGAGTCCCCCAGCTTGGGCCCACAACAGACTCCCCAGCCCCCAGGAATATCACACTGATTGGCAGCAGCTCTGCATATCTCTGGGGTGAAGAGACAAGTGAAAGGCCCTCTGCCATAGCCACTGCCAAGGTCTCTTCCCCTGATGCTTCCAAGGTTGGGAGGGAACATAAAGCCTGAGTTCACTGCAGGACAGCGGTGTGCAGCCTGGGACTGCTAAGCCAAGATCTGCAGCCAGCATTCTAGTGGGGAAAGCTCACACTTTCAGACCACTGAGAGGAAGTGTGGCTGCAATTGTGAGGAAATACAGAGAAGACACGTGGCTGGGCAAGAAACTACGTATTAGCCATTACACATAAGTGCCATTTACTAGATTACAGCTCAAACTTCAACACCAAAAATACTTTGCTAACATACTCCCCTGTGAAACTAAGGACAATAATTCAGCTGCAAATAAAGACCCCACACAAAGCCGCAGCTCTCTGAAAACATCCCAAAAAGAAGCCAACTGACTATTCTCAAATTATTCCACAGTTAAAGGAACATCGGCCCACACAGATGAGAAAGAATCAGTGCAAGAACTCTGGCAACTCAAAAAAAAACAGAGTGTCTTCTTTCCTCCAAAGGACCATACCAGTTCCCCAGCAAGCATTCTTAACCAGGATGAAATGGCTGAAATGACAAATATAATTCAGAATATGGACAGGAACAAAGATCATTGAGTTTCAGAAGAAAGTCAAAACCCCACCCAAGTAATCTAAGGCTTACAATACAACGATACAGGAGTCACAAGGCAAAATGACTATCATAAGAAGACCCAAACTGATCTGATAGAGCTGGAAAAAACACTACAAGAATTTCATAATACAATCACAAGTATTAATGACAGAATAGACCAAGCTGAGGAAAGACTCTCAGAGTTCAAAGACTGGATCTCTGAACTAACTCAATAAGACAAAAATAAAGAAAAAAATAATAAAAAAGAATGAACAAAGCCTCCGAGACATATGGGATTATGTAAAGAGACAAAATGTACAACTCATTGGCATCTCTGAAAGAGAGAGGGAGAAAGCAAGCAACTTGGAAAAGATATCTCAGGATATCATTCAAAATTCCCCCAAACTCATTAGAGAGGCTGGCATTCAAATTCAAGAATGTAAAGAACCCCTGCAAGATACTGCTCAAGAAGACCATCCCTAAGACACACAGTCATCAGATTATCCAAAGTCAAAACAAAGGAAAAAATGTTAAAGGCAGCTGGAGAGAAGGGACAGTTCATCTACAAAGGGAACCCCATCAAGCTAACAGCAAACCTTTCAGTAGAAACCCTACAAGCCAGAAGAGATTAGCGGCCTATATTCAGCATTCTTGAAGGAAAGAAATTCCAACCAAGAATCTCATATCCAGCCAAACTAAGCTTCATAAGCAAACAAGAAATAAGATCCTTTTCAGACAAGCAAATGCTAAGGGAGTTTGTTACCAGCAGACCTGCCTTACAAGAGGTCCTGTAGGGAATGCTAAATATGGAAAGGAAAGACTGTTACTGGCCACTACAAAAACATACTTAACTACATAGACCATTGACACTACAAAGCAACCACACAAACAAGTCTTCATAATAAGCAGCTAACAACATGATGATAGGATCAAATCCACACATATCAATACTAGCCTTGAATGTAAATGGGCTAAATTCTCCATTTAAAAGGCATAGAGTGTCAAGTTGGATAAAGAAGCAAGACCCAATAGTACGCTCTCTTCAAGAGACCTATCTCACATGCAATGATACTCATAGCCTCAAAATAAAGAAATGGAGAAAAATCTACCAAGCAAATGGAAAAGAGAAAAAAGTAGGGGTTACTATTCTAATTTCAGACAAAACAGACTTTAAATCAACAAAGATCAAAAAAGACAAAGAAGGGAATTAGATAATGGTAAAAGGTTCAATTAAACAGGAAGACTTAACTATCCTAAATATATATGCCCCTAACACAGGAGCACCCAGATTCATAAACCAAGTTCTTTGACATCTATGAAGGAACTTGGATAATGCTGGTATTATCCAAGGGATTTATGAAGGGACACAATAATGCTGGTAGACTTCAGCACCGTCACTGACAGTAATAGACAGATTATTGAGGCAGAAATCTAAAAAATATATTCAGGACCTAAACTTGACACTTGACCAAGTATACCTAATAGACATCTACAGAACTCTCTGCCCCAAAACAACAGAATATACATTTCCCTCATTTGCACATGGCACATACTCTAAAATCAACTACACAGTAGGACATAAAACAATCCTCAGCAAATTCAAAAAATCCCCTGTCAGACCACAACACAATAAAAATAGAAATCAATTCTAAGAAAATTGCTCAAAACCATAAAATTACATGGAAATTAAACAACCTACTCTTAAATGAACTTTGGGTAAACAATGAAATTAAGGCAGAAATCAAGAAAAGAAATTTTTTTAACTAATGAGAATAAAGTTACAACATACCAGAATCTCTGGGACATAGCTACAGCAGTGTTAAGAGGGCAGTTTATAACATTAAACACCCACATCAAAAAGTTAGAAAGATCTCAAATTAACAACCTAACAGCACACCAAAAGGAACTAGAGAAACAAGAGCACACCAACCCCAAAGCTCATAGAAGACAAGAAACCATCAAAATCAGAGCTGAACTCAAGGAAATTGAGATGCAAAAAAAAAAAAAAAAAAAAAAAAAACCAAAAACGAATCCAGGAATTGGGTTTTTGAAAAGAATTAGCATTATATACAGATAAACCACTAGCTAGGCTAATAAAGAAAAAAGAGAGAGAAGATCCAAATAAACATATTTGGAAATAACAAAGGGGATGTCACCACTGACCCCACAGCAATACAAAACCCCTCAGAGACTACTGCAAACACCTCTATGCACACAAGCTAGAAAACCCAGAAGAAATGGATAAATTCTGGGAAAATACAACCACCCAAGACTGAACCAGAAAGAAATTGAATGCCTGAACAGACCAATAATGAGTTCCAAAATTAAATCAGTAATAAAAAGCCTACCAACAAGAAAAAGCCCAGGACCCAACAGATTCAGAGCTGAATTCTACCAGATGTATAAAGAAGAGCTGGTACCACTCATACTAAAACTATTCCAAAATATTGAGGAGGAAGGACTCCTCCCTAGGGCCTTCTATGAGGCCAACATCATTCTGATGCCAAAATCTGGCAGAGACACAACAACAATAAAAAACAAAATTTCAGACCAATATCTTTTATGAACATAGATGCAAAAATTCTCAACAAAATACTAGGAAACTGAATGCAGCAGCACATCAAAAAGCTAATCCACCATGATCAGGCAGGCTTTATCCCTGAGATGCAAGGTTGGTTCAATATAGGCAAATCGATAAATGTGATTCATCACGTTAACAGAACTAAAAACAAAAAATCACATAATTATCTCAATAGATGCAGAAAAGGCTTTCAATAACATTCAACATCCCTTTATGTTAAAACCATCAAAAAACTAGACATCAAAGGAACATATCTCAAAATAATAAGAGTCATCTAATGACAGACTCACAGCCAGTATTATACTGAACAGGCAAAAGCTGGAAGCATTCCCCTTGAGAACTGGAACAAGACAAGGATTCCCACTTTTACCACTCCTATTCAGCATAGTACTGGAAGTCCTAGCCAGAGCAACAAGGCAAGAGAAAGAAATAAAAGACTTCCAAAATAGGAAGAGAGGAGGTCAAACTATCCCTGTTTATAGATGATATAATTCTATACCTAGAAAATCCTATAGCCTCTACCCAAAAGCTCATTGATCAGATAAACAACCTCAGGAAAGTCTCAAGATACAAAATCAATGTACAAAAATTGGTAGCATTCCTATACACCAACAACATCCAAACTGAGAGCCAAATCAATAATACAATCCCATTCATAATAGCCACAAAAAGAATAAAATATCTAGGAAAACAGCTAGCCAGGAAGGTGAAAGATCTTTACAATGAGAATACAAAACACTGCTTAAAGAAATCAGAGATGACACAAACACATGGAAAAATATTCTGTGCTCATGGATAGGAAGATTCAATATTGTTAAAATAGCCATACTGCCAATGCAATTTACAGATTCAATGTTATTCATATCAAACTACCAATGACATTCTTTTCAGAATTAGAAAAATCTATTTTAAAATTCATATGGCACCAAAAAAGAGCCTGAATAGCCAAGGGTATCCTTAACAAAAAGAATAAAGCTGGAGGCATCATGTTACCTGACTTCGAACTATACTAAAGGCTACAGTAACCAAAAAAACATGAAACTGGTGCAAAACCAGGCACATAGACCAATAGAGCAGACTAGAGGGCCCAGAAATAATGCCACACATCTACAACCATCTGATCTTTGACAAAGTTGACAAAAACAAGCAATGGGGAAAGGACCTCCTATTCAATAAATGGTGCTGGGGTAACTGGCTACCCATATGCAAAGGACTGACCCCTTCCTTACACTATATACGAAAATCTATTCATGATGGATTAAAGACTTAAATGTAAAACTTAAAACTATAAAGACTCTGGAAGATAACCTAGGAAATACTCTTCTGGACATAGACCCTGGCAAACATTTCATGATGAAGATGCCAAAAGCAATTTCAACAAAAATAAAAATTGACAAATGGGACCTAATTAAACTAAAGAGCTTCTGCATAGCAAAAGAAACTATCAACAAAGTAAACAGACAAGGCATAGAATGGGAGAAAATGTTTGCAAACTATGCATCTGATTCTAAGCATCTATATTCTTATAGATTCTAATATCCAGAATTTATAAATAGCTTAAACAAAGTAAGAAGCAAAAAACAAATAACCCCATTAAAAAGTAGGCAAAGGACATGAACAGATGCTTTTCAAAAGAAGACATACACATGACCAACAAGCACATGAAAAAATGTTCAACATCATGGATCATTAGAGAAAGGCAAATCAAAAGCATAATGAGATACCATCTCACAAAAATCAGAATGGCTATTATTAAAAAGTAAAAAAATAACAGATGTTGGTGAGGTTGCAGAGAAAAAGGAATGCTTATACACTGCTGGTGGGAATGTAAATTAGTTCAGCTGTTGTGGAAAGCAGTGTGGTGATTTCTCAAATAACAAAACAGAATTACCATTTGACCCAGCAATTCCATTATTGGATATATACCAAAAGGAATATAAATTGTTCTACCATAAAGACATATGCATGTATAGGTTCATCACAGCAATATTCACTGTAGCAAAGACATGGAACCAACTTAAATGCCCATCAAGAGCAGACTGGATAAAGAAAATGTGGTACACATACAGCATGGAATACTATACAGCCATAAAAAGAACAAAATCACATCCTTTTTAGCCATTATCCCTAGCAAGACAACCCAGGAACAGAAAATCAAATACCACAAATAATAAGTGGGAGCTAAAGATTGAGAACACATAAACACAAAGAAGGGAACAGACACCAGGGCCTACTTGAAGGTGGAGAGTGAGAAGAAGGAGAGGATTGAAAAACTTCCTATCAGGTATTATGCTTATTATTTGAGTGGTGAAATAATCTGTACACCAAACCCCTGTGACATGCAATTTACCTATATAATAAAACTGTACATGTAGCTCTGAACAAGAAATATACTTTCTGTTTCCATTTTCCTATCTGTAAAACAGGGGTAATAATAGCTTCCTCATAAAGTTCTGAGGATTAAATTAGCTAATACAAATAAAGTACTTAAAACAGTCCCTGGCATGTGCTAAGTACTTAATTCATGTTGGATATTATATTATTAATAATTGCAAATATAAAATAAAGAACATTCTACAACAACAGAGAAAGACAAAGACTTCTGAAGAAGGTATGTACTCTGAATCCACTAGATAATCAATTTGAAGAGTAAAGTTTTTTAAAAACCTGAGACTGGAAAACATACTAAAATTTTGCTCTTCAAAGTGTGTGGTCCATAGACCAGCAACATTGACATCAGCCAGGAGCTCATTAGCAATGCAGACTCTCAGGCCCCAGCCCAGACCTACCCAACCAGTTGTCTTGACAAGATGCCTAGGTGGTTTCTAAGTACATTAGCGTACACTACTGTTTTATGTTTTTTAGATGTAACTTTTTTAGGAGATAATTTTTTTCAACAGGTTTTTATCTTCAGGCTATGTCATTGAATGGAATATTGATATACCTAATTTTCTTTTATATTTCCTATAAAAATTCCACTTTGAAAAGCTCTATTTATCATGACTGTCTAGGGCACACTTTGTAGAAGAGCAACATAGAAATAGAGCAGAAAGAGCAGAAACACCTTAGTTTGCATCCCTACCCCTCATTTCTGTCATCAGAGTGAAGGCCAAAATGTCTTCCCACCTGTTGACCAAGAGGCAGACCTGCCTCCCCAAATGCCCAGACACACTGTCTTTGCCTTCCTTGCTTTGTACCTAAAAGGAGATGTGTTTCTGCAGCTCCAACGTCAGTTTTCTTCTCTCTTTTAAGGCCAACTCTTTCTCCAATAACATACAGGCTGCTCTTGGCTTTGGAGCCCTCCACCTGCTTATCACTCCTGCCCAGTGGATGGTCCTGTCTCATTGATGGCTCACCTCACTTCTGGATGGAACCAGGGCTTGGGAGGGGTAGTCATCTGCATGTGCTAGGGTATCCTCTGTGACAGCCTTCGTGGAGCATATGAGTGAGAGGCATCACTACCGCCACTTCTGATAGAGAAGAAATTATTGCCAACAAGGGAATCAGTTGTGGTAGGATGCACAAGCATGCACGTGCACGCGCACACACACACTACACACACATCCAGATACACACACATACACCACACACATTCATACACTGCACCACACACACACATACACATGCATATATACATACTCCTCTCCCAAGGACACACATTGGTTTTTAGAGAAAGTACAATCGAAATCAGTGTTTTTCAACCTAAGATCTAGGAATGTATTTTTTCCTTTCCAAGATAACATTTTTTGCCTTTAAAAACAAAAGAGTGTTTACATTTAGAAGCACTGGTCTTAATCCTTAGGAAGGAATAGAACCCTTTTCCTAATTGCCCTGTAATTTTTCAAACCAGCCTGTCTCACAACAGCAATATTTTGATGATTACATTACAGCTTCATCCCCTAAGCTCTGCCCTATCTCATAATCTGAATGAACACCCATCTCCTAATGGCTGCTCCCTGGCCACCCTGCAGCCCTGTAAGAGACTGCTTCATCTCCCAGGCTCAGAGAGCCGACCTCAAACTCCCTCTCTTTCTGTCCCTCTCTGAACCTGCTTGACAGGAGGGCAAGGAGATTATTTTCCTCCTGTCACCTGGTGGTAAACAGAAAAGCAGCCCAGACTGAGGAGTCGATTGGCTGCCTGGCGGCTGCCCACCACAACAGAACTGGGGTCTTGCTCTCCTTGGAGGTCTTAGCATCATGTTGGCCCCGCTTCTTGTCTGGGGTTGGAGTTGACTGCAAAGCATTGATTCCCTAAGGAATTGGAATGGTGTGAAGGGCTGACTTTTCTTTCTAAGATATTTACTTTGGGATGTTTGCAGACATTTTTCCTAATTCTAAAGGAAAATCATCTACATAGAAGACTGTGATGGAAATACAGGAATGGCATCCCAGGGACCTGGTAGTGTGCCCCCTTTCTCAGCCTCAAGCCCTTAACTATAAAATCAGCTAAAATACCTCATAATGCTGAAAAACAGTATGTTTTTCTTAAATATGTGGTACATGGTTTATTTCATATTTTTTCACACAATTTATTGTTTAAAATTTATATTCTACCTTGTCTCAGAAAGGATTTCAGGGGTGTTACAAGGGTACGTAAAATAACAAGATAGCATACATTAGAAATACGTGAAGAACAAAAGGGGAAAACAAAGACGGGGCATAAAAGGGAACCAGGCTGTAGTTAGAACTTCCAGGCATCCCTTGAAGTCTTGCCCTTTTGCTTCAGGAAAATGTTGCAGATTGCTTTTGCAACCCAATAAGGCAAATGAAAGGAAAGGAACATAACTCTCCTTATGAGCAAGGCAATCAGTAATAGCATCTGTAGCAGGTGTGGAAAAACCTTTTTGTTTCTAAGCACCACTGACCTGCCAAAAATTTAATCAAAGATTTTGTGTAAGTACAAGACAACTGATTGTGAGTTTTTGTTGTTGTCATTTGGAGATGGACATAGATAGATAGATAGATAGATAGATAGATAGATAGATAGATAGATAGATAGAATAGCTCTATAAATTAAGATATGTATATATATGATTATTCTATAAATTAAAAGCGGACACATTATATATAGAATACAAAAACATTCAATAAATTAGAACATATAGAAATCAACCTATTACAGTTCCATAGTATAGTCAGTTCTTTAACCAAAGGGGCAGAATTCCACTAAGTGAGACCCACAGGGGCTGGAACACACTGTCACAAAGAGAAGGAGCACACAACTATTGCTCTGAGGAGCAAGGAAGCTCAAAGTTTTGAACTTCAAAATGAATGAGTGGGCTGGTCTGATTTTAAAACAAGGCAACCTGATTTTAAAGTCTGATTTTAAAACAAGTGCTGGCAAGATATGCCTGAAAGTGATGCCTAAAAGGGTTGCTATTTGAAGCCAGTTCCAATGCCTCGTTTGTCCACTGGGTAGGGGTGGTGGTGGGCGGAAAAGGTTTTATTCTATGGGCAAAGAACTAAAACCACAGACATCACCGTGTAAGATCCAGATAAGTTCTGCCTTACCTTTTTAGCCTCATATTTTGCCAGCCTCCATGACACTAGACACAATCCCAAACATGTATTTACATCCACACACTCACATACACACTACTCACACACACACTACTCACACACACATCAAACATGCTCACACACACTAATATATACACATACATTCACACATAACCACACAATACACAAATGCATATACATACACATATACATTCACACATAAACTCACACATACACATACAAAAACACAGCCATATGCATACATTCATACAGACACACATTCATACATACACACACACTAACACACATTCATACAGATGCATACACTCACATACACACACACTGGGCCGTTGAAGATTTCAGAAGAGGCCTCTCATTGCCAGTCCCAAGCACAAGCTGAACCCCTATTTACAGAGTCCTCCTCTTTCCCACCCCCATTGCCCTCACTTTTCCCAGAGAACCCTGCCTGTCCTATATGATCCAACTTAAATGTAACTTCCTTCCAGAAGCTTTCTCTCCAAATCCTGGACTGATAACTTCCTTCAGACAACGGCTTTCACAGGTTCGTTCAAAGCAGTACACAAAAAAGATGCATTGCCATAACATCCAACAAAGAAGATTTGAAAAGTCTACAATGTCAGAGCCCTGCCAGGACACTCTGACAGCCCTTCAACCACCTGACACCAAGTACACAATGTGGGACCAGCACAGAGAAAGCAGAAGAGATTAGAAAATTCAGATGGATGGCAACAGATGGAATATTTATTTATTTCAAATGCTTTTTTGCTGGGAGAGACACATGAGATGTATATCTTATTTCCAGAGCAGTCTCAGGGGAAACAGCTGTCATGCAGTTTCATTCCAGAACTCTTTAGTACAGTACAAACAACGTAATGGAGGACAGACAGTCTAAATAGCAGACCACAATACAGAGCCGCCTCAATTGCAGTTCATTTTACCCTGTAACTTCTTCTTAACATGGAGTGAAATGTTCCCTACAATAAAACAGTGCAGTGACCTTTGCGTATTAAATCAGATTTCATGCTCCAGAACTGTGATTAAAATATTCCCATGCTACTTTTTCCTCCCAAATGGAACCAAAGTGCTTTAAGAAAATTTACTGAATCCTTGAAAACCAAATGATCCCTTAATAGCCTTAGGTAAGTTACTGCAAAATTTAATTTCTGCTAACCTACCTGAGATTGCAAACAGAAAAATAAACGTGTGATACTTACCTGCCTGCTGCATTCTCCTCTCTGACCCACACTTCAGAGTGTGCCATACTCTTGTAAAACAATCAAGGATGCCTATTGTCTTGCAGTGACTCCAGGCACCTGTAGCATTGACTTTTGTCCCTCTTGGGCCATAGATAGAAATACTCATGGTTCACCCTTTAAGAGCCCATTTATCTTGTTAAGAAGGTCATTCTGCAACTTTTTTCTTAACCAGAATGAACACCGACTTGTTTCTGAGAGTCTGATCATTAAGAACAAAATAATAGATACCAAGGATTATATATTTATTTAAAACATTGTATCTGTACATTTAATCATTTATTGTATTGGTATGGTTTAAAATATGTGTGTGTGTGTGTTTTAAATCTCGAATCTCTATTCTCCCCCTGCCTTTTTAGACAACAGCACCATGCTGTCCTTTTAGTGAATTATGTCTCCCCACTTTGTGGGCCCTTGGTGCAGCCATTAATCAAGGCATGCTTCTCTCCTCTAGTCAAAGGGCAGGCCAGTGAGCAAGACTAGAGCAATTTTGAGTTAATTGATAGGAAAAGAAAATAGTTGGCACTGACCCCTTTCAGGGCTGGAACCCTGATGAGTTAGTATCTAATTAGGGGCCATAGATTGGTTTCTGCTATCTAGTTCTCCGGAACTACCCTGAATGCTGTTCCCTTCCCAGCCTGGGTTTGCAGACTTTCCTTCAATTCTGTATGCAACTAATACCTTTTTAATGTATATATTTTTTTCTGCTTGATAAACCAGAATAAATTTTGGTGCTTGGAACCAAAGAATCCTTATTATGAAAGAGCTTACAACCAGATGTGATGTTAAGGATAAAGACAGGGAACATTACAAAAATAGAGAAAACAACAGCTCACTGTTAGTAAGCAACAATGGGAGGATAGCTAGCAAGAATCACAGCCAAAATCATGCCACAGACTCAGTCCAGGGAGAGGCGAGCACTGCTGGTACCAATCTTCACCAACTGGTGCAGCAGCCCTGAACTCTGGATATCACTGCTGTCCCCATGGCATTACTGCCTCTGAATAATGGATATGATTGCTGCCTGTTCCACCAAAACAGAAATTTTTACTGTCCCAAGTAAAAGATCCAGTGGGTGCATCTAATTGACTGAGTCAAGGTTACATGCTCACACTGAAGCTTTCTAAGGGTGTTAGAGTATCTTGCCATTTCCACTGTTAGTAAACGTTCCCAGTTAGTAAACTTGATTGAATTAAAAATTTCATTCCACATCAGAAACCCCAACACCAAGGTATCCATCCAAGTTGTACCTGCATTCTTGACCCACGGAAACTGTGAGAGAATAAATATTTGCTGTTTTAATATACTATGTTTAAGAGCAATTGACAACTAATAAACACTCCAATTAAAAAACAGGGATATTCCAACTGAATATAAAAGTAAGACTCAACTATATGCTGCCTAGAAGAAACATACTCTATAAAGACATAAATAGTTTAAAAGTAAAAATGTGGAAAAAGATGTATCAGGTTAACAATAATGAAAGACAGCTGGAGTGGCTCTATTAGTAATAAATAAAGTAGATTTCAGAGCAAAAATATAACCAGGGAAAAATATGATCATTTCATAATGATGAAGGAGTCAATTCACCAAGAAGACATAATAATCCTAAATGTTTATGCACCCATAATGGAGCTTCAAAATATATGAAGCAAAAACATACAGAACCAGATACATCACAATTATACTAGAAGATTTCAACACCCCTTTAGCAATAGTTGATAGAATAGTTAGAAAATTAGTAAAGTTATAAAAGGCTTGAACAATACTATCAACCAACCTGACCTAATTTTTTTGTTTTTTGAGACAGGGTCTCATTTTGTTACCCAGAGTGGAGTACAGTGGCATGATCATGGCTCACTGCAGCTTCAACCTCTCAGGTTCAAGTGGTTTTCCCACTTCAGCCTCCCAAATAGCTGAGAGTACAGGCATGCACCACCATGCCCACCTAGCTTTTTAATTTTTTGTGGAGACTGGCTCCCACTATGTTACCCAGGTTAGTTTCAAACTCCTGGGCTCAAGTGATCCTCCTGCATTGGTCTCCCAAAGTGCTGGGATAATAGGTATGAAGCACTGTGCCTAGCCAGCCTGACTTAATTGATATGTATAGAACATGCCACCAACAGCAGAATATACATTCTCTTCAAGTACACACAGAACATTTAGTAAGATAGGCATTCTGAATTATAAAATACATCTCAGTAGATTTAAAGGACTTAAATCATGTTCTCTGACTACAGTGAAATTAAATTTGAGATCAATAACAGAAAGTACACTGGAAAAAAACCCAAATATTTGAATACTAAGTAACACACCTCTAAAAAAAACTTAGGGGGTCAAAGAATAAATAAAAAGGAAAATTATAATGTATTTTGCACTGAATGATCAAAACACAGCATATCAAAATTTGTAGGGGCAGTGAAAGCAGTACTTAGAGGGAAATTTATAGTGCTAATTGCCTATATTAAAGAAAAGAAGGTCTCAAATCAGTGACCTTGGTTTCCATGTTAAGAAACTGGAAAAACAAGAGGAGACAAAAATATAAGTAGCATAAGAAAGTCTGTAGTAGAAGTAATGAACAAGTAAAAAGTATTAGAAGAGAGGAAATTATAAATATCAGAACAGAAATCAATGAAATAGCAAACAGAAAAAAATAAACAACAAAGAGCAAACAGGAAAAAACCTGTTCTTTGAAAATATCAATAACACTGATAAATGTTTAACTAGACCAATACAGAAAATAAGAGAGAAGACACAAATAACAAAATTACCTTATATCTATTAAAGAAATACAATTTTAATAAATTTGAATCATCATAAAGAAGACTTCAAGCCCAGATGGCTTTGTTGGCAAATTCTACTAAACATTTAAGGAAGAAATAATACCAATTTCACATAAAATATTCCAGAAAACTAAAGGAGGAGGGATAATTTCCTTCTCCCGCTATGAGGCCAGAATTATGATACAAAAGATAGGCAAAGATATTATTAAAAAAAGAAAACTGGCCGGGCATGGTGGCTCACACCTGTAATCCCAGAAATTTGGGAGGCCGAGGCAGGTGGATTATCTGAGGTCAGGAGTTCAAGACCGGCCTGCCCAACATGGTGAAACCTCATCTCTACTATAAATACAAAAAATTAGCCAGGCATGGTGGCAGGCCCTTGTAATCCTAGCTACTCAGGAGGCTGAGGCAGGAAAATCGCTTGAACTCAGGAGGCAGAGGTTACAGTGAGCTGAGATTGTGCCATTGCACTCCAGCCTGGGTGACAAGAGCGAAACTCTATCTAAAAAAAAAAAAAAAAAAAAAAAAAGGCCAAATCCCTCATGAACATAGATGAAAAAATTCTTAATAATATTTTAACAATTTCAATTCAACCATACAAAACAAAAATATCATGCCAAGTGGGGTTTAGATGAGGACTGCAAATTTGATTTAATAGTTGACAATTATTCAATGTATTTTTAGCATATGAATAGACTAAAGAAGAATAGTCATATGATCATTTCAATAGATGCAGAAAAAGTATCTGATGAAATCCAACATCCATTCATAATAAAAACTAGAACTAGAGGAAATCTGAAAGAAATTATGTGGCTGACATCATACTTAATGGTGAAAAACTGAATGTTTTGCCCCCATACTAGGAATAAGGCAAGGATGTCCATTCTCATTTCTCTTCAACATTGTACTGAAGGTTCTAGCCAGGGCAATCAGTGAGAAAAAGAAATAGAAGACATATATTTTGGAAGAGAAAAAGAATCAAAGTTATCCTAATTCACAGGTGACTATGATCATCTTCAAAGAAAATCTGAAAGAATCTACAAAAACTGGTACCAGAACTAATAAGTTTCAGGATATAAAGTCAATATATAAAATTAATTGTGTTTGTAAATACTAGCAGTGAACAATGGGAAATTAAAATTTTTTTTAAATTATCAATTATATAAGCATTAAAATATGACTTATGGATAAATCTCACAAAAGATGTACAATATCTATAAACTGAAAACTATAAAACATTTCTGAGAAAAACCAAAGAAGACCTAAATAAATGAAGCTATATACCATGTTCATGAATGGGAAGCATCAATATTGTTAAGATATTAATTCTTTCCAAGTTTATCTATGGATTCAATACAATCCTGCTAAAAAATCCCAACAGAATTTTTTGTATAAATTGATAAGCTATTTCTAAAATTCATGCAAATATACTAGAATAACTAAAACAACTTTGTAAAAAAAAAAAAAAAGTTAAAGTACTTACACTTCCTGGCTTCAAGACTTACTATAAATCTATAGTGAGCAAGATGGGTGGTAAAGATAACAGATCAATGGAACGGAAAAGACCCCTTAAATAGACCCATGCATATAAAGACTATTATATTCCAAGAAATGTGTAAGTATGGAGAAAATGTGTGTTTTTTCCTACCCTTTTTAACAAGGGTGAAGAAAGGATGGTCTATTCAACAAGGTACTGGAACAATTGGGCTATCCATATGCAAAAATATGAACTTTGAAACATAACTTGCACCATATACAAAACTTACCTGAAAATGAATCACATATGTAAATGTAAAACTGAAGAGTATACAACTTTTAGCAGAAAACATAGGAGAAAATCTTTGTGTGTTTGGGTTGGGTAAAGATTTCTTCCGTATAACACCTGATAGATTATTGTAACGATTAAATAAAATAATAAGAGGAAAGCTCTTAGGAGAATACCCATGGAATATGCAATAAATGTAATCTCTTATTGTTAAATGCATGCATTACTTTGAGGTTTTGAATATTTTTAAATTTGAACCTTATAATGACCAAAGGTGGTAGGAAGGGATTATTAGCCACATTTCTATAAAATAAGAAACTGAAGTTCAGAGAGGTTAATGACTTAAGTTATTCAAAGTTACCATATTAGACAAAAGTGAATTTAGCTTCAAGTTTGTTAGCTTCTCTTGGGTAACAGAAACCTTTAACAAATATGAGTTAATTTCTCTCAAATAACATAAAATTGGGTGGAGGGCATTGCTGGTGTTGGCTCAGTGGCTACACAGTCAAGTCAGTTTTCAAATCATGGCTCAAGGTACACGGCTTTTGATTGTTTTGACTTTCCTCTTAGAGATGTGAGAAGGCTACTGCATCTCCATACACCCACTCAGAGGAAGTTCAGCCCAGAGGGCTTTTCTTCACATCTTTCTCTCATCATGGAAGAGATATCTTTTCTGGTAACCCCACAGACTTCCTCTTACTTCTCACTGTCTAGAGGTGAGTTATAATTTCCATCCCTGGGTTAGTGGCTGGGTCCACTCTCCTTGAGATGGAAGAATCTCTTTCATCTCATCACACACTTGAATAAAATTGGGATTTTGCTAGTAGGGAAAACAGGACTAACTTCATTACCAGTATCCACCACAACCACGCAGACGATCATGGAGATGCCTGGATTCAAACTGGGTTTTATGACTTCAATTCTAGTCTACTTGCCACTACATAAAACCAGCCTAGCATGATGGCACTGTGCTAGCATTGGGCTACAAGGATGAAAAGCCATATTCCACGACCTCAAGAATATTCTCTGAGAAGACAGAAAACAGTTATAATAATAAGCAAATAAAATACTTGCTTTGGAGATATATATATATCTCACATTGTGGTAGATGGAGATGTCAGACTGGAGGAGTAAAGCCTCCCAAAGTAGCATTTGAAGAGTGAGTAGGAGTGAGTAGGCATTTACCAGGTAGACTTGACTGATGGTGAGTAAGGAGTGCCCAGTATAATCAAAGGCATGGAGGTGCAAACAATATGACATTTTCAGAATTCGATATTACTTTATTAAAGCTTAAAATACAAGAGATGTGCATTAGTTTGTTCTCATGCTGCTATAAAGAACTGCCCGAGACTGGGTAAATTATAAAGGAAAGAGGTTTAATTGACTCACAGTTCCACAGGACTGGGGAGGCCTCAGGAAACTTACAATCATGGCAGAAGGGGAAGTAAACATGTCCTTCTTCACATGGCAGCAGGGAAGAGAAGAATGAGAGCTGAGTGAAGGGGGAAGCCCTGTATAAAGCTTACTCACTATCACGAGACTAGCAAGGGGCAAAATCACCCCTATGATTTAATTACCTCCCATCAGGTCCCTCTCAGGACACATGGGGATTATGGGAGCTACAATTCAAGATAAGATTTGGGCAGGGTCACAGCCAAACCATATCAAAATGAATAATTGGACTACCAAAAATTGAAGCTGGACAGGGAGGCTGCATATGTACTGTAGTTGATGGGACACAAACAAAAAAAGAAGTCTGTTTGATCAGGGAATTTCAATTTGGTCAGGGAAGGTGATTGGAAAGCTCATAGTAAGGTTTTTAGTTAAAAGACGATTCTGCTTCTGTCTCTATATAAAGTAACCTAGATGACAGCTGAGGTCACCTCATCCTTTGAAGGATGAAAATTAAAGAGAATGAAATTTTGTCCTTTGAAAATTAAAGGAGTTCAGCTTCTTCTTTGGGTTGTCTGTCCTATGGAAAGTTTGATGCCCACCCTAAGATTCTGGCAACTTTTCAGGGGCTGTCTTAGTTTTCGATGGCTGCAATAACAAAGTTTCAACAAACTGAGCGTCTTAAAACAATAGTAATTTATAGTCCAACAGTTCTGGAGGCTGGAAGTCTGAATTCAAGGTGTCAGCAGGGCCACAGTCCCTCCGAAGGCTCCAGGAAAGAGTCCTTCCTTACCTCTCCAGCTTCTGATGGCCAAGCCACTTGATTTGTAGTGGCATAACTCCACTTTCTATCTCCATCTATGCAGGGCCTTCTTCTGTCTGTGTCTCTTTGACTTCATCTTCTTCTCTTTTTATAGGGAGAACAGCTGCTAGATTTAGGACATCATCCTAAATTTAGGATGATTTCTTCTTGAGATCCTTAATTATATCTACAAAATACCCTGTTTCCCAATAGGGTCACATTCTGAGGTACCAGGTGGACATGAATTTTTGAGGGACACTATTCATCCTACTGGAAGAGCTCATAGTCTCATGGTTAGTTTGGCTCTAAGTTTCTGCTCATAATAAAACCTTAATCTCAAACATCACATGTTCTTACTCATACACAGGAATTAAAAATGTGGAGCTCATAGAAGTAAAGAGGAGAATTGTGGTGACTAGAGGCTGAGAAAAGTGGAATGGAGATAGGGAAAGGTGGATTAATGGACACAAAATTACAGCTACATAGAAGGAATAAGTTTTAATATTCTCTAGCCCTGAAGAGTGACGTATAGGTAACAATAATTTATTACATATTTCAAATAGCTAGAAGAGAGGATTTTGAATGTTTCCAACCAATAAATGATAAAAGTTTGAGGTGATGGATGAGCTAATTACCCTGATTTGATCATTACATGTTGTATACATGTATCTTGTATACATGTACCGAAATATCACTGTTTCCCACATATGTACAATTATTATGTATCAATTAAAAATAAAATTTAAAAATCTTAATCTCACATCTCATTTTCCATGGATATATTATTTTCTTTGCTAGATACCAGCCAAGATGTAGAACTCAGTCCTTTTCCTTGATGTGCCCCAAATCTGTTCACTAAGTTGTTTATGAGCACAGAACTTATAGAGAAATGGATGATGCACACATTTCAGCAACACACACATTAACTTGGAGGATGAGGAATTTGTGTTCTTAAGTGCCCCTTGCTAGGCTGGGCGAGGTGGCTCATGCCTGTAATTCCAACACTTCGGGAGGCTGAGGTGGGTGGATCACCTGAGGTGACCAGCCTGGCCAATGTGATGAAACCCCGTCTCTACTAAAAATACAAAAATTAGCCGGGTGTGGTGGTACACACCTGTAGGCCTAGCTACTCGGAAGGCTGAGGCATGAGAATCACTTGAATCCATGAGGCAGAGGTTGCAGTGAGCTGAGATCACACCACTGCACTCCGGCCTGGGCGACAGAGTGAGTGAGACACCGTCTCAAAAAAAGAGAAAAAAAAAGTTAAAAAAAAAAATGTGCCACTTGGTGAGCTCACTTCTGGAAATTTTTCATTCTCAAACTCATCAGAACCCAGAACGCTGTTTTATTCCTGTCCCCTTTCTCCGTCTTTCTACCTACCCTGCTATCTTTTCTTCCTGGCTCCTCCATTCTGCCTGCCCCCTACCCACCTCCCCCGACTCTGATTATTCTTGTGAGGTTTGTTCAGTTTGTTTCACTGTCCTTTCATATCCAGCCCTCGAGAGGTCATCTTCTATGTGTAGCAAAGAGTTCTATTCCACAAAAATAGTTCTCTCCCAGAGGAACCCAGGGGCCATCTGTCAAAATATTAATATTAGTTGTTTCACCCTACTACAAGGCAAAGAATGATAAACAGCACAAAAATCAGAAACGTCTGTACATAGATTATGAAGTCTACTCTTTGAAGGGGTTGAACACTTTTATTTCAATTAAGTTTCATTATAATACACTTGGGAGGCTCATTTAAGTAGTTAATGAGCTAAGGCACTGATTGAGATAGATGTGTTTATTGCTGCCTCACTAATAAGAAACAAAATTTTATACCGTGTGTGTGTGTGTGTGTATGACATACTTATGATATATATGTATATAATTATCATGTAGATATTTAATCAGTATGTATGTATATGTTATGTATACTGCTAGTATGTATATATTAAGTACATAGTATATATGTATTTAAGTAGCATGCATGTATATTATGTATATAATATATATGTTATGTAGATACTGTGCATGTATACATTATGTATACTAGTATTTGTGTATATAATATATGTATTCTATTAATAGTATGTATTAGTAAGCACTTTGCTGAGTAATATCCATTGAGTTCCTTATCTAATCCTCATAATTAGGAGTTAGCTATTGTTATTTCCTCCACTTTACAGATAAGGAATTGAGACTTAAAGTTGTGAGATGCCTTTCCCAAGGTAAATAATTAGGAAATGACAGAACCTGTCTCTAGTAGTGTCCTTGCTCTTAACCCAATGATTATCACTGCTGAAGAACATATACTAAAATGTTAACAGTGGCTATATCTGGGGGGAAGATAACATTTGATTAAAATATGCTTTTCTGGATTTGTTGAATTTTCTCCAATGAACACATATGACATTTGTAATAGGAAGCCTGCTCCCCCCTCCCACCAATAAATTTTATAAAGAGACAATCACACCAGTTTCTTAACTGATTGAAAATGCAGGGCTATTATTTTTTAAAAGTCAACATTAAACTATGATAATATTATTGCCTAATATTTTGTATATTGCTTTATAAAATACAAATTATGTTCACATGCATTTCTCATTGAGTCTTTCCAATCTCTGTGGATTAGAAAGGTACATATAATGAGGTATTATTATCACCCCTTTTGTTTGTCAAATGAAGATGAAAGAATCAATTCACTCTCCGCTCTCATAAAATCATGAAAAAAACTAGCTTGACTTCAAGCTTCCTAGGGACTGGGGCTGCATCTGAAATGCCCTTGCAGCTACATCTCCAGCCCATAGCACAGAACTTACCACATAGTAGGTGCTAAACAAAATCTGAAAGAATGAAATCTAGTGCCTTACTCTTGGTCATGTCTTCTACCCATTGACCTCTAACTCTGGCCAGCTGAAATGTAATCTTTTTATTTGTACTCTCCAGTTAGGACTTTAAAAAGTTTGTTTTCTTAGACACCACCCTTAAAAGGGATTACACACAAAAATGGAGGAGTTGCAGAGAGGCATTTTAGCATTTGTGTGTGTGTGTAGTAAAATATACATAATAAAATTAACTATACTGTACAATTCAAGGGCACTTAGTAAATTCACAATGTTATGCAACCATCACCATGATCTAATTCTAGAACATATGCATCACCCCCGAAAGGAAACCCATGCCCATTAAGCAGTCACTTCCCAACTCCCCATCCCCTCAGTCTCTGGCAACCACTATACTGCTTTCTGTCTCTATGGATTTGCCTCTTCCAGATAGTTCACATAAATAGACTCACACAATATGTGGCTTTTTGTGTCTGGCTTCTTTAACTTAGCATAATACTTTTGCGGTTCATCTGTGCTGTGACATATTTCAGTATTTCTTTTATTTTCATGGCCGAATAAAGTCCATTGGGTGGATATTCCACCGAATCATTTTCTAAGGGGAGAAACAGGTCCTAGTATGAAGAGAGGTTTGCCCAAGGAAGAGGAAGTTCACTCAAGCTTGCCTTCACTTGGACCTTCCAACTCAAGAAGTTTGTTTCAGGAAGATACTGAGGAGTTATTCTCCATGTCTGTGGAGAACAAAATGAAAGGAAATCCATGGAGGGCAGAAGAGATTCTTGACTGAGCATAAGGGAGAAGTTCCTGATGATCTGGGCAGTTAAACCAAGAAACCCAATTGGGACCGCCGACCTTGAGAAAGAGAAGGGTCATCCCTTCATTCCAGATCAGTATTTGTGGGGCATTTACCACCTAGAAGCATAGGACTAGGCCAGGTGACACTTCAAAATCATTCTCACGCTGTAATTCTAGGATCATGGGAAGGAAAACTTAAAGGATTGAAAAGTAAATCACAGAGAGTTTGTGAAGATAGAAAACTGACCACTTAGGTAACTGCATAAATAGCTTAAAATTACATAAATTGGCTATAATGTTGGAAAGGGGCATGTGACATTCTAACAGAAAAACAAATTAGCTAATGGAATAAAACAGCAATTGATGGCATTGATTATAATTTGTAGTGCAAAGAAAAAGGTCAACTCATCTCCTGAATTTTATTTGGGTTAATGATAATTATGTTTAGGTAAAAAGAAATGAAAATCCTAATTGCAAGATAATGTCAGCTCTTTAGAGAACATTTTGTGCCCAACCTAAAAGAGATAGATAGAGAAAGAGAAGAAAGCACAATTATTATTTCCTTCATTTCAAACCCAAGTTAATATAAATTATCTGGAAGGAAAAATTATCTGTGCAGATGTAAAATATTATAAATTCTCAAATAATTAGACTTAGATATCTTAAGAAAAACACTCACCAGTGCTTTCAAACCAGTTTTAAGTCCTAATCCTTGTATGCTTAAATAAACATTGCACACACAGATGCAGTGTGTGAAGCAGGCTCTGCTTTAAGAGGGGAAAGATTACATTTCTGTGTTTACCCAAGAGCTGACTAAAACACATTCCATTTGGCTGGGACACACAGAAATTAGTTTGAGAAACTGGAAAGGGAACTTTATGTGTTTTAACATAACAGACTGAACGTGGTGTATATTTTACAGATATCATGAGAAGTTTCTCTCCTCCACCTTTTACTGAGCCATCAAAGAGGCAATTGTGTGAACGAAATAACACAGTAACATGTCACATTCCATTTACATCGATTTATCAAATCCAGGAAGAAGCCTTCGCACTTTCCGGACTAGTGATCAGCACTAGGCCAGTATGAAAAGCTGAGAAATGGAGAGTTTTCAAGGAAAATACACATTAAAAATAAGTACCAAAAAATCATTTTTTTTTTGCACATACTTTTACTTTTATTGACTTAGGTTTTGAAAAGTTAGTCTAGGGTAGCAACATGACTTTTGGGGGCCTTAGGCACCTTTACTTTGATGGATCCCATTCTTCATTTAAAAAATATTAAAAATTATATTCTATGACTGCATTGGTATAGAGATGAATATAATCCAGGGTGGTTTTATTCTTATATATTCACTATTATTCAATTCAATAGTTTCTCCTGATTTTCAAAGAAATGAAAATAAAACCATTTTCATGGGCCCCTAGAAATGTTGTGGGCTATAAATCTGTGTCTGCTGTGCCTGATGGATACATCAGCCCTGAGTCAGCCAGTACGCAAATAGCCCATATGGTGAGCAGAGGTCTGGACTAGGCCCAGGGGCAATGCAAAGAAGTGTAAGATGTAACATAAAATGCAGCTGAATTGAGGAAACTTACATTCAGAGAGGGATAAGGAGCTAAAGATTGATACGAGACACTGGAAATTACGGGGTAGATGGGAAGGATAGACAGGGGTGAAGGTGAAGGGTGAAAAAGATGAAGGTGGCAGATTATGTAGGAGGTTATTGCTGTATCCAAATTAAAGTTTTAAGGACTTGAGTGAGCTTGACGACAGTGAAAATGGTTAATTAAGAAAGAAAAAGACTTGAGAGAAAGGACATAAAGAACAAGGAAGGGGAAGAAGTCACCAACGATGCTGTGGTATTAGATGGCATCTTATGCCTCAATTCTTAAAGGTTTTATGTCACATTATTATGATTTTCTTACATGCTGGCCTTCAATATTTCATTTAAAATGTTCTCTCTTTATTTCCTGTTCCCACAAAAAGACATAGCCAGACTTATAAGTATAATTAAAATGTGACTTCAATTGAGCTATGTGACCATGTTTCCATCTTGTTCTTAGCAGCCATCTCATTCCCTCCCTACCCCCACCCCCAATACTCTGCATTTGTCAAAATCAGAAGTGCATTTTAAAAGAAGATTGGTTCAAATTCATGTATCTGGCCTTTTAAAACTGTGTCAGCCTGGTCAAAATGTCCTTGCCACCCAACACATTCTGGGCCGTTCCCTAGTAACAGATACTGAAGAGATGACCCATTTGAGTGGAAATTGAAATCAGCATTTCGATACTATTTTTGGTTTGGTTTCAAAGCCATGTGCTCCTTCCTCTACAACTGGCACCAAGCACAGTGGTAGCTTGTAGTACTTTGGAATAACTTTCCAAATATTTTTAGTGTTTTCTCTCTGAAAATATGAATGTTCCAAAAAAGGGAGACGAGTGGAAAACCCAGACCCAGGAGATGCTCAGAGATGCATTCAATATGACCAATTATTTAGGGACCAATTCCCCAGACCCTGTTTTAGAAAATTCATCTATGATAAAGATGGCACATGCATCAAAGAGCCTATAGCCACCGGAGAAGAGAAGCAAGCAAACCAGATGATGACAACATGATGCAGTATGTATTCCTGTGGAGCAATATATATGCTTGGGATGCAACAGAAACACAGAGGGAGTTTGCCTAATCGCTGAAAGGACTGAAAGATGAAAATGACCCAGAAAGGTTTATAAGAAGAGGTGGTAGTTAGGCAAATACTGTTAGTTGTGTATTTAATATTTACTCTTGTCCTTATTAACATGATGGCAATTTTTATTCAGTGTGGCAATATGCTCAGCTGAGAGATTATATTTTTCAGCCTAATGAACATATGACTACGTTTTGACTAGTGAGAGGTAAATGGGCATTTTGATGAGTTTTCCATGAAGGCTCCTTACAGGGAGAAACAGACAGAACTCTTTCTTTTTCCTTTCCTTTCTTCTTCCTTCCTACCTGGAATATGGGTGTGATAGCTGGAGCCCCAGCAGCCGTGTTGGATGATAGGTGAGCTTGAGAATAGGATCCAAGGACTAAGGATGGCAAAGCAGGAAAACATAAGGAATCTGACTTCCTAATGATCATGGTGCCCATAATACAGTTCTAGATTGCCTCTCAACTCCTTTTACATAAAACTAAATAAATAAATAAACTCATATACCTTAGCTATTATTCTTTTGGGCCTCCTTAATGCTAACCTATATTGTGCTCATTGAGCTAAGTTTTGAGAGATTAGTTAGAATTGACAAGGTGGACAAAAGGCAGAAGGGAAAAGCTTTAGCAAAACCCCAGGAGCATGAAGGCATATGCAGTACTCAAGGACTTGAAGGTGGTTCTGCTTAGCAATGAGGTTGGGAAATAGAGCAGCTACTCTCTTGCAGGCAAACTACCTCTACTACTACATCTAGGTCTTTAGGAATTAATATGTGGCCACACCTGAGGACTGCCACATACTTACTGGATCCAGGACGCAGGTGAGAGCATTTGTCTTAATGAGCTAGAGAGAGACTACCTGCACAGTAATAGGAGGGAAAGAGGATGAGGAGGGAGGAGATGCCAGGAGAGGTGTATGTTTAGAAGCTTCTGCATCTGTAGGTTGATATTGTTTGTTTTCCCTGTGAAAGAGAGAGCCTGGAAGAGATGGGGTTTGAGGAGAGCAGAGGAAGTTTGAACAGCTGCTGTTCATTTATGCCTTTGTGTCCTTGTGTATCAAGTATTCCCCAATTAAAATGATTTCATGGTTCTCCTCCAGCTCCTGTCTACCTGATCAAGAATTTGTTTTGATTCCCTCTTATCGAATCTCCACTGTGAAGACTTCCTTGGCTGCTGGGACAAGCTCTCCTTCCTCTGAACTCTTTTACCCTGTATTGCCTAGTCATCATAGAGAGCTTTGCTTTGTGTGGTATCTGTGGTTGTCCATGACCCTACCTTCAATCATGGTGATGAAAAAAAAGAAAAAGAAAAAAAAAAAAAACAGAAAGAGTTTTAAAATGACCCGAACCTATGACCTTGGATATTCAATCTCTCTAAGCATCATTTTCCTCAACTGCACAATGAGGGAATGTCACTATCTTGAAGAGTTGTTATGAAGATTCAGAGTAGGCATGTAAAGTGCTTAGCACTGTGCTGGGTGCATAACAGGCATTTAACTGGAGGTGGCTTTTGGCATTATTTCTACAATACGTACGATACACTTAATAATCACTCTCAGTTGAGGCAGATCCAGACCCCAGGGTCTCTATACATTGTAATCCTAGACCAAGTTGTCCATCAGTTGGAAACTTCTGTCCACAGCCCCTTTGCTGCCTCAATGACCATATCACCTCTTGGTGATAGAAGGATCTCACAGTTCACTCTGGTTTTGAGCAGGGGCTGAGTCTCAATATAGGTAGGGCCTGGCACAGTGAGGAACATGCAGGGAGCACCCAATGCATCCTTATTTCATGAATGAATGAAAGAATGAAGAATGAAATAATTAACGAATAAAAAAAGAACTTCTTTTTGGGAGAAAGCAGTTCCCTTTCCCTTGATTTCCACTTGGGTCAAAATATCCCTGTCCTTGCAAAAATTAGGACTTGGGTGCTTGAAACTTTATCCATGCAACTTAACTCCTCATTTCTTTATTTTTGTCAATCTAGTTTGGACAGAACAGGTAGTAAAATGCAAAGGAAGATCTCTGGGAAAAACGAGACTCTTAAAAACCTTTTGAAAGACTCCTGAGCAGGCCAAGTGTACATTTAGCTCCTACTTATACTTCAGCAGGCAGCAGCGACACAAAAGCTGGGCCTGTGTTCCTGCTCCACAAAGCACCTGATTCATGAGACAGCTTTGCGGGAATTTAATTAGTGAAGGAATGTGCAAAGCTTAAGCGCTTCAGATGTCATTAACCATTGGGGAGGGGAAAAGGAGTCAAGGAAGGCCTAACAGATGTTTGATTCAGACTCGTTCCTGCGAAACAGATCATTGCACACATCGTTTTTCTATTTGGGTAGCTCTTGGGTAAATCTTGTTAATGATATTTCATTCTTTCAGGAACCTAGTTTAACATGTGTCCGGTTTAAAGCAGAGAAATGCACCTTCTGCCTCTCAAGGGGAAATAGGCTGACCGTTTTTAAAAAAATCTGGTTCTTTCACGATTGCTTTTCTAAAGTCACTATTTCAACACATTGCATGTTGAATCCATGAGTTGAATGAACATGAATCTTTAGTTTCAGAAAGTGAAATTGTGGTCAATCTGTGAAGGAACTGCATGTTTTGGTTTTGATGGCTCTAAGTGTTTAATAGCACTTTACTCCATCTAAACCGGATTGCCATTTTGTTCATAGAGAAGTATTCTGTGAGGTTTTTAGCTTAAGTGGCCAGCCATCAGGGCTGCTTCCAGTCCTGGGTTGGCAGTAAAGGCCTCAGCTGGTCTCAGAGGCGGAGTGTTGCTAGAATAGACTCAAGCTGGACTCCCACTGGTTGAAATGGACAGCATTTGTTGCTCTTCCAACAAAACTAAAACTGCCTTTTTTTACAAATAGGAACAGGCTACTAGATGTTGTCATAGAAATAAGAAATGCAAGAATCTTTAGGCCATCTGATTTATCTCTCTACCAGCTCCTGTTTACAGCCTATTTGTCAGTGCCCATTCCAAGTTCTCTGTTCTTAACATCTCAGGATGCTCGCTTTTGGGGACAGAATTAGAAAAGGAAGGAAAAGATGATACCAACTAGACTTGCTTTAAATCCATGTAGGCTTCAACTGACTTTTGAGTATTTTAAAGAGCAAGTTCCTAGAACTTTTTTTCTGTGAAAGTGTTAGTGTAATGGTGCTCAGAAACTGATTGCTGCCATGCCTAAATTACCCTCTATCAAAGCATAATACTAACCACTCATAAGATGAGAAGAAGAAAATCAGCAAAGCAGATTTCCTGTCTTGGTTTCCTTGATTTCTGGACTTCCCCACTCCAAATGCTTAGAAATGAACACTTAACTATCTGCCACTGCCATCAAGGTTGCTATATGCCCTTTTCTAAGTTTGACCATTTCAATATTTAGCAGTGAATTGTCATGTACGGTAACTGATCCCAAGAATAAAAAAAGTTTTCTGGTATTTGGACATGATGCAAAATGTTCTGGACAGCCAGTAATATATCTTCCATAGCCCTTCTCTTTCAATTTTTTAAAAATTGCAATTAGTAGTTTTTACTTGTTCATTCAACCAACAACTATTTGTTGAGTGTCTCCTCTGTGTCAGGTTCCACAGAGAGAATGGAGACTAAGACACCATCCCTGCATTTGCAGTGAGGTTGGCAAGCAGCAGCATTTAGAAAGAGAGAGTCCAAGCAGGGCTGGAGCCAGCTGCACAGGGGAGGTCAGAGACAACTGTCAGGATCAGGGTCTCCATGTACAATTGTGTTGCCCAAGATGCAACTGATAGGGGGGCTTTGCACCAGTCTGAATATGTCTCCAAATGGAAGAAGGGAACCTTTTCTTACATCTCACAAAGGCATTATACATGTTAGCAGTGAACCAGTCAGGATGCATATATCTTTAACTAACCACAGTTTTTAGGTAATTCCATTTCATATTTCTATACTAACATTTTTAAAGCTTCACATTTTTATATTATGCTTGCTCAGTTCAATATCCTGGAAATGAAAGCATACAACTCTCATAGAGTTTGCAGACAGGTCTATGGAATGATTAAGTTAGTACACAAAGAGGAAATCGTATTTGTTCCACTCTTTTAATACTGCATGGACCTGGAAGAGCAACACCTCTATCCCCCCACCCTCCAAAAGCATTAGAAAAAGCCAGCTGGGGCCGGGCACGTTGGCTCACGCCTGTAATCCCAGCACTTTGGGAGGCTGAGGCGGGCAGATCACAAGTTCAGGAGATCGAGACCATCCTGGCTAACACGGTGAAACTCCTTCTCTACTAAAAAATACAAAAAAATTAAAAAATTAGCCGGGCGTGGTGGTGGGCGCTTGTAGTCCCAGCTACTCAGGAGGCTGAGGCAGGAGAATGGCGTGAATCCAGGAGGCGGAGCTTGCAGTGAGCCGAGATCACGCCACCGCACTCCAGCCTGGGCGACAGAGCGAGACTCTGTCTCAAAAAAAAAAAAAAAAAAAAAAGAAGAAGAAGAAGAAGAAAAAGCCAGCTGGTGAGGTGACAAGGGCAATTTGCTGAGTCTTTTAAAAAGGAAACAAAGCTAAAGCAAGTTCAAACACATTACATTTTAAGTCAATAGAGGCAGGCTAAAGAACGTTAAAAAAGGATAGTCTTTTGGGAATAAATCTTGTGGCAAACTATCTATCAGGAGACATGTTTTTATACCAATGCTTCCTGAACAACTGAAGAAGAGCCAAGATAAGGACACTTTCCTGGAAAAAGTTTTAAATATCATCAAATCAGTGTTTCAGGACTTTTTTTTTTTTCAGTGCTTTAAAAATATTTAGCATCAGTCTTTTCTTTTTTTTCTACAAATTTATCTATTTTCTAGGAGATATTACAAACCCTCCAGCTTGCCATCCATATCTGTTTCAAGAATGGAGCCCAAATGTTAGCACAGAATCACTGTAATCAAAATGGTAAGTCCAGAGGGTGCTGCTTGATTTTGACTGTCATTTATCACTCTGTCTAAATGGTTTCCATTTATCATTGAAATGTTATCTGGAAGGCAAATCCTGTGTCTGGAGGCATGCAATGTTTTGCATCTACTCTACAGAAATAGGTGGGATCAGATTTGGACAACTATAACCCAGTAGATTGAGAACATTCCCCTGAAGATAGGACTCCAGACAGGTGTTCATGGGTCTGGTCCACCATTACTGCTCAATCCATCTCCCAGAGCAGTGTTGGATCACTGGGAAAGTGGCCTGCTGCTCTCTCAGAAGGTCCAACCCAGAATGGAGTCTTTGTGTCCCCTGACTGTTGTCTCACTGATTTTTCTTTATATGTCTCTTGCATTTCCCTAAGCTCTATTGAATGCTTAGTTCATTGCTCACTGATTTCCAATGTGACTTAGTAGAGAAACCAAAACTCAAGCCTTTGAAAGAAATCACATCTCTTTTCTTAAAACTATAGGGTTTTGTGATGGGGCTTATTGGGTGTCTTTGTGGCAGGGGGGTTCCATCCAGTCTGTTATGTTTAGTACTACTGCCCTGAGTAGTGGATTTAGTTTCTCTAAAACCCATTATTCTCCCTAATGGGAGTTACAGAGGAACATACCTTGTCCCCTTCTATCTTTTCTAGGTAAGACCCTAGAAATTTATGCACAGAAGCTCTAACTACATTTCTGTGAAGGGGACAAGGGTCTGTCTCATTCTTCCTTAGGATTGTTGGAGCTGCCGTGCCACTGGCCAGTGTCATACTTTGACCCAGGAAAGTAGCATACTCCGCCCCAAGCCTCAGAGCACCATGTACTTTCATGCACCTTCCTCCAAGGAGGTCCTACACAGGTGCATGAAACTGGCTGGGATGGGTAGTACCACCTGAATGGAGAACCATGAGGCCAAATGGAACCCTGTGGCCCCCATCTCCATTTTTCCCCATAGTGGTGGGATCAAGCAGATGCCCTGAGGAGTTTCATGATTCTTGTCTATGGATTTGTCCCAGCCCATGGCCAGTAGGGTCTTGAATGGCCATCTGGCTAGCAGACGAGAGTCACTAATCTGTAAGCTTTTTCCTTCATAGGATCATGCAAGATTGGGCCACCAGAATGGTGCTGATATAAGGATTTGGGGTGACTCTCACTGATGCTGGACATAAGATAAGGTCAGGGCTCTGAGCTCTGGATCGTCCCACCCTGGAGCTTGAATTGCATTTGTTGGCCTTTGTTGGCTCTCACCCATTTGTGTTCTGATTATGGTACCAGGTCTACAGTATCCAAGCATGGGAAGGTGGTGCAAACATCCTTCACCCTGTATGTCCCACACAATCTCCCTACCCTCTTTACAGGCTCCATGCCATCTTTTGGGCTGGTCCCAAAGGGTGACTGCTCTTGTGCTCCAAGAGCTTTTGAGACTGTTGCTTCATAACTCCAACAGCCCCTTCCAATTGATGAGCTCTCTTGCTTCCAATCAATATGATATCATCTTACTCTTACTCCTTGTTAGGACCAGTCCTAATGAGGGACTAACATCTCTCCAAGGACTAGGATTGCTTTGCCTGCTCAGCCTAGAGGCCCTCTGCCTCTCTGCCCCTGTGGTGCTGGTGTACAGGCCTGCAGGCAATATTGAGACAGACCACAGTCTAGAAATTCACTGATTGTGGTGTAAAGAGAAATATTGTCTTATGCCTGTGCTATAAAATTCCAAAAGGAAAATTTTACATCATTTACAAAATTATTGTATACATTTGATTTTTGATCACCATCAACAAAGCACAGTAACAACCTTTGAGAGAGCCACTGGAGCAAGTATTCATGGGCTGCGGGTTGCATGGTGCATGTCATAAGTACCACTGTGACCGACACTAAATAATTGGAGTTGAAGAACTGCAGAGGCAAAAGATATGTATCGTTTCAACGCAAATTGCTTCTTTGTGAGTAATAACAACATTGCTACCTTTTACTTGTGGAGAGCGATGTAAAAAAAAATTAGCCAAGACCAGCACATTTGACAAGAAAGAAAATAACAAGATGGCTTGTGGACTTAAATGGGAAATGTAGTGTCAGGACGCCATGAAGAATCTTCATGTGCACTCATTGGACTGTGAAGAAATATGTAAGTACCTCTTCTCTATCCACTATTCAAAATTCTCCTCACTAAATTATGATAGCTCACATGCACCTGTGAGCTTCATAATATATTATTATAATCAAAATGTTTATATAGACAAGGGTCTCACAAAAAATATTTACCTGGATTGCCCACATAGTCTTAGAGCAGCCCTGTCTCTGACTTATGCAGCTGGGGGAATATGTTTGACTTTAATCTCCAAGATTTTGCTCAATATTCTGATTCTCAGGACACTCCTTAGGGTCCCTTGAAGATGGTGATAAAGCGCCTGCCCTTCTAGGACAGCAGGTTCCCCATTCTCCTTTCTTCTGTCCCCAGAGAATAGACCTGCTACCATCCTCACAGGATTTGATGCTTGCATCTCATTATATGGACTGGATTTGGGCTTTGGGGATTTTAAAATTATTTAATATTTCATTCAGCAAAGACATTTATTCAGTTCAGTTCTTGCTATGTACCAAGCAATGTAATTGGCACAGGGCTTACAAAGATGAATAAGACTTGGTCTGCACCCTCCAATAGCTCACACTATAGTAGGAAGATGTCAATAAACAGGGCACCAATGAATAGGCGCTATCAGCAGACATATGCAGAGTGTAGACGAAGTCTTAGCAAGAGGATCGGGGGTCCTACAGAGAGAAAGGCTTGAGGAGCTTCATAGAAGTCTCTTTAAACTAAGCTTTGAAAGACGACTTGGGGATTCACCGGGCCAGATGGGATGGGAGGGAGGGAACGGGCAATCGAGCTGCTGGGCGGAGGTGAGCAGATGGACCGGATGCAAAGCATATGACACACCAGGGAAACTGTAAGTAGGTTCTGTGTGGCTGGGGTGTAGGGAGGGGCTCAGCAAAGGAGGAGGCTGGAGAGGAGGGAAGGACCAAGATTACAGAAGGCTTAATGTGCTCTGCTCAGGAATCTGGGCTTTAGACTGTGGACGGTGGAGAAGCACTGATGGTATTATGTTACGAGGCACATGATCTTATTTTGTTTTAGAAATGTAAGTCTCTAAGAAGTACAGATTATAATTTGGGGAGAGATTGAGGGCAGGGGAAAGTTAGGAGGATGTATTGGTACACAGTCCAGAGGGGATTGAGAATCTAAGGTTGCAGCCCTCGGTAAGAAAAAGGCAGGTTAATGATTGGAAAATCCATGTGTAGATAGTAATCACTCAAGATAAAGGCAAGAGTCAGGACGGCTTCTCTGTTACAAATGTTTGGGCTGCAAGAAAACTCAACTAATAGTGGAGTTTTTCCTCTCCAGTAAAGATTCTGGAACTACAGGCTGCTGACATTGGTTGAGAGTCACAACACTATCCGGGTTTCTGCTCTGGACATCATGCCAACATTCAAGGCAGGAAGAAAGGGGAAGAGGCAGCACAGGCAGTATCTGTCCCAGTTTTCTTTCCATCCCAACTGTCCGCTGTCTTCTGTCTTGATCAAGAAAAGAAAAGGAGCACGAAACAGTCTAAGCCTTATCAGAGGGCACCAGGAGGATAATGAAACACATCCCCACCACTGGAGACTCACGTTGAACTTGCCCAGGCTTTGTTGGTGCCTTGCTGGTAGTTTGCCATCTCTAGAAATCGAAAGAGCAAGAACAAGAGGCATGTATGTATGAGAAGGGTGTTTATGAAAGGGGCCTTGCCCCTAGTTTAAGCAACAGAAGCTATAAGCAAGGAAGCTGAGTCTGCTTCCTCAGGGACCTTTATAAGGAGAGCAAAGTGGCTACTATTTATCAAGCAGTTTCTATTTGCTATGTGTCAGGCCACACTCTTCATGGCTTACATGCTTTTACTCCACTCATCTCAGATTCGAGGTAGATAGCATCACCACATTTTGAATAAAAGAAATTGAAGCTCAGGGTGCTTCCACTGCCCAAGACAACCCAGCTAGCAAGTGGCAAGCCAGGAGTCGAACTAAGGCAGGACAACTCTGAGGCCACAAACATGCTCAGCTGCCTTGGTGCTGCTGGGTACAGTCTTGGCCCAGGAGAACCAAAGCCCTAAAGTCCATTATGGCTGGGCACAGAGGCTCATACCTGTAATCCCAGTACTTCGGGAGGTCAAGGAAGGGGGATTGCTTGAGCCTAGGAGTTCAAGACCAGCCTGGGCAACATAGTGAGACCCTGTATGTACAAAAAATACAAATATTAACCAGGCATAGTAGCACACCTGCAGTTCCATCTATTCGGTAGGCTGAGGTGAGAGGCTAACTTCGAGCCTAGGAGGCAGAGGCTGCAGTGAGCTGAGATCGCACCACTGCACTCTAGCTTGGGCAACAGAGCAAGATCCTATCTCAAAAAATAAAATAAAATAAAGTCCATCATAAGCTGAAGTTTTAAGGTTGGGAAAAATACTAACAACCAGAACAGGATCTTTCCTGACAATAACTTTCCCCTTAGCATCCTGTGCTCACAGCTCAGTAGCTGTATACGGGAAGGTCTCTGCACAGTTTAGAAACAGAATGCTTTTCCCTTTTCCTTATCATCTGAATGATTACCCTAAGTGTGTCCTGACCACCAGCTCCTCTTCTTTTCTTGTGAACAAGCATCAAGGGCTCCGAGATGTACTAAGTGCTATCAGGCCACAGGGATGACATCTTGAACTCTCCCTTGATTCCCACATCCATTGTCAACTACCAGAGACTCATTCTGTCTTCCTATTAAAGCCACAGCATTAATATTCACTCCCAACAGTACCTCTATAATATTTTATATGCTTAAAACAAGTATAAATGTTGTTTATAATAATAGGGGGCCTGGAATTATAAATGCTCTTCTTAGAGAACATTTTTTAAAAAGATACTTTTTTTTTCTTTTATTTTTGTGGATCCTGGGTACTTCAACAGCATGCTTAGTAGAATAAAGACAGCAAAGCCTGAGCACAATAGCTTTTGGGGATAAGAAGGTGAAGGAGGCTAGGCCTTTGCCCTGGGAGAGCCAGAGCTCTCGTTAGCATTATGTGCATCCTCTCCTGGGGGTTCTGACTGGGCCAGAGGAGCGGTCTCAGGCACACAGGAATTGCTTGAATCAGATGCTGAATAATTGCCTTTAAAAAAATAACAGTTGAATACCTTTTCAAAAAAGATCGTGAAGTCTGTTCTGGGTGGCTTTAAATGAAGGACATTTGCTTATCTCCACAGTTGTTTCACTACAGCTCTAATGAAGGTGGGCATATGATTTAGTGACCTCGTAAATTCCTCTCCAGCTCCTGGATTCCATAATTCTGTTTCCTCTGTGGTGGATGAAAAGCAACCGTAGCAAACCTCTTTGGCTTCTTTATACTTTTCTACACTGTCATCCTCCTTGGCTTTAGAGTATACTGGTTACCATGGAAACAGCAATGTCCTCACTGTGGACAGAACTTAATCACATCCAAAAGGCTGAAATAAAGTACATTTTTATCTTGGATTGAAATTTGTATTATGATTCACGAAATGGAAGAGAGAAAGTAGAGGAAGAAAGCAGGAGGCTAAGAAGGATGAGAGGAGGGAGAAGGAAAGAAGCGGAAAGAAGGGAAGAGGTAGGAGCTGAAAATGATACCCCATGTGTCTGCCTGAAGAAACTGTCTGAGCGGAGCCTGTCGGTTGAAGTGCACTGCATCCCTTACTACAGGCCACACTGGGTCTCTTCCAGGTCTCACAAAGACTCTGTAAAACTAGAGCTGAGGCCGTCCAGGCAGGCTGCTACCCTGATGTGATTTGATATGTGCTTGCCCAAGATCATATCCCCCATGCACTAGTTGCCGAGACTGAAATCCCACCATGAGTGGTAAATACCCTTATGAATTGTTTTCAGTCGTGACACAGGTCCCACTAGTGAGTTAACAGCTTATGCCATGATCAACTCACATATTTGGAGGATATTCTGCTCAGATCCCTCTGAAGCCCTGGCAATTAGTTGAAGGACAAGTGCTCTGGCAATTAGAAAATGCTTAATAAAGTTTCCAATCTCTAGAGACATTCCCACCTTCCTTCCACATCTCCCGGCCTGCTGATGTGTCAGCTGTTTCCTGCCATCTGAGCACCCACCTCGGAACAGACCCAGGCTTGTGGGGTTTGAAGCTTAGATGATTCTGGACCCTCTTTAAGAAAAAGGATAGAACATTATGAGTATAAAGTTAGGCACAAGGTCTTGAAAGGGACACATGCAAATGAGGGGCTTAAGCATCAGTAGCTTCATGGTAATTTGCTTCTGCATCTACTATCTAATCTAATCTTTAAACAGTACCACAGGTACGTGATTATATCTATTACCAGATAAGAAAACTGAGGCCCTATGCAAGTCATCAAAATTTACTTAAAATTACTGAAAATGTACTAGACCAGTGTGGTTCAACTGTCACTCCTTGAAACTGATAATTGGAGATTGATCATGGGAGGACGTCTCCACAGCTGGTTTTTTGCATAAGCATCAGTTGTAACACGCAGAATCAATCCCACTTTTCCAAAATGTGACTTTCATTTCCCCTCCAAATCCAAGCCAGCTGAGGGAATTGGATTTCAGCTGTGGTTGGAGTGCTGGAGATGGTATCGCATATCCCGCTTGAAAATAATTGATCGGCTTCCTGCAATGCATTGCTTGCTCTCGCCCCATGACAGAGATGAAAACTGAGACCATCAATTGGATGGCTGGTTAATATCCACAGGCAATGTGCATTCAGTGTATGAGGAACAGAAATCAGGGCCAGCCTACAAAACAGCTGGACAGGGCACTTTCTGGAGTCCTCCTGGTTGTCTTGCATTACATAGATCCTGTCAGAATGACAATGGAAACGGCCTTTTCTTGCCCTTATTAGTATTAGCACTGTTGTCCAGACTTTCATTTCAGCCCTAATCAATTTAATATAGCTACGTGCACAAACATCCTCACATGCAGAGTACCTAAGCATAGCTCCTCTAGTGTTGTCTTAGAAATGGTGGAAACTCAGAGGAGTCAGAAAAATGGAATACTCTCCTATCTCACACTCCACAGAAATCCACAGGGGGCACATCAGTGGAGGGGCTTTCAGCATGGTGTCTTACAATTGGCTAACTCTCAGCCCCAGCAGGGTGCACCAGTAGGGATCTAGCCAGGGCAAAGTCACAGAGAGCAAAGGCTGGAATAGCAGATGCTCCCCTTAAAGAAGAGAATGGGCAGGAGAATTGAGACCCCTGACTAGAATCCAGATTCACATATTGTGGGAGGTAGTTGCATCTGAGGCATGAAGCCTCCACTCGAAATTTATTTTAACAAGCCTTTCCTATGTTTTTTTCTTTGTCAGACAAAGCACTGTTCTAGGCCCCATAATGATAGCACAAGTTTATTAAGAGATTGCTAAGAGCTATGCACGGGACAAAGTATGTTTATGTCTGTGATATAATTTGATCGACTATCAAATTTATTCTGACACCACCTTGAGGAAGAAAGAAAGCTAGGTAACTTTTTTTACAGAAGAGAAAACTGAGGCTCCATGAGATTAAATAATTCTCAGAGTCACCAAGCTAGCCAATGGTGGAGTCAGGGTTCAAATCTAGTTCTATCTGACCCTAGAATCATTGCTGCAAACCTTGGTGACATTTCTGGAGTGGTTACAATGTGCTAATCCTCAGGCTAGCAATTTTCATAGTCTCTTCTTTGACCTCTACACTTATTTGTAAGATACTTTATTCCTGTCTTCCATGACTCTTTAATTTGGCATAGGAAACAGCATGTGGTAAATGAGAATTATTAAATATATACATATATTTAATATATATTATATAATATATAATATATATATTAAATATATGTATATATCTTCTCCAAAACAAGTCAGAGTAAAATAAATGTCAAAAGGAAGATGAAGAGTTCATCAAGTCAGTGGCTCAGAGATGGATTTTTAAGGATAGTTTGGATTTTCAGCCCATTGAATTGGCAAAACAGGGCATTCCCCATGGAAGGACCCATGTGAATAAAGACAGGGGCATGTCTGGGAATCAGCATATCTTGTTATTGTGGTTTGACCTACACATAGGTTGTATGCAGGGGAGATTTGGCTGGGGAGTTTGACTGGCATTAATCACCAGTTAGAAAAGTTCTCAATTCATCTGGTAGACAATAGGAGAGAGATCATAAGGTCAGAGATAAACTTTGGAAAAGAAAACACTGCAGCATTTGTGGACAAGACCAAGGCAATCGTTTGCACAAGAGGTAATAAAAGGTCTGAATGTGGGTGGGGATAGGGAGGATGGAGGGAAGGCTCATGCAGGAGACACATCTGAAACACTGGATTTTATGTTCCAGCCTCTGCGGAAAAGACTCATACCATGCTCCTATTCACTCTGCCCCAGGGTCTTTACCCCAGAGCCAGTATCCCCACAGGAAGCCAGGAAGTGTCTCTGAGAGAGACTATGTCTTCCAAAAATGTTGAGCCCCCTAGAGAGCTAGAAGCCCTGCTGCCCACCTGGGGATGGCCCATCTGCAATATTGACTGTGCACTGTTTTTCCCACATCTGTGAGCCTGGAATCCCAATGGGTAGGAAAAAGAATGGGTGAGCTAAGAGCTTAAGAAATGATTTCTGGGAGAGCATAGCAGAATGTACCCCTTGGGTCTGGCAGGACCATTGGTTATCATAGGACACAAAATCTGTATATTGTAAGCATAATTGTTTGACAGCTTTCTGTATTTTCTTCATTGTTTTCCATTTGTGCTTTCTTCGGTGGTGTTTTTAAAAATGAAGGTCCTTCTGAAAATTACTGCCTGTCTCAGCTATGCTGAAAGCAAATACAAAAATGAAGGATTTTTTCCCACTTGGATCCAAATTTTAAAGGTGGACTTGGAAATGGGGTGGGAGCAGGTAGGAAGGCCAGTGAGGATTTAGGGAAGAGTCAGGGTGAGCCTAAACAGCTATTACTTCTGGCCCAGAGAGTCTCCTGCCAGTCTGTGTCTTCCAGAGGGTTTGGGTTTTGTTTGATTACCTTACTTCTGGATACACCACGGACTTTTGGTGATTTGTTTATATAAGAATAGAGATTGAAGTGACCCTGAAGAACAAGAAGAGCTTCAATGTGACTCCAGTGCTTTCCAGCCCTCCCCAGTTCCTCACCCGTGAAGCTGCCAGGGTGATCAATCTAAAAAGCAAACATTATTCATCACCCCAGAATAGAATCTCTCCATGCTAACTAACCTGGTTTGATTCCCATTTACCTTTTGGGCTCATCTGCCCTACATATATTTTCTAGCCATGCTGAACTGCTTGATTTTTTTTATCGTTCCTCCTCCTCATCTCCGTAACACGTGCACGAGTATATGCACGAACACATGAACACACACACACACACACATTTCTTGCCAAAGCGCCCATTCCCTCACTTAGAATGGCAAATCTTTCTCATCTTTTAAGGTATAGGAAGCCTTCCCTGACTTTATTCTGGCTGACTCAAATGCCTAATTTCCAGGCTCCTGCAATACCCGTAACACATGGCTACAATTGCACTTATTAACTTGTATCATCATCATCTGTTTATAAGTCAGTTTTCTGAACCAGACCATGGGCCATGGGCTCCTTGAACGTAAAACTGAATCTTCTTCATGTTTGTATCACTGTGTCCAATAGTCACTTATAGAGTTCAATGTATGTTTGAAGAATGAATGAATCCTGGGAATTGCCTGATGTAGCACTGTTTCTGTGTAGAACCAACTTTAACGCAGAGATGTAATAATCATGTGCAAAAGGAGAAATAACACTCATATGGGGAGACTTTACACTCATTCCAAGATAAAGATGAAAATCACATTAATTGTTTAAGCATGGGCTCCATTCAGAACCTTCAGGTTGGGAGCTTTGAGCCCATTGGTATTTTATATTTATTTACACATGGCAAAATCTGGTTTCCTGTTTTCAGAGAAAATGTTTTTCACAAAGCTTTATTAAAATGTTCAAACAGTCTCACAGACATCATATCTCTCTCACAACACAACTCTTTAGTATAAACAAATCAGAAATGCAAGGACTAAATTCCCCTTCTAGCATATGTGGGCTTAAAAAGAAAGCAACCATGCTTGACAAAATAAGCTCTGAGCTTTATTCCACCTCTGTTTAGATGGAAGCTCAAGACCCCCAGTCAACCAGAGATGCATCAAGGGCCCCCTATGCCAACTGCAAGAAATCAGAGAAAGAGGGAGGGAATGCACGGAAGGAGATGAGCCAGAACAACACTTCAAGCCAAATGCTTTCATCTTCTACACAATAAGAGGAAAAAGCTTGAGTAGATGTCATTAGCACATCAGCTGGGCTGGGCACCCATTCTTATTTTTTCAAATAAATAGGCTTAAAAGCCAGGCCCTCTTATTACCAGTATATAATTCCTATCGACATGGAAAGGGGTAAGCAGGGTTTTTTGTTGTTTTATTTTTAAATGAATGATAGTTTGGGAGTCTGAAATCAGACACAGCAGGGAGAAAACAACTGCATGTGTTTTCTCCGAAATGCAACAGTACACGCATATCGAAGTGACTGGCTGTCACCGCTATAATGTCACCATCTTCCCTAAAGTGAACAATTGGGAAACAAACAATTGGGAAATTAGAAGATGGCTTTTTTGCGATTCTCCCTTCTGAAGGTCTAGACTGCTCTTGCTTATGTGTACAATAGATCCACTAACAAAGAAAATTTTGAAAGCACAGCACATATGCTCATCTGTACATTCTGAAAGCCACATGGGATTTTTTTTCCTACATTTTAGCTTACTTTCAGAAGCTGAAGCTGTCATTAAGTAAAGGGAAAAGGCTGCTTTCAAGCATGAATCATTTTTCACAGACTTCATTAAAATAAAATAAACGTCTTTGCTAGTTAGTGAAAGGCAGTCGGGGAGGGTGGGAAAGGAAACTCTAACTCTCCCTTCTGTGCTGAAGATAAGGAAAGATGGTTCCATTCCTGCCTTTTAAAAGAGGTGGAAGACGACACATCCATCCTAAAGACAGATAAAATGAAACACGAGGATGTCATTGGAGATAGACTGGCACAGGGACTCAAAATAAATCAACAGCAGAAGCACGGACAGAATTTCGGTTTTCTGATTCCAAGGCTAGTGTTTTGTACCCTAGGTTTAGGGATGCTTCCAAGTTTGAGGCCAGGTATAAGCAGTTTCCTACTTTATGTACAACATATTCCAGAAAATGTTACCAAAATTGAAGGTTCAAAAACTAGACTCATATATTTTAAGGGAGCTTCTCTTCCCAGATGACATGGTTTGGCTGTGCTCCCACCCAGATCTCATGTTGAATTGTAGTTCCCATAATCCCCATGTGTTGTGGGAGGCACTCGGTGGGAGGTAATTGAATCATGGGAGCAGTTGCCTCCATGCTGTTCTCGTGATAGTGAGTGAGTTCTCTGAGGTCTGATGGTTTGATAGGGGCCTTTTCCCCTCTTCGCTCTGCACTTCTCCTTGCTGCCACCATGTGAAGAAGGACATGATTTGCTTCCACTTCTGCCATGATTGTTAGTTTCCTGAGGCCTCCCCAGCCCTGTGGAACTGTGAGTCAATTAAGCCTCTTTCCTTTACAAATTACCCAATCCTGGGTATGTCTTTATTAGCAGCGTGAGAATGGACTAATACACCAGATTTCTGAAAGATACTACAATATCAATCTTTAATTATAACTTTTCCCCCAACAAGTTTGACAATTTGAAATAGTTTATGCATCCCCTTTTAAATTTTCAAATATTTTGACCCATCAAAAATAATAATATAAAAACATCTGTGTGTCCACCATCCAGCTTAAGAAATAAGATATTTGAAATTTAGTGGAAGCCCCCAATATTCCTTTTTCCTCCCACACCAGTGACCACTCTCCAGAATTCAATGTTTATTGCTCGCTTTTATTTGACAGATACAGGCATTCTGACAGGTGCTGTTCTATGTCATTTATAAAATCTTTACAAATACTAACAATCCTTATAATAACCAATCCTTCTAATAACCCAGTGAGTTGGAGAGTACAGTTATCCTTGTTTAACAAAGGACAAAACTATGACACAGAGAAGTTAAGCAACTTGCCTAAAGTCACACAGTTAGCAAATTACGGAGCTGGAATACAAATATAGAAGTCTGGATCCTGAGTCTGTGCTGCTAGCACGCTGTGCTACCCAATTCCTTCCTTCCTTCCTTTCCTTTTTTCCTTCCTTCCTTCCTTTTTTCCTTCCTTCCTTCTTTCCTTTCTTCCTATTCGCTTATTTATCCATCCTTAAACAAAACACATTACCATTTCAGCATCATCATGATGCCATAATCATACAGTATATATTCTTCTGCAACTTGCTCTTTTCCTCTTAATGTTATATTTATGAGACTAATCCACATTGCTGCAGGTAGTTCTCACTCATTCATTTCATTGCAGATTATTACACCCCAGTGTGAACATACAGAATTCTCCATTTTAATGTCGATGGACACTTATGGGCCTCCAGAATGTTTTCCTATTACAAACGTTGTTATGAACATTCCTGTCCATGGTTCCTGTGCACACATGCATTTTTTTTTTTTCTCAAGGGTATTTGCAGGTGTAGAATTGCTGGATCAAAGGGTGTGTTTATCTTTAAGCATATCACATATCACCAAATTATTCTCCAAAGAGGTTGTACTAATTCACACTCTTCCAGCAGATGAATTTCCATTTTTCTACATTATTTGCAAAACTAGGTATTGTTAGACTTTTATAATTTTGTCATCTTCTTTTTAATTTGCATTTTCTTGATTACCAGTTAGGTAGAAGAGTCTTTTAAGTGCGCTCTTCTGAACACTGCTTGGTCACAATTTTTACCTTTTTTCTATTGAGTTGTCTTTTAAAATTAATTTATAAGAGTTCTTCGTGTATTCTGCCTAATAACCCATATCCGTTATATTCATTAGAAATATTTTCTTCCAAAGTGTTCTTGTAATAAATATAATGGACATGGGTTCTGAAGACTACTCAAAAAGGCCAATACATATCCAGAAGTAGACTTTCAGAATCATAAATTTATGTTTAACTTTGTAGGAAACTTCCAGATAGATTTCTAAATTGGTTGTAATACTTTAAGCTCCCCCCTAGTTGCTCCATATTCTTACTGATATTTGGTGTGGTCAGTCTTTTTAATGTTAGCCATTCTAGTGGGTGTGTACTGATATCTCCTTGTTTCAATCTGAATTTCCATGATGATTTATGATGTGCATTTTTCCTTTGCTTCTTGGCCACTTGTATATCTTCCTTGTGAAATGTCTGTTAGATGTTTTGCCCACTTTGAAAAATTAGGTTGCTTGCCTTTTTTTTTTTTTTTTTTTTTTTTTTTTTGAGATGAAGTCTCGCTCTGTCACCTAGGCTGGAGTGCAGTGTCACCATCTCAGATCACTGCAACCTCCGCCTCCAAGGTTCAAGCAATTCTCCTGCCTCAGCCTCCCGAGTAGCTGGGACTACAGGCACGTGCCACCATGCCCGGCTAATTTTTTGTATTTTTAGTAGAGAAGGGGTTTCACCGTGTTAGCCAGGATGGTCTCGATCTTCTGACCTCGTGTTCCGCCCATTTCAGCCTCCCAAAGTGCTGGGATTACAGGCATGAGCCACTGCACCCAGCCTAGGTTATTTGCCTTTTTATTATTGAGTTGCAGGAATTGTAGTGTGTGTATATAGATAACATATATTGGGAATCTTTTATCCCAGTATGTAGCTTGCCTATTTACTTTTTAACAATGTCTTTTGAAATGTGGAATACTTCCAGTTACTCTATTTTATCAGTGTTGTGTGCATCAGTAATTTCTAGGGATTCTGTCTAAGTAATCTTTGCCTATTTCAAATTTGTACATATGTTCTCTTACGTATTTATCCAGAAACACTAAAGTTTCAGCCATAATGTTTAGGTTATATGATCTATCTCAAATTAATTTTTTTGTGAATGTGAAGTATGTCAATTTTTTTTCTTCCATACATCCAGTTATTCTTTTTCATTTGTTGAAAAGATATTTCTTTCCTAGAGATGTTTAGGTGCTTTGTCACCTTGGTCAAAATCAACTAGTCATATAAGTGTAGGTTTACTTCTGGTCTCTTTATTTGTTTCCACTAATCTCTTTGTCTACCTTTTCAGCAATACTAAACTATCTTAATTACTGGAACTTGCGTTTAATCTTAAAATTAGATAGTTTAAGTCTTCCACTTTTGTTTTGCTTTTTCAAGATGGCTTTGGCTATTCCAGGTCCTTTGCATTTCCATATAAATTTGAATCGATTTACAAGTTCTACAAAAATCCTGCTGGGATGTTGATTGCTACAGCATTAAATCCACAGATCAACTTAGATAAAGTGCATTAAACCTACAGATTAACTTGGCAAAAAGCAGACATCATAACAGTATAGAGTTTTCCAATGCATGAACATGGTATATTTCTCCATCTGTTTATGTCTCCTTTCATTTATTTCAGTACCGGTTTATAGTTTTCATTATGGAGTTTTCATTACATATATTTCATAAAATGTGTTTTTCACTGTATTGTATTTCTGATAATATTTTAAATGGTATTTTTAAAATTTTTCATTTTTTTGTTGCTGAATTATAGAAATGCAATAGTTTTTTACATAGTGACCACGCATCTTGCATGTAGTAGACAGCTTTTGATGGCCTCCAGTGATCCCTTCTCTTTTTTTTTTGAGACAGAGTTTCGCTCTTGTTGCCCAGGCTGGAGTGCAGTGGCACGATCTTGGCTCACTACAACCTCTGCCTTCAGGTTTCAAGCAACTCTCCTGCCTCAGCTTCCTGAGTAGCTGGGATTACAGGCGCCTGCCACCACGCCCGGCTAATTTTTGTATTTTTAGTAGGGACAGGGTTTCACCATGATGGCCAGGCTAGTCTTGAACTCCTGACCTCGTGATCTGCCCGCCTCGGCCTCCCAAAGTGCTGGGATTATAGGCATGAGCCACCGCACCTGGCCCAATCCCTTCTTTTGATATTCATATCCTTGTATAATCCCCTTCCCTTGTGTGTGGGCTAGACCTAGTGACTTTCTTCTAACAAACAGAAAATGGAAAAAGAGATGCGATATCACTTCATGTTAGGTTACAAAAATACTGACTTCTGCTAACACTAACTTGCTTTCATTTGCTTGCTTGCTCTGATGGATATCAACTGACATGTTGGGATATGTCCAGTGGAGAAGGACCATATGGCAAGAAATTGAGGGAAGTCTTCAAACACAGTACAGTGAAAAATTAAAGCCTTCAGTCCAACAGCCATCAGGAACTGAATCCTGCCAACAACCACATGAGTAAGAGAATCCTCCTTTACCAAGCCTTCAGATGAGTCTGTAGCCCCAGTTGACACTTTGATTGCAGCCTTGTGAGAGAACCTGGGGCAGAGGCAGTCAGCTAAACATCACCTGGATTTGTGATCCCCAGGAATCATGATATAATAAATGTCTGTTGTTTTAAGTTGTTACCTTTTGAGGTAATGTTATGCAACAATAGACAACAAATACACTAAATTCACTTATTAGTTCTAATTATTATTTCATCGACCCTAAGATTTTCTACCTATACAATTATGTTGTCTACAAATAAAAACCAGTTTTACTGTTTACTTCCCATCCGTATTCCTTTTCATTTGCTTGTTTTGTTTTATTGCACTGACTAGGAACAGGAATACAATGTTGAATAAAAGTAATGATATTGCCTATCCTTTCCTTGTTCTCCTTAGGAAGAATGTGTTCAATTTTTCAGCAAAGAGTATAATGTTAGCTGTAGTTCTTTGTAGATGTCTTTCATCAGGGTAAGGAAATTCTCTTTTGATTCTAGTTTCCTGAGGTTTTTTTTTTTTAAATCAGGAATGGAAGTTGAATTGTTTTAAAATGTTTTCTCTATTTTTAACATGATTATATTACTTTGATGATTTACATTAATTAATTTTATAATGTTAAACCACCCATGAATTCCTGGCATAAAGCCAATTTGGTCATGAAGTATTATCCTTTTCATATATTGCAGAATTAAATTTGTTAATATTTTCATAGGGAGATTTGAATTAATATTTATGAGAAATATTGTATTTTATTTTAATGTCTTTTTCTGGTTTCAGTATCAGAGTTATGCTAGCCCCATGAAGTAAGTTGAAATTGTTTCTTCCTCTCTATATTATAAAAATGTAAAGTTATTATTTGTATCTTAATGTTTGATAAAATTCAACAGTGAAGCAATCTGGGTCTAGCATGCATTTGCTTTGCTTTTAATTTATTAATTTAATATAAATTTGTTACTATATTTTAATTACATATTAAATCTAATGGATATAGGGCTACCCAAATATTCTATTTCTTCTTGTGTCCATTTCAGTATTTACTGTCTTTCAAGAAATTTTCTATATTATATAAGTTGCCAAATTTGTTGGCATAAAATGTTTCATAATATTTCCTTATTGTAATTTTAATGTAGACGATATGGATAGTAATTATTCCTCTTTTATTCTTGATATTGGTTATTTGTTGGGTTTTTCTTTTAGCCTATGAGTTTATTTTTATTAATCTTTCAATGAATCAACTTTTATGTTTATTTTTGTAGAGATGTGGTCTCACTACATTGCCTAGGCTTGTCTTGAATTCCTGGGCTCAAGCAATCCTCCTACCTCAGCCTCCCAAAGCACTGGGATTGCAGGCATGAGCCACCATGCCCTGATTGAACTTTTTCACTTATTGATTTCTCTCTGTTTGTCAGCTTTTTATTTTATATATCTTTTCTCTTAACTTTAGGAATTCATTTCTTCTAATGATACTGGGTTTAATTTGCTTTTCTTTTTTAGCTTTTTTAAGTTGGTAACTTGGTTCATTATTTTTAAATATTAGTCTTTTTCAAATAAGAACATGAGCTATAGATTTTCCTCTTAACATTATTATACCTACAACCTACAAACTCTCATATGTTGTCTTTTTATTTTCAGTTCAAGATATTTTCCTAATTTTCTTTCACATTTTTCCTCCTCCAATTTGTCTCTTTTCTCTATCTAATATTGTTCCATATGACATGAAGCTTGGTTTATTCCCATAAGCCCTTTGTTTTTCTTTCTGGGCTTCAGTTTGGATAGATTACACTGCCTGTCTTTAAGTCTGATTTTTTTTTCAGCACGATTTCATCTGCTAATAGTCCTGTCCAATCAATATTTTGGTTTGGCTATTTTATCTTTCAGCTTCATAATTTGTAACAAGTCTTTTTAAATTTTTTTATTCTCTATTTTTCGTTTTCTTTGCCAAGTTGTGATGGAATCTTTTTTTCCTTTTAAAATAGTTTCCCCTTCTCTATGGAGACTCCCTATTTGTTCCTTCAATATGTTTATGTTTTTCTTCAAATACTTGAACAATTTATACAGTCTTTTTCTATTACTCCTATCATCCTATGACTTCTGGGTCTGTTTCTGTCAACTGAATTTCCTCCTGGTTAAGGGTACTATTTTCTTGCTTTTTCACGTTTACTAATTTTATTAGATACTGGACATTTTGAATGTTACATTGTTAAGTATAGTTGTCTTTTTTAGAGTGTTGAGTTTTTGTGGGGGCATTTAGTTTCTTATGAATTCACTTGATATTTTTAGGAATTGTCCTTAAGTTTTGTTAGGATAAGTACAGTGTAGCCTTTATGCTAGGGTCAGTTGTGCTCCTTTGGGGGTCTCTACCAAATGCCCTATGGGTTCAGTGAAGCCTTGTCACTCTGTCTGATTGGAACTCAAATGCCTCCTGGCCTTTGTGAGCTCCACTGTTCAGCTCACTAGTAGCTCCACTAGTATTTCTTCCCTGGTCATTCTTTTTTGCTCAGGCTTGTAGAGTCTCTGCATATGTGCAGCTTAATATCTGCCAAAAACTCAGAGAATCCTCTAAGTAAATATTTAGGCCTTTTGCTGTAGCTCCCTCCTTTTTGGCATTCTGCTCTGTAAATTCCAGCCACTCCAAGGGTCCTGAACTCCAATATCTGTCTCTCCAATTCAGCAAGACTGCCGTGCTCTATTCGAGCGCACTCTACCTATGCCACAATCCGCAAAGTGCCTTCAGGCAGGTGATTGTAGGGCTCGCCTAATTTCATTCTCTTTTCTCAAGGATCACAGTCATTTGTCACTTTGGTCCAACATCTGAAAACAGTAATTAATATATTCACCCTGTTTTATAGTTGTTTGAAATGAAAGAGCTAATCTGATGCTAATTATTCCATCGTGGCTTAAGAGTTTTTAGTTTTTAATCATAAATGTGTTTTAAATTTTATTGAATGCATTCTTTTTTACCTGTAAAGGTTATCTTGTGACCTTTCTTCAATTTGTTATGGTGATGAATTAATTACTTTAATAACTTTGTTTAACTTTAATAACTTTTCTAATGATAAAATGTCCTCATATGCCTGGGATAAACCCAACTTGATAATGATTAAAAAAATACTTGCTAGCATTGTTTTGCCAATGTTTTATTTAGGGTGTTCACATACTTAAGAATGAAATCAGCTTATCTATTTTCTTTCTCATGCTGTTTTTTATTTTGGTATCAAAATTACACTAACCTCTTTTTTTTTGCTTTTATTACTACTTTTAATTGACACATAATATTTGTACATACTATGGCACACAATGTGATATTTTTATACATGTATACAATATATAATTATTGAATCAGTATAATTAGCATATCTATCACCCCAAGCATTTATCATTTCTTTATGTTGGGAACATTCAACAATAAATTGTTGTAAATTATAGTCCCTCTGCAATGCTATACAGCACTAGAACTTATTCCTTCTATCTAGCTGTAATTTTGTGTCTGTTAACCAACCTCTGAGTAACCCACTTTTTCTGCAACCCCCAACCATTCCCAGCCTCTAGTAACCACTATTCTAATCTCTACTTCTATGATATCGATTTTTTTAGTTTCCACATACAAGTGAGAACATTTGGTATTTGTCTTTCTGTCCCTGGCTTATTTCACTTACATAATGTTCTCCAGGCTCATCCATGTTGTCACAAATGACAGGATTTCATTCTTTTTTATGGGTGAATAGTATTCTGTTGTATATATATACACCACATTTTCTTCTTTTTTGCAACTTTTATTTTAGATTTATAGGTTACATGTGTACGTTTTTTCCCCCCCGGGTATATTGCATGATGCTAAGGTATTGGGCACAAATGATCCCACCACCCAGGTACTGTGCATAGTACCCAACTGTTAGTTTTCCAACCCCTGCCCCCCCTTCTAGTAGTCCCCAGTTTCTATTGTTGCCATCTTTATGTGCACGAGTACCCAATGTTTAGCTCTCATTTATAAGTGGGAACATGCAGTATTTGGTTTTCTTTTCCTGCGCTAACTGGCTTAGGATAATGGCCTCCGGCTGCATCCATGTTGCTGCAAATGACATGATTTCATTCTTTTTTATGGCTGTGAAGTATTTCATGGTATACATACACCGTATTTTCTTTATCCAGTCGACTGTTGATGGGCACCTAGGTTGATTCCATGTCTTTGCTATTATGAACAGAACTGCGATGAACATGTGAGTGCATGTGTCTTTTTGGCAGAATGATTTGTTTTCTTTTGGCTACATACCCATTAATAGGATTGCTGAGTTGAATATACCACATTTTCTTTATCCATTCATCTGTTGATGTACACAGTTGATTCCATGTCTTGGCCATTGTGAATAGTGCTATGCTAATATTTTATAAGATACAGGGAATGTGTTAGTTTCCTATTGCTTCTGTAGTAATTTACCACAAACTTAATGCCTTAAAGCAACACAGATTAATTATCTTGTAGTTCTCATAGTCAGAAGTACAAAATTAATTTCACTGGCTGAGATTAAGGTGTCATCAGTGCTGTGTTCATTCCAGAGGCTCTCAGAGAGAATCTGTTTCTGTTGCCTTTTTTATCTTCTAGATGCTGTCTGCATTCCTTGGTTCATGGTCCCCTTCCAGACAGCAATCGCATGACTCAGAGCTCTGTTTCTGTGGTCACATCCCCTTCTCTCTGACTCTCCTACTTTCCCTTTACTTAGAAAGACATGTGTGATTACACTGGATCCACCTAAATAATTCAGGATAATTATCCTGGATATCACCCAGGATAACTTAATTATATCTGTGAAGTCCTTTTGCTAAGGCAGATATTCACAGGTTCCAGGAATTAGGATGTAGATATCTTTGCAAGGCCATTATTCTGTCCAGCATAAAAGGGGAGAGCATTTCTCAATTTTCTTCTTTTTAGATCTTACGTAAGATTAGAATTATCTGTTCTTTGACTATCTAACAAAACTTACCTGTAACACTGTATGTGACATTTTTGTGGGTGAATTTAAAAAAGAAACCAGACAAAGTATAAGCATGTGTATATTTTAAAACAACCAAACAATATTATTATTAAGGATGTGATGATTACTTTGCAGTATTTTTTGACCATAAGATATATCCCTCTACCGTCAAAATACGATGCTTTAAATAGCTTTAAATAACTTTTCTCTTTTTAAGAACATATATATATATTCAAATTAAAGTTGTTATGGTTATGACTGAGGTAGATATGCTATCGAGGGCTTCCTCTATATTGCAGCTTTTCAAACTTTTTTTTTTTCCCAGACAGGGTCTCACTCATACTGTCACCCAGGCTGGAGTGCAGTGGCACAATCTCAGCTTACTGCAACTTGTGCCAACCATTTTTGTGATATAAATTGCTAATGTTTTTCCAGATTTATCATTTGTCATTGACTTTGCTTGTGATGTATGTTTTTAGTGGATTTTTTATTAGTTATTTTACTTTGTCATGCGAAGCATTTTTACCTTTTATCTATATGTAATCAAATTTATTAGTCTTTTCCCCTTGTTGATGCTTGTTTTCAAATCATACTTAGAAAGAGTTTTCTCCTTTTCCAAGCTATAAAAGCATTTATGCATATTTTATTCTAGTACTTTTACGGTTTTATTGTTTAGACAAATCTCTGACCCATTTGGAATTTATTCTAGCTTCAGTGTGAAAAATTGATCCAATTTTACCTTTTTCAGTTTAGTTATCACAACTCCTCTTATTTAAAATTTTATCTTTTTTCACTAATTTTACATGTTTTTTGTCATATACTAATTTTTATATGTATTTGAGTCTATTATTGGGTTTTCTATCTGTTCATTGATGTGCCTATCTACTCATGAGCCACCACCTCACAATGTTAAGCACAGGATCATTCCAATCTACTGTAATGTTATGCATGTATTATATTTAGTAGGGATACCCCTCCCCCATCATAGCCTTTCATTCTGAATGTTTTTCTGGCTGTTCTTTCTTCTTATTCCAAATGTACATTATAATCAACTGGAAGCAGCTCCAGACAAAAAATACTCATGGTATCAGTAATTTTATGTGAACTGTACTGAATTTATAAAATTAAAGAAAAATTTACATTTTCTGATGTTGAATCTTCCTATCCAAAAACATGACATGTTTTTCTATTTGCTTATGTCTATATTTTGATCCCTAAGAAAAATGTTATAGTTTTTCTCATGTGTGGTTTGGATATTTCTTGTTATCTATGCTTATCATTGTTTTTGTTTTATTTTCCTTTGCTATTGCAAAATGGAATCCTCTTTCTCATTGTATCCTCTAACTGGTTGTTTATATATATGAAGGTTATCAATTTATGATTGTTGGTTTTCATAATTTGTTACTTTACTAAATTCTTTTATTGTTTGTAATAGTTTTTCCATTGATTCTTTTGAGTTTTCTAGAGAGAGAATCATATTGTCAACAAATAGTTTTACCTCAACCTTTCTAATTCTTATGCCATTAATAGCTTTGCTTGTCTCATTGAATTGTTTATACACATTCTTTAATTTTATTCTTTTCCTTTACCTATGATTGCTGAGTTGAATGATTTGTCCAATGAGTTTTCAAATAAGGTTATAGATTTTGATTACAAATATCTATCTTTATTTCAATTAGATAGAATACAGACCTGATTTTATTATATCAACACTTTTATGCCTATATTTTCTCTCATTTTAAAAAAATAATAAGTGCAAAATTGGTAAACTATGCCAGCAAAACCACGATCACTGCTAAGTAGACAAAGAGCAAATATAGTTAAAATGCTAGTATTGGACAGCAGACAGTACCCCCATGAGGTGATCTCTTATGTGATCTTGTAGCAAAGGCAGACTAGCAAGTAGGAAATGACTCTAAGAATATTAAAAATAATGCAGATAAGTCCAAGTGTTGCAAGAGTTAGAATTTTCACAAGTTGAAGAATAACTGCATTTTCTTTTACACCTGAAAGGTTTCTGGGGCAATCCTCTCCATTAAGATATAAACAGATTATCACAAACTACTAGTGTGGATAATCACATCTTTTTTCTATTAAATGATTCACATGTAGTACTAGTGCATCCTCTCTCTCTAAGCCTTCTTCTATTTCTTCTTTCTACTAGAAGACAGAGGATAGGGCAGCAAAAATATGCTATCCCCTCAAAATATCAATTATACTACTAACTAACTGCTTCTAATTCTTTAGCTGGACTCACTTTCTTTCGCTATCTACCAGTAACAGTCAAGGTAAGATTTCCCATTAGCTTTCAGTTCTGCTACCTAAGCAGAGATGCTTGAAAACTATTGTTTTATTGTGAAGTAAAGTATACCAATAGTGAGAAATACAGTGAGAACGTCATGTCTATTATTCTGTAATTTCATCATCCAAATACAAATATTAACATTTAACATATATTTTCCTATTTTAAAAATATACTGTTTTGCAATGGTGGATTTGCTACCAGAAAGGGGTCCTGATCCAGACCCGAAGAGAGGGTTCTTAGATCTTGTGCAAGAAAGAATTTAGGATAAGTCCACAGAGTAAAGTGAAAGCAAGTTTATTAAGGTAAAGGGGCCGGGCGCAACGGCTTACACCTGTAATCCCAGCACTTTGGGAGGCCGAGGCGGGCAGATCACCTGAGGTCAGCAGTTTGAGACCAGCCTGGCCAATATGGTGAAACCCCGTCTCTACTAAAAATACAAAAATTAGCCAGGCACAGTGGTAGATGCCTGTAATCTCAGCTACTAGGGAGGCTGAGGCAAGAGAATCACTTGAACCTGGGAGGTGGAGGTTGCAGTGAGCCGAGATTGTGCTACTGCACTCCAGCCTGGGAAACAGAGTGAGACTCTGTCTCAGGAAAAAAAAGAAGAAGAAGGAGAAGGAGGAGGAGGAGGAGGAGGAGGAGAAGGAGGAGGAGGAGGAGAAGGAGAAGGAGAAGAAGAGGAAGAGGATGAGGAAGAAGAAAAAAGAATAAAAGAATGAAAAGAATGGCTACTCCATAGACAGAGCAGCAACATGGGCTGAATATACTTAGCGTTATTTCCTAATTAAATGCTAAACAAGGGATGGATTATTCCTCAGTTTTCCAGGAAAGGGGTAGGGAGTTCCCAGAACTGAGGGGTTCCTCCCCTTTTCAGACCATATAGGATAACTTCTGACGTTGCCGTGGCATTAAACTGTCAATGGTGCTGACGGGAGTGACTTCAGCATGCTAATGGGTTATAACGAGCAATGAGGACAACTAGAGTTTGCTTTAGTTGCCATCCTGGTTCTGGTGGGCTTTGCCAGCTTCTTTAGCATATTCCATTTTATCAGCAAGGCCTTTGTGACCTGTATCTTGTGAAACTAGTCCTGCCAACCTCCTGTCTTATCTGGTGACTAAGAAAGCCTAACCTTCTGGGAATGAAGCTCAGCAGGTCTCATCCTCATTTTACCCAGCCCCTATTCAAGATGGAGTCACTCTGGTTCTAACATTTCTGACAGATACACAGGATATACATTTGTCAAATCCATAGAATGTATAACGCTAAAAGTGCATCCTAATGCAAGCTATGGATTTGGGTTGATAATTGTGCATCAATGTAGGTTCCTGTGTTGTAAGAAATGTACCACTGCTGTGTGGGATGTTGATAGTGGTGTTGGCTGTAAGTTGGAGAGCAAGAGATATAAGGGAAATCTCTGTCCTTTCTGCTCAATTTTGCTGTGAACCTAAAATTGGTCTAAAAAATAAAGTCTATTAAATTAAAATTACTGTCGACCGTGGAACAGCACAGGTTTGAATTGTGAGGGTCCACTTATATGCTGAGATTTTTCAGTAACAGTTACATCAAGTATGCCTGCCTTTCCTGCCTCCCCTTTCACCTCTTCCACCTCTTCTGCCTCTGCCACCCCTGAGACAGCAAGACCAACCCTTCTTGTCCTCCTTCTCCACAGCCTACTCAACGTGAAGACAATGAGGATGAAGGCTTTTATGATGACCCACTTCCACTTAGTGAATACTAAATATGTTTTCTCTTCCCTATGATTTTCTTAAGAACATTCTCTTTTCTCCAGCTTATTTTATTGTAAGAATACAGTATTTAATATATATAACATACAAATATGTATTAATCGACTCTTTATGTTATCAGTAAGGCTTCTGGTCAAGAGTAGGCGGTTAATAGTTACATATTGGGGGAGTCAAAGGTTATACACAGGTTTTTGACTGTATGAGGGCTGGTTCCTCTAACCCCAGTGTTGTTCAAGGGTCAACTGTGTGTATATATATATATATAGTCATATATATATATATATATACTCATATATATACTCATATATATATACTCATATATATACACTCATATACATATATGAATTATCTGCTATTTTTATTTAAAAATACTATATATTATATGGTATATTTTATTGATATATATATTTTTTGAGACAGAGTCTCGATCTATCTCCCAGGCTGGAGTGCAATCTCGGCTCACTGCAACCTCTGTCTCCCAGGTTCAAACAATTCTCATGCCTCACCCTCCCAAGTAGTTGGGATTATAGGCATGCACCACCATGCCCAGGTAATTTTTTGAATTTTTACTAGAGATGGAGTTTCATCATGTTGGTCAGGCTGGTTTCAAATTCCTGGCCTCAGGTGATCCACCTGCCTTGGCCTCCCAAAGTGCTGGGATTATAGGCATAAGCCACTGCACCTGGTCTGATACTTTTTAACTTAAATTTTTAAATGTTTTATATTGCAATTGACTGTCCTTATAAGTAAATTTATGACTATTTCCTAGTAAAAATCATAGAAATAAAATATTGGCTCAAAAGAAATGCTCATTTTTAAAACTTTTTTGATACTTATCATCTCTCATAAGGGTATAGTAAACCTTTGATTTGACGTTTGATTGAATGATAACTGGTAGCTTTTTGTGGCGAGGAAGGGAGTGAAGGTTCCGGGCAGCTGGTTTTCACTGGTGACAGCAGTTGATACTAGAGAGAAAAGGGAAGAGTAAAAATTCCTGTTTTTTTTCAAACTACACCCTACCATCTCATCACTCAAAAAGATGTGGCACCTCTCCAAAAGAAAAATCTCCAATGCTACACAGTTGCTGAAATGCCTGTGTTATAAACTTCTCCCCCACTGAGACCCACAGCCAATAGGACTTGTTATTCTATAAGAGAGGATATATTGAAAAAGAAGGCAAGTATGTTCACTTCTGTATGGCAGAAAATTAGACTAATGAATTTCAAAATTTCAGAATGAGGGTCTAATAAATTAGCAGGGGCTTAGTTATCTGTGAACCTGCACGGAGCAGTGGGAGAAGCTGGGCTTTCATCAGACGGAGCCTGGGCTCACTGGACTTGACTCTGACACCCACTGTTTTCTTGTTCTTGGCCACTGGACTCTCCTGAGTCTCAGTGACATCTTCCATTCTAATTGGTTTGTGAGACACGGTGAATATGTGTGTCCAGTGCCTAGTACAATGTCTGGCACATAGTATATGCTCACTAAATATGTGATCCCTCCTCATTTTGTAACAGAATGCCCCAATAACAGAGACTAACTGAGGTATCATGTTCTTTTTCACAGTAAACTCCATTGTAGTTCCCTACATATTAAAATCCTACTTCAGAACAGCCTGTCCACAGAGATGACAATGGGCAGCCTGGTCAATCCCTCCCCCACATCTGCCACCAAATCTCTGTTGCTACTCCTATGGGAACCTCCTCCCTGCCCCAACGAATGCTCCCATTGCAAAGGGCACTACAGACATGCCACCTTTTAGCTGTCTCCCAGCACTACCATCCACCAAACCTTCTGCCAGTCAATATTGCCAGAGGCCCCTACCTCCCTCTGGTACTACTCCACCCCATGCCCTCTAAAAGTTGCTCCATCTAGAAGCCTTGTTCCCTTGTCTCTGGGCTGGGACTGGATATCTTCTGGCATTTTTAGTTAGAGCTGGAGCAATTTCCCACAGTCATCTACCCACAAATGGTGGGGAGGTTGAGCTCACTGATCTTTGAGCTCCTTTGTGATAAGCAAGTTGATACAGTAGGAAGAAATCTTGACTATGAACTCAGGATGCCTGATTTCTAGTTTCCATCCTGCCACAGTCTAGCTGGGGCCTTAGGCCTAGTCATTTCACTTCTCTGTGCCTCAGTTTCTGAACATGCAAAAAGAAGAGGTCAGACTAATAATCCTCCTGGTTGAGCATTCATCTTGTTCCAGATCCTATGCTGATCTTTTTACACACGATGGGGACAAAATAGTGGCATGTGTACATTCACAGTCTCAACCCTAGGGTTTTCTAGGGGTACAGAAATACTAATGCATCAAAACCCTTAGCTCTCAGCTCTCGGGGTGACCCAGCAAAGCCTCAATTACTTTCTCATGCAAGACCCAGATTTCTTTAACATAACATGGTGTGGTGATGGCAGCAAGAAGCAGTTCAGCTTTTACACATTACCCACCATCATCTCATGGAATCCTCATGACAAGTCTGTGAGGTTGGTATTGTTCTGTTTTACATATAAGGAGAATGAGGCCCAGAGAGATTGAATAAGATACAAGGTTACCTAGTTAGTAAATGTGATCTGATTTCAGAATCTGTTTCTAAATTACTATGCTTTCTGCCTTAGTGTACTGTTCGTGATCATCTCTAAGCTCTCTTCCATCTTTATGATTTTAAACAGGCTTTTGTGGACTAGCCTGGGAAATTTTCTACTGTCGTCTTGATGAGAGAGCATGTTTAGATGTGCTAACAATTGACTTTCAAATAAAAAGCTTTAAATTTATTTATTTATTTATTTATTTATTTATTTAGAGATGGGGTCTCACACTGTCAACCAGGCTAGAGTACAATGGTGCAATCATGGCTCACTTCAGCCTCCAACTCCTGGGTTCCAGCGATCCTCCTCCCTCAGTCTTCCAAGTAGCTGGAACAACAGATGTGTGCCACCACGTCTGGCTAATTTTTTAATTTACTTTTTTGTAGAGATGGGGTCTTGCTGTGTGGTCCAGGATGGTCTCAAATTCCCCCCCTCAAGCAATCCTCCCACCTTGGCCTCCCAAAATGTTGCAATTATAGGCATGAGCCACCTCACTTTGCAAAAAGCTTTCTTAATAATAATAACAATAATGCAATCCCATTAAATATCACCTATGTGTGTATCTGGTGTAAAAAACAGCAAATCAAGTCTTTGTCTTTTTTTTTTTTTTTTTAAGACAGGGTCTTGCTCTGTCACCCAAGCAGAAGTGCAGTGCTGCATTCTTGGCTCACTGCAACCTCCCCTTCCCAGCCTCAAGCAATCCTCCCGACTCAGCCTCCTGAGTAGCTAGGAACACAGGCGTGTGTCACCATGCCTGGCTAATTTTTAAATTTTTTGTAGAGATGGGGTCTCACTATATTGCCCAGGCTGGTCCTGAATTACTGGACTCAAGCAATTCTCCCACCTCGGCCTCCCAGAGTGCGATTACAGGTGTAAGCCACTGTGCCTGGCCCGTCTTTATCATTATAGCTGCACTCTCAGCCTCAGTTCTGGTCTCCTGCCCTTTTCACTTCTCACTCTCAACAATATTCAGTCACTTGACCACTCTGGCCTCACCATGTCTCATAACCCTCCCTGCAAGCCCAGCCCACTGCACAGATGTTATCAATCATCAAATTTAGTAGTTTTTCTTTAAAAATCCCTCAAAACCTGTTTCTTCCTTCAAAATTTTACTGCCACTCCTCAGACAGGCCGGTCTACCTCACATGTACCCCACAGCAGCATCTTAAGTCCTTCTCTCTCCTTCCAGCTGGCCAGAGTCTGATTCAGTCACATCACATGGGACAGCAAGAACCAGGTCAGGAGCAAGAGACGGGTTTCCAGGGACCTGAAGTCCTAGGAACCCCCATAAATGTGAGGAGAGATATTAGGCTGTATGCAGGCTTTTGACTGTATGAGGGTTGGTTCCTCCTTGCAAAAGGCAAGAAGTCCAGGATGTCAATGATGCAAGCAACCTTATCACCTTGACCATGGACAAAGGGAGTTTTCCAGGGCCATTGAAACTGCAGGACAGCTTCAGAAACTGAGAAAACGATGCTATGCCCTTTCCAGAGTGCAGAGAGAAATGTGCTGGGAGGGTCAAGTTGCTCTTTTCTAAGTCTGATATTGTTAGAGAAGATAGCTAGGCAGACATGAGTAGGGCAGGAGAGGGCTTCCCCTCCAGGAATGTGAGACAACTATCAGGTGATGGTCAGATGGTTATCAAACTGTCTCTCTAAAATGATAATTCATTGCAGCTGGTGCCAGGGAACGGCTGTCTCCCAGAAGACAGAAAATACCTAAGGCTGGTGATCAGCATCTTCCCAATAAGATCTCAGGAGTTGGGTGAGCAGGCTTAAGCACGTGCACTAGAGGCAAAATAGAAGAGTTTAACTGTTATATGACCTTCCTCTAGCAATACTCGATTGTTAAGGGAAAAATGCCTCAAACGAGCATGCACACAACTTCAGTAAACACACCACCGCCTGCAGCCCCTTCCAAGTGCTGGCAGGCCACTGCACATGCAAAGAGCCTGCCCCAAGGAAAAATCAAGGGAGGAGAGATGCAAACCCTGGAAGCATGCCAATGATAAAACTCCAAATCAAGGGTCAGACGGGGCACTTGCATCTCTCAAGTCACACGATTGGCCTTCTTCCAAGTGTACTTTACTTCCTTTTGTTCCTGCTCCAAAACTTTTTTTTTTTAATACTTTAAGTTCTAGGGTACATGTGCACAATGTGTGGTTTGCTACATATGTATACATGTGCCATATTGGTTTGCTGCACCTATTAACTCATAATTTACATTAGATATTTCTCCTAATGCTATCCCTTCCCCATCCCCTGACCCACGACAGGCCCCAGTGTGTGATGTTCCCCGCCCTGTGTCCAAGTGTTCTCATTGTTCAATTCCTACCTATGAGTGAGAACATGCAGTGTTTGGTTTTCTGTCCTGGGAACAGTTTGCTCAGAATGATGGTTTCCAGCTTCATCCATGTTGCTACAAAGGACATGAACTCATCCTTTTTTATGGCTGCATAGTATTCCATGGTGTATATGTGCCACATTTTCTTAATCCAGTCCATCATTGATGGACATTTAGGTTGGTTCCAAGTCTGCTATTGTGAATAGTGCCACAATAAACATACGTGTGCATGTGTCTTTATAGTAGCATGATTTATAATCCTTTGGGTATATACCCAGTAATGGGATGGCTGGGTCAAATGGTATTTCTACTTCTAGATCCTTGAGGAATTGCCACACTGTCTTCCACAATGGTTGAATTAGTTTACACTGCCACCAACACTGTAAAAGCTTTCCTATGTCTCCACATCCTCTCCAGCATCTGTTGTTTCCTGACTTTTTAATTATCGCCATTCTAACTGGTGTGAGATGGTATCTCATTGTGGTTTTGATTCGCATTTCTCTGATGACCTGTGATGATAAGCATTTTTTCATGTGTCTGTTGGCTGCATAAATGTCTTCTTTTGAAAAGTGTTTGTTCATATCCTTTGCCCAGTTTTTGATGGGGTTGTTTGATTTTTTCTTGTAAATTTGTTTAAGTTCTTTGTAGATTGTGGATATTAGCCCTTTGTCAGACAGGTAGATCTCAAAAATTTTCTCCCATTCTATAGGTTGCCTGTTCACTCTGATGGTAGTTTCTTTTGCTGTGCAGAAGCTCTTGAGTTTAATTAGATCCCATTTGTCTATTTTGGCTTTTGTTTCCATTGCTTTTGGTGTTTTAGTCATGAAGTCCTTGCCCACGCCTGTGTCCTGAATGGTATTGCCTAGGTTTTCTTCTAGGGTTTTTTATGGTTTTAGGTCTAACATTTAAGTCTTTAATCCATCTTGAATTAATTTTTGTATAAAGTGTAAGGAAGAGATCCAGTTTCAGCTTTCTACATATGGCTAGCCAGGTTTCCCAGCACCATTTATTGAATAGGGAATCCTTTCCCCATTTCTTGTTTTTGTCAGGTTTGTCAAACATCCAATGGTTGTAGATGTGTGGTGTTATTTCTGAGGCCTCTCTTCTGTTCCATTGGTCTATATCTCTGTTTTGGTACCAGTACCATGCTGTTTTTGTTACTGTAGCCTTGTAGTATAGTTTGAAGTCAGGTAGCATGATGCCTTTTTCTTTGTTCTTTTTGCTTAGGATTGCCTTGGCAATGCGGGCTCTTTTTTGGTTCCATATGAACTTTAAAGTAGTTTTTTCCAATTCTGTGAAGAAAGTCATTGGTAGCTTGATGGGGATGGCATTGAATCTATAAATTTCCTTGGGCAGTATGGCCATTTTTGCGATATTGATTCTTTCTATCCATGAGCATGGAATGTTCTTCCATTTGTTATGCTTATTTTTTTTTGTCTTTTGTTTGTTTTTGTTTTTTTGTTTTTCCTTTTTCTGGAGAATGGGGTCTCGCTATATTGCCCAGGCAGGTCTCGAACTCCTGGGCTCAAGCTATCCTCCCACCTCTTGCCTCCCTGAGAGCTGGGATTACAGGTGTGAGCCACCGTGCCCGGCCTGTTCTTCCATTTGTTTGTGTCCTCTTTTATTTAGTTGAGCAGTGGTTTGTAGTTCTCCTTGAAGAGGTCCTTCACATCCCTTGTAAGTTGGATTCCTAGGTATTTTATTCTCTTTGTAGCAATTGTTAATGGGAGTTCACTCATGATTTGGCTCTCTGTTTGTCTGTTAATGGTGTATAGGAATGCTTGTGATTTTTGCACATTGATCTTGTATCCTGAGACTTTGCTGAAGTTGCTTATCAGCTTAAGGAGATTTTGGGCTGAGATGATGGAGTTTTCTAAATATACAATCATGTTATCTGCACACAAGGACAATTTGACTTCCTCTTTTCCTAAGTGATACCATTTATTTCTTTCTCCTGCCTGATTGCGCTGGCCAGAACTTCCAACACTATGTTGAATAGGAGTGGTAAGAGAGGGCATCCCTGTCTTGTGCCAGTTTTCAAAGGGAATGCTTCCGGTTTTTGCCCATTCAGTATGATACTGGCTGTGTATGTACGATATATACAAACTGTATGTTTGTCATAAATGGCTCTTATTATTTTGAGATATGTTCCATCAATACCTAGTTTATCAAGAGTTTTTAGCATGAAGGGCTGTTGAATTTTGTCGAAGGCCTTTTCTGCATCTATTGAGATAATCATGTGGTTTTTGTCTTTGGTTCTGTTTATGTGATGGATTATGTTTATTGATTTGTGTATGTTGAACCAGCCTTGCATCCCAGGGATGAAGCCAACTTGATCTTGTTGGATAAGCTTTTTGATGTGCTGCTGGATTTGGTTTGCCAGTATTTTATTGAGGATTTTCACATTGATATTCATCAGGGATATTAGTCTAAAATTCTCTTTTTTTGTTGTGTGTCTGTCAGGCTTTGGTATCAGGATGATGCTGGCCTCATAAAATGAGTTAGGGAGGATTCCCTCTTTTTCTATTGATTCGAATAGTTTCAGAAGGAATGGTACCAGCTCCTCTTTGTACCTCTGGTAGAATTCAGCTGTGAATCCATCTGGTCCTGGACTTTTTTTGGTTGGTAGGCTATTAATTATTGCCTCAATTTCAGAGCCTGTTATTGGTCTATTCAGAGATTCAACTTCTTCCTGGATTGGTCTTGGGAGGGTGTATGTGTCCAGGAATTTATCCATTTCTTCTAGATTTTCTAGTTTATTTGCATAGAGGTGTTTATAGTATTCTCTGATGGTAGTTTGTATTTCTGTGGGATTGGTGGTGATATCCCCTTTATCATTTTTTATTGTGTCTATTTGATTCTTCTCTCTTTTCTTCTTTATTAGTCTTGCTAGCAGTCTATCAATTTTCTTGATTGTTTCGAAAAACCAGCTCCTGGATTCATTGATTTTTTGAAGGGTTTTTTTGTGTCTCTATCTCCTTCAGTTCTGCTCTGATCTTAGTTATTTCTTGCCTTCTGCTAGCTTTTGAATGTGTTTGCTCTTGCTTCTCTAGTTCTTTTAATTGTGATGTTAGGGTGTCAATTTTAGATCTTTCCTGCTTTCTCTTGCAGGCATTTAGTACTATAAATTTCCCTCTACACACTGCTTTAAATGTGTCCCAGAGATTCTGGTACATTGTATCTTTGTTCTCATTGGTTTCAAAGAACATCTTTATGTCTGCCTTCATTTCGTTATTTACCCAGTAGTCATTCAGAAGCAGGTTGTTCCGTTTCCATGTAGTTGTGCAGTTTTGAGTGAGTTTCTTAATCCTGAGTTCTAATTTGATTGCACTGTGGTCTGGCAGACAGTTTGTCGTGATTTCTGTTCTTTTACGTTTGCTGAGGAGTGCTTTGCTTCCAACTATGTGGTCAATTTTGGAATAAGTGCGGTGTTGTGCTAAGAAGAATGTATCTTCTGTTGATTTGGGGTGGAGAGTTCTGTAGATGTCTATTAGGTCTGCTTGGTGCAGAGCTGAGTTCAAGTCCTAGATATCCTTGTTAACCTTCTGTCTCATTGATCTGTCTAATATTGACAGTGGGGTGTTAAAGTCTCCCATTATTATTGTGTGGGAGTCTAAGTTTCTTTGTAGGTCTCTAAGGACTTGCTTTATGAATCTGGGTGCTCCTGTATTGGGTGCATTTAAATTTAGGATAGTTATCTCTTCTTGTTGAATTGATCCCTTTACCATTATGTAATGGCCTTCTTTGTCTCTTTTGATCTTTGCTGGTTTAAAATCTATTTTATAAGAGACTAGGATTACAACACCTGCTTTTTTTTGCTTTCCATTTGCTTGGTAGATCTTCCTCCATCCCTTTATTTAGAGGCTATGTGTGTCTCTGCACGTGAGATGGGTCTCCTGAATACAGCACACTGATGGGTCTTGACTCTTTATCCAATTTGCCAGTCTGTGTCTTTTAACTGGGGTGTTTAGCCTATTTACATTTAAGGTTAACATTGTTATGTGTGAAATTGAGCCTGTCATGATGTTAGCTGGTTATTTTGCCTGTTAGCTGATGCAGTTTCTTCCTAGCATTGATGGTCTTTACAATTTGGCATGTTTTTGCAGTGGCTGGTACCAGTTGTTCCTTTCCACGTTTAGGGCTTCCTTCAGAAGCTCTTGTAAGGCAGGCCTGGTGATGACAAAATCTCTCAGCATTTGCTGGTCTGTAAAGGATTTTATTTTTCCTTCACTTATGAAGCTTAGTTTGGCTGGATATGAAATTCTGGGTTGAAAATTCTTTTCTTTAAGAATGTTGAATATTGGCCCCCACTCTCTTCTGGCTTGTAGAGTTTCTGCCAAGAGATCCGCTGTTAGTCTGATGGGCTTCCCTTTGTGGGTGACCCAACCTTTCTCTCTGGCTGCCCTTAACATTTTTTCCTTCATTTCAACCTTGGTGAATCTGACAATTATGTGTCTTGGGGTTGCTCTTCTCGAGGAGTATCTTTGTGATGTCCTCTGTATTTCCTGAATTTGAATGTTGGCCTGCCTTGCTAGATTGGGGAAATTCTCCTAGATAATATCCTGAAGAGTGTTTTCCAGCTTGGTTCCATTCTCCCCGTCACTTTCAGGTACACCAATCAAGCGTAGATTTGGTCTTTTCACATAGTCCCTTGGAGTCACGTAGTTTCTTGGAGGCTTTGTTTGTTTCTTTTTACTCTTTTTTCTCTAAACTTCTCTTCTCGCTTCATTTCATTAATTTGATCTTCAATCACTGATACCCTTTCTTCCACTTGATTGAATCAGCTACTGAAGCTTGTGCATGTGTCATGTAGTTCTCCTGCCATGGTTTTCAGCACCATCAGGTCATTTAAGGTCTTCTCTACACTGTTTATTCTAGTTAGCCATTCGTCTAATCTTTTTTCAAGGTTTTTAGCTTCCTTGCGATGGGTTCGAACATCCTCCTTTAGCTCAGGGAAATCTGTTATTACCGACTTTCTGAAGACTACTTCTGTCAACTTGTCAAAGTCATTCTCTGTCCAGCTTTGTTCCATTGCTGGCGAGGAGCTGTGATCCTTTGGAGGAGAAGAGGCACTCAGTTTTTAGAATTTTCAGCTTTTCTGCTCTGGTTTCTTCCCATCTTTGTGGTTTTATCTACCTTTGGTCTTTGATGATGGTGACCTACAGATGGGGTTTTGTTGTGGATGTCCTTTTTGTTGATGTTAATGCTATTCCTTTCTGTTTCTTAGTTTTCCTTCTAACAGTCAGGTCCTTTAGCTGCAGGTCTGCTGGAGTTTGCTGGAGGTCCACGCCAGACCCTGTTTGCCTGGGTATCACCAGTAGAGGTTCAGTTGGAAATGCAGAAATCACCCATCTTCTGCATTGATCACGCTGGGAGCTGCGCACTGGAGCTGTTCCTATTTGGCCATCTTGGAATGGACCCTCTAAACCTTTTTAATAAACTTTTCCTCATGCTCTAAAACTTGCCTTGTCCTCTCACTCTGCCTTATGCCTCTCTGCTGAATTTTTTCCTCCAAGGAGGCAAGAATCAAGTTGCTGCAGACCACTACAGATTCACCGCAGCTAACAAAATCACTGCTGACCAACTCATCTCAGGATAAAAGTCAGGGTGGCTCTGTTTGGCTGGCTTATTCACCAACACAGATCTGGGGCAAGGAAAGGCGCTGAGAATTGTGGGCAAGAGAATCTGAGGACTTTGTCATCCCTTAAATTCTAGACTCTGAGAAGTTCAGCCTGCTTTTAAGTTTTGACTTGAGCTCTGTTAGATTCTTTATTCCATGCCTTTTAATCCCTGCCCCCTTCCCAGAGAGTGGCCTTGACTGACCCTTAGTTCCTCGCTAACAAAAGAACTGGCCAAACCAATGACTTGTAAACTGCCCTGAAGAGTCCTTCACCTCTCAGCCCCAGAACCATTGCTACAGCTCTTGTGGGCAGTAGGTTTGTGGAGGATGGATTCCCAAACAGCTGCAGGGCAACCACAGCCTATTAGCAGACTGCCTAGCACATACAATATTTGTTGAATTAAATTACTAATAAAAGGCAGGCAGAAGGATTACATTGAAAACACCCTGGAGCGTATGTTCCCATGAGGTGCTGCCACTGTAGGCTTCCAGCAAACAGCAGCAGCCAACACCTCAGCCTCATAATCAGAAAAGAAAATAAGATGTTGGACAGACCTGGAGGTCACAAAACAAAGCTACATATAAGTCCTTTAAACTATAGACCTGTGAGTAACAAACAAGCCTCTGCAGCCATAAAGTAGGTCTTTTCAGGCACATCTTCCAGTCATAGTCTCAGAACTGACGAGCTCATAGCAGGGAGGTAGCCATTCTGCATCCCCTATGCTTAATGGCCAATGTTGCTGACCAAGCACAAGACTTTTCCAGTGAGCCCAGAAACAGCTTCAGAATCCTTCTCAGCACAGTGCTCCAGAAAGCTACTACATGTCAAAAGGTTGGCATTTCAGATGAAACTTACTTGCCATCTGAGGAGGCTAAAGCAACTCCATCTTGGATGCTAACCTACCATGTTGACTTCTGATTAACCCCAGTTCTAGGAAAGCCTCTAAGAGTTCTATTGTCATGTACTTACTGTAAATTCTGCCTTTAAGTCAAAACAATCTTGATTTTATCATAAACACACGCTTACCATAAACCCTGTCCTTAAGCAAATTCCCTATGATATGTAAGCTTTGGGTCTGGTGGGTAAAAGGGAAGGGATCCACCATCTCACCTCGTGCCTGCCCAAGACATGGCTTCTGTTTATAAATTCCTATAAAATGTTTCTTTCTGAGAAACTGAATTTGTCAGCCTCTTTCTTCGGCCTCTCAGCTTCCTTGGCCTTTAGGAGTAGGTTTGCATGAACTGTTCACGCAGAACACCATCCTTGATGTAACATGCCTCCCTCATTTCAAAGGTGAGGAGACAGGTAACTCAATGAAGTTTATTGAATTTCCCATGCCACACGGTTATTTAGTAAAATAACTCAAAGTGTAACTTGGATCTTTGGACTCTTTACCCCCTGCTTTTTCTAGTAAACTATCTCTGAACCTTGAAATGTCCATTTTCAATAATGTCATCTTGGAGGCCTAAGAGCCTCCCCAGCATTTATGATGCATGCGATGCCTTAGGAAATGCTATCTAGCATCCATCCCAAAATAGAGGAAATAGAAGACCAGAATAACTCACTATTCATGAACAGGTTTACCATTAGGAATAACCACTTCAGGTGACATAAAAAACTTCAGCATAATTCTCTTTTTGTCACTATTTCCTGTCTTTTGCTTTTCTCATAATTTCTCTAGGAGTTTAGCAACTGAACCCAAATGACCATATAAATGGTAAATGACTAAGAGAGAGAAATGCTGAAGCAAAACAGTAAGCTTTTTGACATTTTATGATAGATTTTTGTTTGCTTGAGTTTTTGGCTTGGTAACAAGATCATCTTTGTATTTTGCTGTCTTTGATTGTTCACCTTCTCATAAGGGAAAAACAATCTTAGTAAATCTTTTGTCTGTGTTGAACTTCACAGATTCAATTTTTTACTGCGCTAATATACTATATTGCTGGAAGAAGATAATTACATGATGAAATTAAGACATTCTGCAATTATATCTTGTAATATCATTAATTTCCAGATACACACAAATTATATCTACCTCAAGAAGAATACCAATTTCCTTTGTTTCTCTCATAAAAGCAGATAATAAGAATCGTACTCCTGCAATTATTTTAGACAAATTTTTAAATTTGTTATCTTAGACCTCTCAGAGCAGTAATGATACATTATCTCAAGTTTCAAGTTTTACTTTTAATCATTGTATTGCTAATGATCTTTCAGATTGAAAATGCTGTTTTCTTTTTGAGAAAGCCTTGACACTTTTTGTCATATCTCTCTAGTCTCTTCATAATCTTAGGAGAAAAATCATTAATGGTAATGAATGAATGGGCTTATAGAAAAGATTATGCCATAGATAACTTGACCCCATCTATGTCGACACAAGAACTGTTTCATGTAAGACATAAAGAGACAAAATTAGCCAGGCATGGTGGCTCACACCTGTAATCCCAGAACTTTAGGAGGCAGAGGCAGAGGCAGATGGATCACTTGAGGTCAGGAGTTCGAGACCAGCCTGGCCAGTGTGGTGAAGCCCAGTTTCTACTAAAAATACAAAAATTAGCTGGGCATGGTGGCACGTGCCTGTAATCCCAGCTACTCAGGAGGCAGAGGTGGGAGAATCACTTGAACCTGGGAGGCAGAGGCTGTAGTGAGCTGAGATCGCACCACTGCACTCCAGGCTAGGCAACAAAGTGAGACTCTGTCTCAAAAAAAAAAGAGACAAAATTAATAGTACAGAACAAAAAAGCTTAAAGAAGCCTACTTATAAGGAGCTTATGAAGTTATTCCAATTTTTATTAGAACTTTTTATTCACAACACATCAAAAAATATTGAGCATTATTTTATGAAAAACACTATGTCAGAGAACACAGATGTCATTTAACCCTCTAAGAACTCATCTTCTAGCTAAGGAGTCAAGAATAAAAGAATCAACAAGGAAGAATGAGTAATAACATGAAGAGTTGCACTAGTAATACAAGGCTAATGACCACATGAATCTTAAGGAAAGGCATTCTATGAGCTCAGAGAGAAGAGAGAACACAGAGCTTGATAAGTCTAGGAAGAGTTTCCAGGCAGAAAAGATATAAACAAAAGTAAATATAAGAGGAAAGACCCCATGGCCATAGGGGAAAAGTTGAACTTGAAAAGTAGGCATTCTGCATGATTCCATCTCTCATTTTTATTCAAATCTTTTCACACCTCACTGAGACTTGTCTTGTGTGGCCTCATTCCATTTTTTGATTCTGTTTCCTCTCTGCAAAATCACTAATGCTCATGGTTGCAATTATCCTATCTCTCAGGTACACTCTTAAATCTGAGCCTCCAGCAAATGTGGCTTCCACTTGGACCTTGAATCCTGCCTTGCCTCCTGTCTGGACTAATACCCTTCTTTCTATCCTGGTATGAACAAATCTTTTCAATCCATGTCAGCCAGTTAGATGTCAACTCCAGGGAAATTTTTCTTGATCCTTCAGTTGAAAGTCAAGCATCTTTTCTTTGAAGTCCTGTATCACCTTTTCTTGCCTCTACCATGAACAACCCTTTTCATTTGCTAAAACCCTGAACCATGCATGGTTCCTTGCCATCATACTTTCTCCTGTAGGTGTTGGTGCATTTTTGTCCATTCTCTGAGAACCAGCTCTGCCACCAGCAGAGGTGGGCCCAGAAGCCTTATTTGTGCTGCATAATCCCATACTCTTGACCATAGATAACTTGGCCATGACTGGACATCTGCCTCCAGTTAGGCAATGCCAGTTTTCTCTTTCACAATCAGAATAGGGACCTGGAAAAGCAAATGAGTTTCTGTTGGTTCTCAAACTTAAAAGGTATTTAGAATCAAAAGACACTATCAAGACTGAAAAGACAACCCACAGTATGAAAGCAAATAGCTTCAAGCCATATATCTTATAAAGGCCCAGTATGCAGAATATACAAAGAACTACTACAACTCAACAACAAAAGACAAACAATTCAAGTAAGAAATGAACAAAGGATTTGACTAGATATTTCCTCAAAGAAGATATACAAAGTACATGAAAAGAGGCTCAACATCATTCGTCAACAGGGCAATGCAAATCAAAACCACAATAAGATACTACTTCACAATCACTAGAATGGCCATAATAAAAAAAAGGAAAATAATAATTGTTGTAAAAATGGTAGATACATTAATACCCTCTTATGTTGCCAATGGCAATGTAAAATGGTGCACTACTGGAAAACAATTTTGTAGTTCCTCAAGAAGTTAAACATAGAATTACTATACAATCCTGCAATTCTATTCCTTGATACGTATCCAAAAGAACTGAAAACAGGTGTTTAAATAAAAACATGTACACGAATATTCATAGCAACTTTATTTATAATAGCCAAAAAGTATAACCAACCCAATGTCCGTCAATGGAAAAATAAACAAAATATGGTATACCCACGAGATGGAAAATAATTCAGCCATAAAGAGGAATAAAGTGCTGATACACACTACAATATGGATGAACATCAAAAACATTATGCTAAGTGAAAGAAGTCAGACACAAAAGGCAACATATTATATGGTACCATTTACATAAAATATCCAATCTATACAAATCTGTAGAGACAAAAAATAGATTTCTGGTTACCAGGGGCTGAGGGGAGATGGGAAAGGGGAGTGACTGTTATTTAATAATTAGAGGGTTTCTGATTTGGGTGAAAATAAAGTTCTGGAATTAGATAATGGTGATAGTTGTACAATACTGTGAATGTATTTAATGCCTCTAAATTGTAGATACTAAAGTGATAATTTTATGCTGTGTATTTTTCTTTTAATTTATAAAGGAAAGAGGTTTCATTGACTCACAGATCCACATGGCTGGGGAGGCCTCAGAATCATGGTGGAAGGCAAAGGAGAAGCAAAGGCATGTCTTACATGGTGGCAGGCAAGAGGACTTGTGCAGGGGAGCTCACATTTATAAAACCGTCAGATCTCGTGAGACTTATTCACTACCACAAGAACAGTATGGGGGAAACCACCCCATGATTCAGTTATCTCCACCTAACCTTGCTCTTGACACATGGGGATTATTACAATTAAAGGTGAGATTTGGGTGGGAACACAGCCAAACCATATCATTCCACCCCTGGCTCCTCCCAAATCTCATGTTCTCACATTTCAAAACCAATCATGCCTTCCCAACAGTCCCCCAAAGTCTTAACTCATTGCAGCGTTAGCTCAAAAGTCCACAGTCCAAAGTCTCATCTGAGACAAGGCAATTTCCTTCCACCTATGAGCCTGTAAAATCAAAAGCAAGTTAGTTACTTCCAAGATACAATAGGAGTACAGGGATTGGGTACATACACCCACTCCATATGGGAGAAATTGGCCAAAACAAAGGGGCTACAGGCCCCACGCAAGTCCAAAATCCAGTAGGGCAGTCATTAAACCTTAAAGCTCCAAAATGACCTCCTTTGACTCCATGTCTCACATCCGGTTCATGCTGATGGAAGAGGTGGGCATCCAGGGCCTTCAGCATTTCCGTCCCTGTGGCTTTGCAGGGTATGGCCCTCCTCCTGGCTGCTTTCATGGGCTGGTGTTGAGTGTCTGCAGCTTGTCCAGGTGCACCGTGCAAGCTGTTGGTGGATCTGCCATTCTGGGGTCTGGAGGATGGTGGCCTCTTCTCACAGCTCCACTAAGCAGTGCCCCAGTGGGGGCTCTGTGTGGGGGCTCTGACTCCACATTTCCCTTCCGCACTGCTCTTGTAGCAGTTCTCTATGAGAGCTCGGCCTGTAGCAGAATGAGCTGCAGACAAGAACCACTCACACACCAAGTTGTAGAAGGAAAGGGCTTTATTCAGCTGGGAGCATTGGCAGGCTCACATCTCCAAAAACCGAGCTCCCCGAATGAGCAATTCCTGTCCCTTTTAAGGGCTTACAACTCTAAGGGGGTCCAAGTGAGAGGGTCGTGATTGAGCAAGCAGGGGGTACGTGACTGAGGGCTGCATGCACCGGTAATCAAAACGGAACTGAACAGGACAGGGCTTTTCACAGTGCTTTTCCATACAATGTCTGGAATCTATAGATAACACAAGCAGTTAGGTCAGGGGTTGATTTTTAACTACCAGGCCCAGGGCGTGGTGCTGGGCTATCTGCCTGCAGATTCCATTTCTGCCTTTTAGTTTTTACTTCTTCTTTCTCTGGAGGCAGAAATTGAGCAGCATAAGACAATATGAGGGGTGGTCTCCTCTCTTAGGCCTATCCAGAAGACTTCTGCCTGGACATCTAGGTGTTTTCATACATACTCTGAAATCTAGGCAGAGGTTCCCAAACCTCAATTCTTTTTTTTTTTTCTTTTTTTGTGGTTTTAAGGAGCAGAGAGTTTAACAGGCAAGAAAGAAAAGAGAAGACAGAAGGAATAGGCTCCCCCATACAGAGACAGAGGAGGGGGGGGCTCCAAAGCCAAAAGAGGAAACCCCAAGTGGGGTAGAAACCAGCCTGGTATACGTAGAGGCTGCAGGAGGTGGTGTCTGATTTATACAGGGCTCAAGGGATTGGTTTAACCAGGCATGTCATTCACATAGCCCACAAAAAAGCTGGCCCTCCCACCCTAGCCTTTTAATATGCAAATACAGGGTGCCATGATGTTCTATACACATGGGGATATGTGGGGGTGGCCATGTTGCCAGGCACATGTGGGGCAAGGGCAAGAAGGCAGTGGTAATCACCATGTTTGGGTGGACCCGGTTTCTAATGGCTGGTATTTGCATATCAAACCCAAACTCAATTCTTGATTTCTGTGCACCTGCAGGCTCAACACCACGTGGAAACTGCCAAGGCTCAGGGCTTGTACCCTCTAAAGCCATGGCCTAAGCTGTACCTTAGCCCCTTTTAGCCACAGCTGGAGCTGGAGCTGAAGCAGCTGGGATTCAGGGCATCAATTCCCAAGGCTGTACACAGAAGGCGGGTCCTGGACCCAGCCCAGGAAACCATTTTTCCCACTTAGGCTTCTGGGCCTATGATAGGAGGGGCTGCCTTGAAGATCTCTGACATGCCCTGGAGACATTGTCACCATTGTCCTGGAAATTAGCATTTGGCTCCTCATTACTTACACAGATTTCTGCTGCCAGCTTGAATTTCTCCCCAGAAAATGGGTTTTCCTTTTCTACTGCATCATCAGGCTGCAAATTTTTCAAACTTTTATGCTCTGCTTCCTCTTGAACGCTTTGCTGTTTAGAAATTTCTTCTGCCAGATACCCTAAATCATCTCTCTTAAGTTCAAAGTTCCACAGATCTCTAGAGCAGGGATAAATGCTACCAGTCTCTTTGCATAGCAAGAGTGACCTTTACTCCAGTTCCCAACAACTTCCTCATCTCCATCTGAAACCACCTTAGCCTGGACTTTATTGTCGAATCACTATCAGCATTTTGGTCAAAGCTATTCAGTAAGTCTCTAGCAAGTTCCAAACTTCCCCACATCTTCCTGTCTTCTGAGCCCTCCAAGTCTCTAGGAAGTTCTAAACTTTCCCACATTTTCCTGTCTTCTTCTGAGTCCTCTAAACTGTTCCAACCTCTGCCTGTTACCCAGTTCCAAAGTCGCTTCCACATTTTCAAGTATTTTTACAGCAGTACCCCACTACCCAGTACCAACTTACTGTATTAGTCTATTCTCATGCTGCTAATAAAGACATACCCAAGACTGGGTAATTTATAAAGGAAAGAGGTTTAATTGACTTACAGTTCCACATGGCTGGGGAAGTCTCACAATCATGGCAGAAGGCAAAGGAGAAGCAAAAGCATGTCTTACAAGGTGGCAGGCAAGAGCTATGCTATTTTTTTTATCACGAAGAATTTTAATATTTTTCTTTTTTTTTCAACAGAGATGGCAGATGGCTATGTTGCCCAGGCTGGTCTTGAACTCCTGGGTTCAAGCAATCCTCTGCCTCAGCCTCCCAAAGTGTTAGGATTACAGACGTGAGCCACTGCATCTGGCCACAGTAATTTTTTAAAAGATATTTAAAGGGTATTTTAAGAGCCCCCAGCTAAATTGGGGTTTCAGTACCAGAGCAGCTAGCAACTCTGCCCTAATGGGATGTCAGTGTTTATAGTATGCCTTCGTGGGATGCTTCTTTTACCTGGCAGATGACCTAATGCCTAGTTGTCTGACCTGCAACCAGGGAGTCCTTCACATGGGAAACTTGTTTATACCGGCAAGGCTCCCTCGTGGCTCTTACCTGAGCTGTGTCCATTTTATGCCTGCCTGACTCTCTCTCTGACCCTGGGAGCCTGACCTTGTGTTCAGCCCAGAGCCTTGAGGAAACTGGCCAGGGACAGCCCCTGGTTCTTCAGATGGAAGGCAACCATTCACTCCACCACCACAATAGGAAATAAGGTCAAGGATTTGTATGTGCTCATCCTGGGAAGGTAGGGTATAATAAGTCGGGAGGGCAGTCCTTGGTCCCCAGTGTCCTGTGAGACAGGAATAAAAAGGCAGAGAGAGGGAAGCACAGAACAACAAGCAATGTATGTAAGGGAATAATAGGGTGAGGATAGCCTTAAGTTTGCATGCAAATGCCTGAATGGTCTTTTTAAGGAAGCAGCAGTAAAACAAGGAGCCCAGCCTTCTAGGCAGGAGAGATGCCTCTAAGTTCTTGTCTCTGGCCACCCGCTTAAGCCATTTGGATGTAGTGGAGAACTGGAAGCTGTGTCAAGGGTGACCGAGCCCTGCTTCTGGCATAAGAAGGGTAAATATATTCAAAATGGATGCTGAGGCAACATAAAATTATAAGAATTCACTACAGACAGCTTGGGTGGCTTTTTTCATCACATTCATGGGGAATCAGAACAGCCAATTCACAAAGAATGAATGATGAAGCAATTGAGTAGAGAGAAATATGAAGCCTGAGAACAGGGCTGCCCTGGTTTCTCCTATCCCTCAAGATCTGGACTCTGCCCCCATGAGGCTCAAATGCATTCCCAGCCTTAGATTTCTACACTCTTATTAAATTCCCTCTTTGCAATTCAGCAGTTTGAGTGGGTTTCTGTTACAGCCCCAAAGAGTCCTAAGATTCTCTGCCTTAGCTTCTTAAGGGCATGGTGTGTAGGATAATTCTCCATTTGTGTTCACAGGACCCTCCTAGTCTAGTATCCAATATTTAGCTGGCCACACAGGATCATGTGTTTTAAAAAGAAAGACAGAAAAATAGATTCAAACCAAGACAGGCAAAAAAACTTTTTGACCTAAGTAAAAACAGACCTAATGGAAGAATTTCTTCCGTCTCTCATAATAATTTAAATCAGGTTGCTTGGTAACCATCTTCCTTAAAATGGTACATTTGTTTTTTAAAAAAATAGTGTTTTTATAAGAAGCTGCGGATTTCCAAGCCAGGTTTTATAACCTCATGCAGGCCCATATGTCTTTTTTCCAGGCCAAATTCCAACTGGTTTGCAAAGGGATATGCATGCTGAAAAGCAAGACCGAACATCGAGGGTCAGGTCAAGAGAGGAGGAAGGGTTTCGGTGTAACAGTAATATCAAAAGGGTGCCCTAAAATGAAAAAAAAAAAAGACCTCAGTTCTTCTGCTGTATATTTACTCTCTTAGAAAGAACCATTGGATAACACTGGCAAAGGCTATCATGCCAATGACTACATGGTGTGGTGTTCCCATTAAGTCACAAGAAGCGGTATCCAAGGAAGGTAGAGAGGAACTCAATCATTTGGATTTAATATAAAACTCTAAAGCCCTGAACAAAATGCAACCTAGGAGGTGGAATTATTTAAAAACTCTCTTCGGCCAGGCGCAGTGGCTCACGCCTGTAATCCCAGCACTTTGGGAGGCCGAGGCGGGCGGATCACGAGGTCAGGAGATTGAGACCACCCTGGCTAACACGGTGAAACCCCGTCTCTACTAAAAATACAAACAATTAGCCGGGCCTGGTGGTGGGCACCTGTAGTCCCAGCTACTCAGGAGGCTGAGGCAGGAGAATGGCATGAACCCGGGAGGCAGAGCTTGCAGTGAGCCAAGATTGCACTACTGCACTCCAGCCTGGGCGACAGAGCGAGACTCCGTCCCAAAAAAAAAAAAAAAAAAAAAAAAAAAACTCTTTTCATTTAATGCAATTTGTGTATCCAATCTCTATTATATATCATAATAATCATTATTACTTAATACTATATTATTACTACATTGATGTGGTACTTGTTAGTTTTTACTGACCATCTCCAAGAACAAGAATGCCTTGAATCAAAGGATGAAACAGTATAATGGTTTGTTTTAAAAAAAAACAAAACTATATCCACACCAATTTTTTGTTGCCCTTGGGGAAAAAAGTATATCTCCTTGCATTGTTTCTGGGTTACGGTGTCTTTCTCTGCTTGCTGTAGGATACAGGTAGATACTAGAAGGGAAAACACTCCATCTCAAACATTCTAAGTCAAGGAAGTCAAAAAGTCAAGTAGGTAGTGCTCAATTGAAGTAATTAGCAGAATAGTGTGTCTAATGTCGAAGTGCCAGCAGGTAACTAAAGCCACATCTTGATTATTGCATGGTTTCAATGCACTCCTAATATAATATTCTACTACAACTAAAGACCCCCTGGCATTTTCTAAGTCAGCTTCCCCCTTAGATTCTTGTTCAGTCATTTTCCCTGGGGTTAAGATGGCTGGACAATATCTCGTTGGAAAGAAATATGAATTTCAATAAGACTGTAAAGGAACATGTTTGAGGGGCTCAGCTGTGCTTGAGTTTTCAGTTAATAATTTAGAACACTCCTTTCTGCTTGAAATCTCCCTAATTGAATGACAAGAATGAACTTGTCATAGGAGCTGACAGGCATCATTCTGAGTCACCCACCCCTGATCCCAGTGTCCAACTGAGGTGCATTTTTCTTTTCATATCATCACAATTTTTTTGTGTGTGTTTTGAGAGTGAGAAATGAGGTCACCTGCAAGGTAGAGTTATAGCAGGAAGCCCCAGCTCAGGGGCCACCATAGTCAGGGGGGCTTAGGATGGCTCCTCCCCAGGCCACCACACCTCACTCCAGCAGCCAGTAGTGGCAGCAGTGTACTCTGGAGATGGACAGAAACCTTAATAATGGCCCAGTGACCCAAGAGCCACTTTCAGGAGCTATTGCAGCCTGGTCTAGAGCTCACAGCCCAGCCCTTCAGACAAATGATTTTGCAACAACCATGTCTGTTCATAGTGAACCCGGATACTTCAGAGGTTGTTTAAAGCCTTACAATTTGTGGCTCCTATTCTCATATAGCTTATCATTAGTAGTCACATCCAGATATTAAAAGTTTGCAATACCTTATGAATTCCTTTGCATGTACACTATATTATTTAAGATTCAAAACCATTTTTCCCATAACTGACAACAAGTCATTTCTAATTAGATGAAAGAGATGTACTTAGGGGATGAGAGTGGGAATCTCAGCTCCATCCCTCTATGTGACCACAGTCATGTCAACCTCTCTGGTCCTCTAGTTCCTTACGTGTAAGATGACAAAGGACAGGTATTATATCATGCAATCTCTAGGTTCCTTTTCAGCTCAAAAGTCAATACGAAGGGAGACTTAAAGTCACTAATAGTTTAGCAGGGCCATACTGTCATAAAAAGTTATACTCAGGTTAGGTTCTTCAATTCAACCATTTATAGCACATTTTCATTTTGGTTGGAATCCAGCTCCACTTAGAATTTAATGTGTCATCACTTTAATGGGTCATTCAAGTTGTGACATTATACAAATATTTATTCGGCACCCACTGTGAGCTGGGTCATATGCTATGAGTTGGAGATAAATGAAGAATGAGGTATGACCTCTCCCTCAGAGACCTCACAGCCTAGTGCGAAATAAAGCTGGACCAGCTGGCAATTGCAGTACATCGTGATGGGGGTCAACAGTCATGCTGTGGGGACACATGTGGGGGTTGGAAGGGCCAAATCACAACATCTGAGGGCAGACCTGACAGAGAGGAAGTGAGCCAGACAGGAGGGAGACAGAGACAGGGAGCGGTATGTGCACAGGCCCAGGCAGCGTGGGGGCTGTAAGCAGGCTGGAACCCAGGAATTGAGAAGAGGACTGGAGAGTGATAAGGCTGAAAAGGTTTGGGATAGTTACTATTTAATACAATGAGCCAGAAATCACAAAATGCAAATTAAACCACTGTAACATATTATTCTACAGTCAATACCTCGGCAACAATTTTTAAGTCTGACCATACCAAGTATTGTCAAGAAAGTGGTTTTATAGAATCTTCTGTATGTCATGTGTGGTGAGAATATAAACTGGTACAACCACTTTGTAAAACAGTTTTGACATAATCTCCTATGACCCAGCAATTCTGGTCCATTCATCACAACATTGTTTTTAATATTCAGAGCCAGAAAACAACTCAAATGTCCTTTAATAGTAGGATAGCTATGTGCATTGTGGTATAGTCATACAATGACTACTATATAGTAATAAAATAAATCAGCGGTAACCACATACGACAATAGGATTACAGACCACAAGCTTAATGTTGAGGAGGAAAAAGACACAAAATACATACAGTAATAGTCCATTTACATAAAATTGAAAAACAGGGGAAATTAAACTTTACTCTTTAGGGATGCATAATAAAAGTGGGAAATACATTTTTAAAAATAATATTATGATAAAGGATAGGATAAGTTTACTTCTAGGGAAGAAAAGGGGCCTGTGCTTTGGAAGGGGCAGATTGGGAGTCCTGGCGTGTAGCAGTAGTATATCCACTTAGCTGGTTTAAGGGAGAGTTTTCTTTTTCTCACTGCACATTATATTGCACAATAAAAATCTTAAATAAGGAAGAAAACATTAGAACCAGATATGACAAAGAAAGAGGCAGTTGCAACTCATGGAGACAGAGAGAATAATGGTTACTAGACACTGGGAAGAATAATCAGGGGAAAGGAGGGAGATGGTTAATAGGTATAAAAATACAGTTAAAGAGAAGGAATAAGATCTAGTGCTGAGTAGCACAATAGGGCAAGTATAGTTAACAATAATTTATTATGTATTTCAAAATAACTAAAAGAGTGGAAGTGGAATATTCCAAACACAAAGGAATGATAAATGCTTGAGGTGACAGATGCCCCAGTTATGTTGATTTGATCATTACACACTCAATACTTGTATCAGAATATCACGTCTCCCATAAGTATTTAAAAAGAAAAAGTTTCTTAAAAAACAAACTAATCAATACAAAGAATGATTTGTTGTCATTGCTATTTTTTTAAAAAAAGAAAGAGGCAGAGAAGAAAGGAAAGAAAGAGGGGAGAGAAGATTAATATGTATACTTGGTAGCCCTAATTAATTTGGGGCTATGGCAAGAATGCCATGGCCAAAAGACATTTGGGAGAAATGGTTGTGTCCATGTAAAGAATGGCTCATTCTCTCATCCTCCAGTTCTAAGTATTAAGTGAGGTCTTTCTCCTTGAAGACTAGCTAAGGAAGGAGAAAGAATGGCAGACAGAGACAGCCTCCTGCCCTATCACTTTTGCCTTCAGGGCTCCCTTCCCTTCTCCTGGGAACCCCATTGCTGTTTCTGTGTCCCCTCACCCTGCTGTGGGAGTGCAAGGCTCTGAAGACTGTGGCAAGGAGGAAATTCTCAACCTTTGCACTCAGATTTCCAGCACCTGAGGTAGCCCAACCATGGGGCCCAATACCATTTACTCACATTTTCCACTTCTTCTGCTGTATTGTCTGTATTGCTGAAAGCCATTTCATGTGTTTTCTCATTTGATGCCTCAAAGAGCCTCCTGACATGGGTAGAGCAGGTATTGTTAATATTCATGGAAAATTGGAGCCGCGAATGAGTCATTCAGGGTCACTCAGCTTGGATGAGAATGCAGGCCCCCATATCTGAATCTACTTCAATAAGCCATCCTACAAGCCCCACATATCACCAAAGTGTAGCATCCACAACCCACACCCCAAGTTTAAGTGGCTCTGTACATTTGAGAGGGCCATTGAAAGCCCAGAGATGCTATGGAGGAAGTTGTGTTAACCACGTCAAAGTACTAGGTGACAAGAAGATGGCATTCGTATCAAATTCCGATCTCCTTAACTTTTCAGTAGAGTCTAAATATCTCTGCAGAGCTTGCTTTCTCTGCTATGAACTATACATACTTTCTTCATTTCACAAAGCATGGAAGAAACAAAGGATTCTACGACTCGCCAAAGGTTTTAGCCCTTCATTGTTTTATCTCAGAGAAAAGGGGAGAAAGTGAGAGCTTCTCCTGTGTTTCAAAGATCTAATTTTTGGTGTGAAAGAGTAAGTGGCTCAGAGCTGACCTCTTTGAAGCATGTGGTGAAGAATGAAAAAGAAATGGACAAGTGAAAAATCAATACTTCTTCACTATTATCTATCAGTCCAGGGAAACCAATCCCAAATGTACATTTCTTTTGCTGCTTCAGTTACTATAAATATTACACACTAATATCAACATTTAGGATGTTTTGGTTGTATATTATAGCGTTGTCTAGGAAAAATTTTAATGTTTAAAAACTTCTTTGTGGTGTGATTTTTTTTTTTTAATGTACTGTGCTAAAAATTGTTACTGGTAAAATAGATGTGCTGGTGTGTGACTATTGGTATTTCAAAATGATTCTTTGTTTTACAAAAGTATTCATTGATCCCAATCTTTCTCATAGGTCTCATACTAACATTGTGAAATTTGATTCAGTGCCCCCCTGAAAAAGATATAATTACAGCCTCTTAAGATTCATCTATTATATAAAGTGAGGACCATTTATATATTCATCTGAGTTACAAATTCAACAAAGCCCTTTTTAAAAATATTCCAGAAATTATTCCATCACTTCTCTCTATTTAAAATCTAAAATCAGCCTAGGCTGTCACTGAAGAAAAAGAAATGAGAATATGGCAAACCCAATGGTAAAGTAAATGTCCCAAGCCACCTCAAGATGCAAAAATCAAACTAGAATTTTTAATTACAATTAAAATAATCATAATAACAGATTTAAAGGATCTACAATAATAAATTTAAAGGATAATTTTTCAAATTCTAGTAAATATACCCATTAAAGTTTATGATCTACTTAAAATATCAGGCAGATTTGAAGCATTATACAGCTCTCACAGTCAATTTGAACAAAGATAGCAGCCTTACTGAATTTTTCAATTTGAGCAACTCTTCCACCTAGTTTTCCACATGAGCAGAAAACCTGCTATTTTGCTGAATCTGGCCTCTTCAAAACAATCCTCCAAAAAACAGGAATAAAGCCACCCAATGTCTGCTCCAAAACACCCTGTTTAGGAAACATGAGCATTTTTCCAACAGGTTTCATCACGGAGTGACCCTAGGCAACTTCCTTCACTTCTCTAAGTTTCCATATCCCTGCCCATAAAATGGAGATAATAATCAGGACTTGCCTCCTAAGGTTGTTCTAAGAATTAAAATAATACACAGATAGGATTTAGAATATTGTCTAGAAAAAAAAATGAACAGCAGCTGTTGTTCTTTGAGCTAGGAATTAGGGAATATAGGTTCTACCACTAACTGCCACAACTAGCTACATGGTGTTGGAAAGATTGACTCTCAACTCCCACAGGCCTTTATCTCCTCATTGAAATATGGAGATCTTTTGGGGTCACTAACTCTGCTGTTTTCATTTACAACTCTGACACTAAATGTGTCAGTGTTTTTCCACACCAAACAACCAGTTCTCCAACCCTCCAGAAGCCAACTAGATGTCCTACAATCCAGTTCAGTTCAGACACTATCCAGAATTAGTGCAGACCCCACAAGGTAAGGACTCAGGCCCATAAGTCTGTCCCCACTTCAGACACCAATGGCAAGTCCCCAGCCTCCTGTACTTCTGACTGACTCTCTATGTTATTACCCAATGGGTTCATCTTGCTAGCTGCATAGATAAAACCAATTCACTGAGACAGCAGTATTGCAGCAAATAAAGGATTTAATAATCAGAGGGCTAGCCAAGAGAAAGGATGGGAGTAATTATTCAAGTCATCCTCTCCAAATATTCAGAGACTGTGGTTTTTCAAAGATAGTTTGGTGGGCAGGGGGCTAGGGAGTGAGGAATGCTGATTGGTTGGGTCAGAAATGAAATCATAGAGAGTTGAAGCTGTCTTCTTGCACTGAGTCAGTTCCTAGATAGAGTCATAGGACCAGTTGAATCAGTTTCTTAGTATGGGTCATGGGTCCTGGGGTCAGCTGGTTACCAGAATGCAAACGTCTGAAAAATATTTCAAAGACCAATCTTAGGTTTTGACAATAGTAATGTTATCTTAGCAGAATTCAGGCCCGTCGCACAATCCCAATCTTTTGAGCTTTCATTAGTCCTAAAAAGGTGGTCTTTGTCCCCAAGCAAGGATTGGTTAGTTGTAGGAAGGGACTGTTATCAACGTTTTTTTAAGGTTAACAAAGGCAGTTAGCTTATGAGTTTAGAATCAAGATAGAGACAGTTAGGTTAAATTTCTCTCACTGTTGTAATTTTTGAAAAGACAATTTCTGCTATAAATCTCATGACTCCCTTCTCAAATTTGATAATTTGCTAGAATGGCCCACATAACTCAGGAAGACACTTCACTTACTATTACCAATTTATTATGAAGGATAAAACTCAAGAACAGCCAGGTGGAAGAGCTGCATAGGCCATGGTATAGGGGAGGGGCGTGGAGCATTTAGGCCCTCTCCAGGCCCACCACTCTCCTAGCACCTCTATGTGTTCACTGACCCAGAAGCTCCCCATACCCCATCATTTGGGGGCTTTATGGAGGTTCCAATACATTGGCAAGGTTGATTAAATCATTGGCTATTGATGACTGAACTCAATCTCCAGCCCCTCTCCCCTCCCAGGAGGTTGGGGTGTGGGGCTGAATGTTCCAACCCTCTAATCACATGGCTTATTCCTCTGGCAACCATACCCCATCCTGAAGCTATCTCAGGGCCTACCAAGAGTCACCTAATTAGCATAAACTCAGGTGTGGTTGAAATAGGCTCATTATGAATAACAAAAGATGCTCCACTTACCCCTATTACTCAGGAAATTATAAAGATTTTAAGAGCTCTGTGACAGGAACTGGTGACAAAGACAAAATATATATCTTTTATTATATCACAATATCACACTAACTCAAGGCCCTCAGAGATAAGGCAAGGAATACACATGAAGTATGCCAGGTTTAAGAGAACAGAAAGGCTTGGAAGCTTTCATAAACTTGAGAGTTCTTCCCAACCTAAAAGCATTCAGATTCTAAAGGTGTTAAGCACACCGAGGCTGCCAGACCACATAAATACAGGTCTCATTCTGTAAATGACTTGACAATTTGCAACATCTTGTGACTATGCTAATATTCTTTTCAGCTGTGGCATTTTCTTACTCTTGTTTTCCATGCTCTTCCTTTTCCTAAAATCTATCCCAGGTAAATGAACAGTGGGTCAACCAAAGGAGTGAATGATTTTTGACATTGTCTTGTAACCACAATAGATTCATGGCCTGACACACACAGCAGGTCAATATGCCAAGACTTCGGGTTGCAGAAGAGAAAGAGGTTTAATTGTAGGGTCACTGAATTAAAAGATGGGAGAAAACCTCAAATCAATCTCCCTGAGGAATTTGAAGTTAGGGTTTTTAAGAGTTTTGGAGTGGGCCACAGTGTGGAGATCATTGATTAATCAAAGAGTGCAGGGTGAAGTCATGGGACAGAGAGAGGAAGAAGCTGTATTCTCATGCTAATTCTGTTCCTCTGCGGGGGGGCTTCAAACTGGTTGCTGGAATTCAGGGTCTGAAAAACATCTTAAGCAATACTTAAATAAAAGCTGTATGGTTCTAACGTCAGAGATTCTGTCTGTCTGTCTCTCTTTCTCTCTCTCTATATATATATACATTTTTTTTTTTTTTTGGACACAGGGGTCTCGCTCCGTCACCCAGGCTAGAGTGCAGTGGTGTAATCATAGCTCATTGCAGTCTCAACCTCTCCAGCTCCAGCAATCCTCCTGCCTCAGCCTCTCAAGTAGCTAGGACTACAGATGCATGCCACCATGCCTAGCTATTTTTTAAAAAAATTTTTATAGGGATGGGGTCTTACTGTGTTACCCAGGCTGGTCTCAAACTTCTGGGCTCAAGCAGGCTGGTCTCAAACTTCTGGGCTCAAGCTGTCTTCCCACCTCAGCCTCCCAAAGTGTTGGGATTATAGGCATAAGCTGCCATGTCTGGCTGCAAATCAATTCTTAAATAGTCTTAGCTTTTCATGTCAGAAATCCTATCTATAGGAACAGTGGAGATGAAAATGGTCAGTATCTACTGATATATGACTTCTAACAATAAGGAAGTAGGCCAAAGTGCAGCCTGGTTAGTGCTTAGTTATGTCTACATTTCTGTCCAGAACCTTGCATGCAATTCTTGACAACCTTGTGGAGGCAGTTTTAGTCTCTAACATCTAAGCTGCCCCGTTCCCTTACTTTCCACCTCCACAAACACGTATGTAACCCCTTCACACACATGCACACCATTTCCTGAGACTACCACTTTGAGTGCATATTTTACATGAACCATGCACACATTCTTTGCAGCTCTCTGTGAAGCTGGCTCTCTTTGTGTTTTAAGACAGAGATGACATGCTTTATATGTTCTGTTCAGTGCTCAGCTCTTTGCAGACATTTAAGCCATGATGATGAAAAAGCGTACCAGTACAAGTTCCCATTTAAATGGCTTCTAGACTTTTCTTGGTTCTCTGAGCAAACAGTACAATCCTATTGCCTCATAAGTCTATAGCAAATAAGATGTGTTCCAAAGTGCTGAATTCCTTTTCCTCCTTTTGCTTTCTATTCAAAGCCTAATTGATGCAGAACAATTCCTTAAAGCTGTCTCTTTTTTTCCTCCTAGATCATCCACAAACTACAAGTAACATGTAGTTACAACATGGGGCTCAGAATGTACCAAGAACATCCTATGTCTACAGAAAGGAGTAAAACACAAAGACTAAACAGAGTTACCTATTTCTTGTTAGCCTGAGAAAAATTCTTTTCAGATGTCTTTCATTACCTCAGAAATGGAGGCAAATGCTTTAAGAAGGGTCATATAATACTTTGAAAGGCTATTGCCATGGTGTGGTTATTAAGCTCTTGGGAAATGATGGGCTTCTCTTCAAGTATAAGGAACAATTGTGCCCCCTAAGAGTCATCTTGAATTGGAATGAAATAAACTGGTTACTCCAGAGAGCAAAAAAAATGATTGATTAAGGATTAGAAACTGTGGTGTTTGGGTCTCTAACCTCTGGCTCTTTCTGACATATTCTGTAGGCCAATAGAATACAGGTTGAGTCTTTCAAAAACTCCCTGACTTCTAGCTATAATGTCACATATGGTAAAATGAGCTCAGCACAGAGTTATGTTTTTCTTTTCTTACTCCTCACAGTAAGACTAAATTCCAAGAGTGGGATTGAAAAAGGGAGGTAGACAGCTGAGAAATACCAGCAGGCCTTGGAAGTGAAAACTACAATACAACCTCAAGCGTGAACAATCACAAAAACATGCCTGTCAGTAATAAAGAACCTGAAAGCAAGGGATGTCTCCTCCCCAAGCTGTTTGCATCCATTTTTCCAGTCCTGAGAAGTTAGGGAAATCTAGGTATTTGTTTAAATTCATGGAAGTGTACTTGGCTTATAGATCCAGGAGGAAAATACTAATGTGGTGCCCCTAATCCAACGTAGGAAAATATCTGAGACTTGAATCAGCTCTGTTTTTTTCTAACTTACTCATTAATGATATTTTCTTTCCTGGAAGACATTTCTATAAGTCAAGCCAAACCTGTCCTAGGGAAGGGCCTTGAAATAATTCTTTTTTCCTTTTTCCCTGTGGTGCTGAAAGTTCATGGTCAGCTGCACAGGCTGTTTAGTTAGTGGGTTCTCAATAGGCTCTGGCCAAAACATCAAGGTTTTTCTGTCTCTCACTGCAGGCTGGGACACTAGAAACCTGGCTGGAAATCATAAAATGGAAGAATAAACAACATACAATGTACAAGAGCCAGTGCTGTGGTGATATTTATTGTTGCTTTATAGATTTGGATTTGGAATGCTAGCTTTATATAGTCTAGTTAATTCCTTTGGTGTTACTTATAATTTGGGTAGAGAGGGTAGTAGACTAGAGGAAGTAGCAGATTAAATATTTTTGATCTGTGAAGAGGAGAAGCAGTATGTCCAAACAGCGGGCTTCCCAGCCACCTTAAGCTACTAAAGCCCCATCTTTATGTGCATAGCTCAAGAGTACCAGACTCAGGGGAAGCCCTATTTCACCACTCAACTGTGAGCTTAGGAAGTAAAGTCAGTATTGGTTATAGAAAGACTGATCATTTTTGAAGTCTACAGAAGGAAGGCATTCGAATCTATACATTTATTATTCTGTGAATCTGAATACACATTTGTTGACGTCCAGCTATTGTAGATAGAATATTTTCATAAAGAATTCTGTTTTGCCTTTTAAAAATCAATAGTAACTGAATCATATCTTCAAGATAAATTCTCTGGAATGAGATAGTTGAACTAAAAGGTATAAATGCCTTTATGCTTCGTTTGGTTCCTATTGCCAAGCTGCATCCCATGAAGACAACAGTGATAAGCCGTGCTGGCTGCTGGGTGTGAGTGTACCAATTTCTCTTGGGCTTTGTCAGCAGTGGATTTTTGTTTCACTTTAAAATGAGCACAAAAAGGAATTTCAAAGTCACTCTACTTCCACTGCAACTTAAAGTAGTTTCAAAGTAGTTTTATCTCATTAATTTATACCAATAGGAAATTGGACTCCTTCATAACAGCATATCTTCTTTTCAAGATCTAATTTTCTGTACTTGTGTAGTCAGTACCAAATTAGGCTACGGATTTAAAAATGAAGCTTAGTATTGAGGCAATTATCCTTCCACTCTCTGCTGTATTTTGGAACAACAACAACAAAAAACCACTGTTGCTAGAAGCAGTAATAATACTACTCCCACCAAGAGTACTGGCTATGAGTTCTAGATATTTCACTAATCAGCTGGACATACTTGGACAAGTATTTAATCTCTGCCCTCAATTTTATCTTCTGTAAAGTAGAGGTACTATTTGCTCTGTTACATTCACAAGATTGTCTTAAATATTGAGTAGAATAATAATGGTAAGAGTGTTTTGAGAAATAATATTTATTAAAAACATGACAACAAGTAATAAGTGAATAATAATAAATAACAATAACTCAGATGTCTGTCAATATTAAAGTCGCTATGTAGAAGAGTAAGAAGGCTCAGAGGGAAAGTTTAAAAATTGTAGTAGAAAAAAATTACAAGCAGAGCAACAATTTCATTATTTCCTTATCCTCTTTAGATTTTTCTAAAAAGACATGTAGCTTTCAAATACATTTACACATGGTGTCAATTCCCCTGAGGAAAAGCAAATAAATATGAATCAAATTTAATGTTTATCAATAAAATCATCAAAATTCACATTTATACATCATGTACTGGCAAGTAAAATCCACAAATCCTCCCAAAACAGAAGTGTGTTGGAAAAGCAGCAGCTACTGAGATGACTCACAGTAAACTACAGGTATTTGATTTTCTGATACTATCATAAATTGCATTTTTTTTAATTGTTGCTAAAAACTATCATATACTGAGAAGATAAACTAAAGAAGTCTTAAATAAACAGAGACATATTCCAAATGTAAGGTTTGGAAAACTCAAGACTGTTAAGATGCCAGTTCTTCTCAAACTGATCTATAGAATCAATGCAATCACAATCAAAATCCTGTCATGTTTATGTGTGCGCCTGTACATGTGTGTGTAAATTGACAAGTTGATTCTGAAAGGTATATGGAAATGCAAAGAGAAGGGAGGAGACAAGAAAATTTGAAGAAGAAAATGTTGAAAAACAACACTCCCAGATTTCAAGACTTATTCTAAAGCTACAGTAATTAACACATGGTGGTACTGGTGCAAAGATAGACAAACAGACCAATGGAACAAAATAGAGAGAAATGAACCCTCACGAGTACAATCACTTCATTAATGACAAAGGCAACACTGCATTTCAGTGAAGAAAAAGTGGTCATTTGAACAAATGGTGCTGGAGAAACTGGATATCCATATGGAAAAAAGTGAACTTTGACCTTTATCTCACACTGTGCGCTAAAACTAGTTCAGGATGGACCATAAGCCTAAATGTGAAAACTAAAATAATCACACTTTTAGAAGAAAACAGGAGGAATAGCTTTGTGAACTTGGGACAGGCAAAGATTTCTCAAACAGAACATAAAAAGCACTAATGCTTTTTTTTTAAATGATAAATTGGGTTTCAGTCCTATTCATAATCATTAACAAATAGTCAAGGCACAGACTGAGAGGTGATATTTGTAATATCTATATTAATATATATATAATAATTATACATGTTATTTTATATATATTCATACAATTGCATACATATCTACATACCGATTTCATACATATCTACATGCCATTATGCATACAATTATATATAATTATGCATACAATTACATATAATTAATATGCATACAATTATATATAATTAATTGCATACAATTATATATGTAGATGCATACAATTATATATAATTAATATAAATTTATATATAAAACAAAGATCTAACATCAAGAATACATAGGCCTAGCACAGTGACTCATGCCTGTAATCCCAGAACTTTGGGAGACCAAGGTGGGTGGATCACATGAGGTCAGGAGTTTGATATCAGCATGACGAACATGGTGAAACCCTGTCTCTACTAAAAATATAAAAATTAGCCGGGCATGGTGGTGCATGCCTGTAGTCCCAGCTACTCAGGAGGCTGAGGCAGTAGAATCACTTGAACCCAGGAGGCAGAGGTTGCAGTGAGCCAAGATCACACCATTGCACTCCAGCCTGGGTGACAGAGTAAGATTCTGTCTCAAAAAATGATGATAATAATAATAATCATCATACTAATAATATATAAAGGCTTCTACAAATCCATAGTAAAAAAAAAACAACCCAATTTAAAATAGGAAAAAGACTTGAATAGGCATTTCTTGCCACTCCTCACAAAAGAATGTCCAAATAACCAATGAGCATAAGAAAAGATCAATATAATTTGTATCAGAGAATTACAAATCAAAACTATGATGGAATACCATAACACATACTCCAGGATTAGTAAAATTTAAAAAGACTGACAATAACAATTGTTGAAAAGGATGTGGAACAATTGGAACTCTCCTATATTACTTGTGGGAATGTAAATTAGTAGAACCAGTTTGGTAAATATTTGGCAATATCTACTAAAGCTAAACATATGTCTACCCTATTGATTCAGCAATTCCACTGCTAGATGCAAACCCAAGGAAAAGTGTGTGAATATGTCTGCCAAGAGACATGTATTATTCATAATAGCTAAAAAACCCTAAACATCAAAGTGTTCTTCAATAGTAGAATGGGTAACTGAAACATGATATAATCATATAATAAAATTACCAATACATGCAACAACAGAAAGGAATCTCACAGACATTATGTTGAGAAAAAAAAACAGGCATAGTACATACTGGATGGGTTCATTTAAATGAATTTCAAGAACTGACAAAGCTAATCTGTGTTTATAGAAGTAGGAATTGGAATAGTGGTTTACTTCTGGGGAGCTATTCATGGGAAGGCGCACGAGGGAACTTTCTAGGGTGAAGGAAATATTCTACATTTTGATCTGAGAGGCTATTACAAGGTTACACACATACATAAAAATTCATTGACCATATACTTGACATTTGTGTTTCATAACTGCATGTAAATTATATTTAATTTTAAAAACAAAGAAGGAAATGGAATAAATTGCTGTTCACCTTAAAGATATTAAAAGTTGATCTCCTTTTTGAAATAGAATTCTAGACCCCTGGTGTTGGACGCTACTTTAAAGATAAGCCATTTCATTTTATGGCTGAACCCAAGGCCCGGAGTTTACAGGGTCTTGTTCAAAGCTAATAACAAATTAGGCTCAAAGTTAAGATCAGACACCAGGACTTCTGATGACCCTGCCCTTTCTTCTCCCTCACTCCACTTCCCTAAAGTACCCCTGAGAATGACGCTGACACCAAAGTGGGCTCTTCAGTCAATTACTACATTCTAGTAAGAGGCCTATGGAACTTTGCTCATGTCTCCCCTCTGCTGGAATTCTCTCCTAGTTTGTTTCACCTACCACATTCCTATCACCAACTTATTTTTCAAGACTCTGCTTACATCTCCCCATTTTTAGTGGGCTTTCTTTATCCTTTCTTCAGTGTAATTGATTCATCTCTATATCTGTATTAGTCCATTCTCATGCTACTATAAAGAAATACCTAAGACTGGGTAATTTATAAAGAAAAGAGGTTTAATTGGCTCACAGTTTCACAGGCTGTAAAGGAAGCATGGCTGGGGAGGTCTCAGGAAAGTTACAATCATAGTGGAAGGCAAAGGGGAAGCAGGTACTGAATTATGATATAATAATCTTCATATGGTCAGAGCAGGAGGTGGGTGGGGAAGGTGCTACACACTTTTAAACAAGCAGATCTCATGATAACTCACTCAGTACCATAAGAACACCACAAAAGGGGAAATCCACCCCCAAGATCCAATCAACTCCCACCAGTCCCCACCTCAATATGGGGATTACAATTTGACATGAGATTTGGGCAGGGACACAGACCCAAACCATATCATTCTGCTCCTTGGCTCTCTCAAATCTCACGTCCTTCTCACATTTCAAAATACAATCATGCTTTCCCAACAGTAACCCAAAGTCTTAACTAATTCCAACATTAACTCAAAAGTCCAAAGTCACATCTGAGACAAGGCAAGTCCCTTCTGCCTATGAGCCTGTAAAATAAAAAACAAGTTACGTTACTTCCAAGATATAATGGGGGTATAGACACTGGGTAGATACCCTCTTGTATTACTCGGCTGTCTGCCAAGAGAAAATTGGCCAAAATAAAGGGGTGACAGGCCCTGTGTGAGTTCAAAACCCAGCAGCGCAGTCATTAAATCTTAAAGCTCTAAAATAATTTCCTTTGATTCCATGTCTCACATCCAGGGCACACTGATGCAATGGGTGGGTTCCCAAGGCCTTGGGCAGCTCTGCCTCTGTGGCACTGCAGGGCTCAGCCCCAACAGCTGGTCTCAAGGGCTGACGCTGAGTGCCTATAGCTCTTCAAGGTGCATTGTGCAAGCTATCAGTGGATCTACCACTCTGGGGTCTGGAGGATAGTCACTCTCTTATCACATCTTCACTAGGCAGTACCGCAGTGGGGGCTCTGTGTAGGAGTTCCAACCTCACATTTTCCCTCCACACTACCTTAGTAGAGGTTCTCCATAAGGGCTCTGCCTCTGCAACAGATTTCTGCCTGGACATCCAGGCTTTTCCTGGAAACATCTTCTGAAGTCTAGGTGGGGGTTCCCAAGCCTCAACTCTTGCACTGTGTGCACTTGCAGGCTTAACAACATGTGGAAGCCTCCAAGGCTTATGGTTCGCACCCTCTGAAGCTGCAGCCAAAGCTGTACCTTGGCCCCTTTTAGCCACGGCTGGAGCAAGAGTGGCCAGGATGTAGGGCACCATGTTCTGAGGCTGCACAGAGCAGTGAGGGCCCTAGGCCTGGCACATGAAACCATTCTTCCCTCTTAAGCCTCTAGGCCTGTGATTTGGGGTGGAGGCTGCTGCAAAGGTCTCTGAAATATCTTCAAGATGTTTCTCCCATTTTCTTGGCTATCAACATTTGCCTTCCTTTTAGTTATGTAAATTTCTGCACCCTGCTTGAATTCCTCCCCTGAAAATGGGTTTTTCTTTTCTACTATGTGGCCAGACTGCAACTTTTCCAAATTTTTACACTCTACTTTCCTTTTAAATATAAGTTCCAGTTTTACATTATTTATTTGCTCACAAATATGAGTACAGGATGCTAGAAGCAGCCAGGCCATAACTTGAATGCTTTCCTGCTTAGAAATTTCTTCTGCCAGATACCCTAAATCATCACTCTCAAGTTCAAAGTTCCACAGATCCCTAGGGCAGGGGTACATTCCAACCAAGCTCCTTGCTAACTGATAACAAAAGTGACCCTTATTCCAGTTCCCAATAAGTTTCTCATTTCCATCTGAGACCACCTCAGCCTAGACTTCACTGTCCATACCACTATCAGCATTTTGGTCATAACCATTCAACAAGTCTCTAAGAAGTTCCAAACTTTCCCTCATCTTCCTGTCTTCTTCTGAGTGCTCCACACTCTTCCAACCTCTGCCTGTTACTCAATTCCAAAGCTGCTTCCATATTTGCAGGTATCTTTATAACAATGCCCCACTCCTAAGTACCAATTTTCTGTATTAGTCTGTTTTTGCATTGCTATAAACGAATACCTGAGACTGGGTACTTTATAAAGAAAAGATGTTTAATTGGCTCACAGTTCTGCAGGCTGTACAGGAAACATGGCTAGGGAGGCCTCAGGAAACTTAAAATCATGGCAGAAGGTGAAGGAGAAGCAGGCATGTCTTCACATGGCCAAAGCAGGAAGGAGGCAGGGGATGGTGCTACATACTTTTAAACAACCAGATCTCACAATAACTCAGTATCATGAGAACAGCACCAAAGTGGAAATCCACCCCCATGATCCAGTCCACCTCCCACCAGGCCCCACCTTCAACACTGGGGATTGCAATTTGACATGAGATTTGGGCAGGGACACAGACCCAAACCTTATCAATATCTGTGATATAACAACTATTATTTTTATCAATATTTATTGGGCATCTACCAGGTGCCAAATGCTGTTGTAGATGTTTGGGATTCAGCACTAATGATACACAAAGTTCCTGTCTCTGTGGAACTCACACTCAGGTGGGAGAGCGATAAAGCCAGGAAGTAACAAAGCCATAAAGAGCGGGATCAAAAGATAGTGACAGCAGCAAGTGCTTTTTAGATCAGCTAGTCCATAAGGATCTCTCAGAGGAGGTGACATTTGAGCAAAGACCTGGATGAAGCAGGTGATGGGTCTATCTAGGAATGAGACTCTGCACTGCATCTATTCACATGTCTATCTTTTTTAATGCAGGAGTCTGATTGACTTGTAGGCAGAAATGGTGTCTTAATTCATCTTTGTATTTTGGATCATTGTAGGGACTGAAAAAAGTTTGTAAAAATAAATGAATGGCACAAGCAACAAATGAAAATATAAATAAATTGAACTTCATCAAAATTTGAAACTTTTGTGTTTCAAAGGACATTATCAGAAAGTGAAAAGGAAACATACAAAATGAACAAAAAAATAGTTGCAAGTCATTTATCTGATAAGGTACCTAAAACATATTTATATATCTAAGATACCCAAAGAATTCCTACAACTTAGCAATAAGACAAATAAGCCAAATAAAAATGGAAAAAAGACATGAATAGGCATTGCTCCAAAAAAGATACACAAACGGCCAATGGGCACATGAAAAGATGCTCAAGATCAATAGTTCTTAGAGAAATGCAAATATAAACCATAATGAAATAGCATTTCACATTTGCTAGAATGGCTACAATAAAAAAAGACAGACAAAAACAGGTGCTGGCAAGGATGTAAAGAAATTAGAGCACATTGCTGAGTGGGAACGTAAAATCGTGCAGCCATTGTGGAAAATAGTTTAATATTTCCTCAAAAAATTAAATATGGAATTGCTATGTGATCAAACAACTCCACTCCTAAGAAAACTGAAAACATAACCATCCAAAACTTGTATGTGAATATTCATAGCAACATTATTCACGATAGCTGAAAAGTGAAAACAACTCAACTATTAATTGATAAATAAATAGAAAATCTGGTATATCCATACAATTAAATGTTATTCAGCCACAAAAATAAGTGAAGTGCTGATGCATGTTACAACATGGATGAGCCTTGAAAACATTATGGTATGTGAAAGAAGCCAGATGCAAAAGGTCACATATTGTTTAATTCCACTTATAAGAAATGTGCAGAATAGGCAAATCCATAGAGACAGAAAGTAGACAAATAGTTACCAGGAATCTGGAGGTGGAGGGATGGGGAATGAATGTCAATGGGTATGGGCTTCTTATTGGAATGATGAAAATATTCTGGATTAGATACCTGTGATGGTTAGACTTTGTGAAGAACTCAAAATCACAGAATTTTATACCATAAAAGTGTAGATTTTTTCATATGTGAATTATATCTTAATTTAAAAAAAGAATGAGTACATAAATAAGAAAACTTAGAAAACTAAGACTTTGTGAAAATACAACAAATATGAATTCCCAGAATGCTATATCCACCGTGAAATGGCAAAATACTACTATTTAGTTCCCACAGTTTTTCCTGCACTTAGTCAAAAGGTAGCCAGCTGCACCATCACTGATGACAGTATCCAGCCCATCAATAATAGAAGCAGTGAGCCCACACCAAGGCTCTGGCCACCAAGTCAGCATCCAGGGCTGAGAATTCCTGAGAACATCTGGATGATGCTATAGCTGGTTCAGACAGCACCCACACATCACTCCATTGCAGCTCTTTATAGCCCGAAAATTCTATAGAGAAAAAATTCACTCAGAACAAAAGATGTATGTGTGAGTTCATTCTATAACAAGCCAGTCACAGACAAGTAAAGCAAAGGAGTACATACTCATAAAAGAGAGAGAGAGGAGGAGGACTTTGAACAAAAAACAGTAAGCTCTTTAGATCCCGTTGTTTATGTCAGAAATCAATAGAGATGTTTTCCTTCACTTTGGAAAGTGAAAATTGGAATTTGTTGAAATTGGGTCTTGAGGCACTTAGATATTTTTTTCTTCATACTGGAACAATGGCATACATTCTGTCTACCAGAAGCTCTGAACACTAGGGCAAAAATGGTAGCAATAGTAGTGATTCTATACTTGGCCCTCTGTTCTCAGGATTGTGTAGAATAGGCTCAGAGGTATTAATGGACAATACCTGAAAAATGCCCTTAAGACATTTCTGGAAATATGTAAAATATTTTCCGTTGGTGAATGCTTGTTTCTGGAAATATCATCAGACTGTGATATTGACTAGATGGTATGAGAGAGAACATCATTGTAAATTTCTCTGAATGAAAATTTCATCTCAAAACAGGAAATGATTATGGTAAGTGAATGATCCTGAGATAAATCAGTTTTATGCAATGAACCAAAATTAGAGTGGTGGTGCATGTTAGCTAGCTTTATACACTTTGTTTTAATTAAGGTCTGATTACCATGGCTGCTACTCATTTACCTAATAACAGTGATTTGGTGTATCAAAATTAGAGAACCCCAGGGCTGGAACTCCGGGATCTGGGTGTGAGAGGGAGCATGTCACAGTAACCTCCTGTGCACAGACTGTAATTGCTGTAGGATTTTTCCTAAAGCCCCATGAAATTCATGGCAAAGAGAGCATTGTGTTGAGCTATGGAATAAGAAGCAGCTGTCTAGTAATGCCTCCAAATAAGCTTCTGCATTCTCCTGCTGTGACTAAGGAAATTCTTCACCAAAATCTCCCCTAGCTTGTTATATCTCTAAAAGATTCCCTCTTTCCCCTGGAGCAAGCGCTGTTATATAATTGAAATGAGAACATTCAGAATTACCTTTCTTTCTGTGCAGTGAAAGTTTATTTCTATGTTCTTTCATTTGAATGGACATAAGATTTGTAATAGGTTTTTCTGGGTTGATGGGCCCTTTAGGCTGATCTACAAGGCAGCTCTAGATTGGGCCAGTGTTACAAGTGCAAAGAGAGTAACTTGTCGATTATAGCATGTGAAAAGTTCTGTCTAATGAAACTATTTACACTGGACAAACCCTAACATTTCTACATTTTTCTTTCCTTAAATGACATTCCAGCCATTCTTTACCCTTCACCCTTGGCCATCCTGAGCTCTGGTGCCTAAATCCCAAACTGTGCATAGATGTGTTCTCCGTGTCAGGCAAGTTTTGATAAATTCAAACAAAAAGTTTCAAGAAGAATCTCCTGGTTTTAGAGCATATGTTGTATCATGATAATACTTGCAACAGGAAATGTATTGTGCCTGTCCCATCATTAGCTCCAAGGCAATACCTTCCCCCTGAGTTGCCATTATGAGCTGTATCTGACCCTGACTTCTTGGCTAAAGCTGATTGGGCCAGGGGCCAGCAACCAACCCAAAATCATCCATCAATAATGGGGGCCTGGTGAAGAAGACAATCTCAAATTTTTTAAATCTGGAAGAGCTGTTATTTTGGGCATCTTTCTACAACCTCTGCGTTGGGGGTGGAAATTAGAATGGCTGGATTCTGAATGATGAGATACCATTGTTCAATTTCTCAATTAAGACATGGCACCATGGCTATTTGTTTTCCTACATTTTCTAAACATTTTCTGCATATTTACAATAAACCACAGTATCAGGGTGGGGGGACCTTTTTTTGGCGATCTGAAGAAACCTATCTTGGTTCCTTGTAACCTCATGAAGCCTAACAAGACAAAGAGTGTAGATAAATGCCATGCAGGCAGGGATCACATCTTTTTGTTTACCACTGTATAGACATGGCTTAGACTAGAGTAAGGAGCTCAATCAATACACATTAAATGAATAAAAACTTGGTAGGAGCTTCTAAAATTTTTTCATGTGACTCCTTTAATGTTTCAGAAAAGAGAAAATTTATCCTCTGGATAAAATGAAGACCTGAAGACACGGCACAGCTGAGAGTGGATGAGGGACACCTTTCAGATACCTGGGGCACTGCAAGAAAATCTACATACTAATAAGCCAGACAGTCTGCCCCTTTCACCTGCTCAGTTGCTAGACTTTAGGATCATACCTCCTGTCAGGATAATGGATTTCTTCTTTGCAGGAATCATCCTAAAGAGAAAGTTCCTACAGATGCTGATATTGGTGAAATACCAATGATACACTCTTTTTCTCCAATATATCAACTGACAATGAAGCTCAGCAATTGGAAAGTTTCACCACACACATCAAATTTCAAAAGATAAGTGACTCACTCTAAAATATGAGATAACTAAGGACCACCAGACATTAGAGGAAAGCCACCAACATGAAAAGACGAAGTGCAAAACAAACAAATCAGAATCAGAAACAATGAAAATGGAAGAATACATGACATATAGGAAACAAAATAAAAATTAGGTAATAATAGAAATATTATCATCTGATAAGAGAGATACTGAATCATGAAACAAGGACAGGTGCTATAGAAAAGAAAGAAGAATTTTTTTAAAGACAACGGAAAAGTTTGTAAAACTGAGGAAATCTAAAAGACAGCAGAATCAAAAAGGAAACAAAATGAATAAGAAATGAAATGAAAATTAGAGTACAATCCAAGAAGTCTAATATCCAATTAATGGATAGAAAGAAATAGAACAGAGAAATAGAAATAGAAAGAACAGAGAAAAGAGAGGGGAAAGAGTTACTAATAAAATAATTCAAGAACATTTCTCAGAAATGAAAGTGATGAGTTTGCAAATTGAAAAGACTTATTGAATATGCAGCATAATTAAAGATAAAATAATCACTCTAAAACTTATAGCTATGAAATTTCAAAATATCAAGGATAGGAGTGAAGATCCTAAAAGCCACTTGAGATAAAAATAAAAAAACAAAGAGGCAAATCATAAATAACATTGATGTTCAGTTGCTGAAGAGCAACACTGAAGTGAGAAGGCACTGAAAACAATGGACTTGAAATTCTGATAAATAAAAATATTTCCAACTTAGAATTCTATATCCAGCTAAACTATACATCAGGAAATCATGAAGTCAGAATAGAGACATTTTCACATATGCAAGCTTACAAAGTTTTATCTCTCATTCACTCTTTCTCAAAAAACTATTGGCTTCACCACAATGAAGGAAATCATGGGATCCAGCAATTACAATCCAGCACAGGAGAGAACGGGCTAAGTCCCAGGACAACAACTGTGCAGCAGGCTTAGAGAGTAACCAGTTAAGATCAGGACAGGAGGATAAAGGGTTCCAAGAGCAGTATCTCTAAATAAGCTAATGGAGGTTTACAGTTCCTCATTAGGGAGTTTGGGAAGCACTTAGTGACAAATAGATCTAAAAGTCAAGGCAATTATTAACTCAGAGGAACCAGAAAGTTGAATAAGAAGATAAATCCTGCTTAATATGGATAGTTATAATTTATAGTAATGTAAATGCTGAATATTGATTTAAGATTGTGATATAATTTCATTGCTATGAAGATAAAGGGAACCAGATTATGTCTAGTAGTAGTATTAGTAGTAACCTCAAATTAGAAACAATCCAAGTATTCATCAACTGGTGAAAGAAAAAATAAAATGTGTTATATTCATAACAATGAATATTATTCATCAAAAAAGGCAACAAACTACTAATACATGCAACAACATGTATAACCTCTAAAAACATTATGTTAAGTGATAAAAGCCAGGCACAAGACTTCATATTGCATGATTTCATGTATATAAAATTTCCACAAAGGTAAATCTAGAAAGAGAAGGTAGAAAACTTGTTGCCTTGGCTGGAGATGGGGGTAGGGATTGACCACAAAGGGGCCTGAGGGAGCTTTCTCCGATGATGAAAATGTTCCAAAACTGGACTGTGGGTATGGTTGCACAACTCTATAAATTTACTAAAAACTTTTGAACTGCACATACATAATAGGTGAATTTTGTGGTATAAATTATACCTCAATAAAGCTGCTAAATAAAAACACCTCGAAATCATCATTTTACCCACCTTCCATGAATAATTTATCAGGAAATTTTGTTGGCTCTTCCTCGAATTCAAATTCCAATTTCGTCCATTTATCTACACCTCCACAGCCATCTCCCTAGACTGAGTCACTGTCATCTTTTGTCTTGTAATAACCTGTCGGGAGCAAGCCCCCCAAAATCTGGCCATAAACTGGCCCCAAAACTGGCCATAAACAAAATCTGTGCAGCACTGTAACATGTTTATAATGGCCCTAATGCCCAAACTGGAAGGTTGTGGATTTACAGGAATGAACGCAAGAAACACCTGGCCCATCCAGGGTGGAAAACTGCTTAAAGGCATTCTTCAGCCACAAACAATAGCATGAGCGATCTGTGCCTTAAAGGCCTGTTCCTGCTGCAGTTAACTACCCCAACCTATTCCTTTAATTCAGCCCATCCCTTCGTTTCCCATAAGGGATACTTTTAGTTAATTTAATATCTATAGAAACAATGCTAATGACTGGTTTGCTGTTAATAAATATGTGGGTAAATCTCTGTTCGGGGCTCTCAGCTCTGAAGGCTGTGAGACCCCTGATTTCCCACTTCACACCTCTATATTTGTGTGTGTGTGTCCTTAATTCCTCTAGCGCCACTGGGTTAGGGTCTCCCTGACCGAGCTGGTCCGGCATAACCTTCCAAATGATTGCTCTGCTTCCTGTGTCATCCCCATCTACTCCATGCTCCATAGACAACAAGAGAGAGCTTCTTAAAACACACACAGGCTGCCACACCCTGTGTAAAATGAATACTCATTGCACCGGAAAAACAACTCAATCTCTGTACCTGGACTTGTCATCAGGCTCTGTGCGTTTGTTTCTCACATCATTCCCTGATCCTCTGTCTCACTCTCGCCCTCTCTTCCTGACCTCCCAGCTCAGCTGGCCTCCTTTCTGTATCTCCAATGCCCCAAGCTCTTTCTCTCTTTACAGCTCCTTGCACACGTTCCTCTCTTCCTGCTGATCTTCCCTTTGCTCCGCATGGCTGGCTACTGCTCATTCTGCGATCAGCTTGCATCTGTCCTCCTCATGGAAACCTTTCCTGCCCACCTATCTGGGGTGGGTTACTCTTCCCATTGGCTATATCTCAACCCCATGCTTGCTTCCTCCTTGGTGGCCACTGCACTCACAATAATTGCATTTATGTTTTTGTTAACTTGTTTTGTGTCTATGTATCCCCCTTGCTAAAGACTTCATGGGGAAGAAGGGAGGGTAAGAGACTGTATCTGTCTAGGTAACTGTTATCCCCAGCACCCATCAGAGAGCATAGCACATCCTAGATCCTAGTGAATAAATGAACATTCAAGCGGTGTAGTACAGAGGATTACCACACTACATCCTAAGCTCTGTGACCTCAGGTTACCACTTAACTTCTCTAAATCTCCATTTCCTCATCTGTAAAACAGGAATACAACTGGCTACCTCCTAGTTTTGTTACGAGGGATAAATTACATAACATAGGTAAGAATATAGGTATGAAGAAGAGAGAAAACACAGTACCTGGCACCTTGAATGGGATACAATAAGTGCCATTAATATTAAAACTTCTACATAGCTGTCCTAGATAATTTTCAAACCATCTTTCTGTTTATTATTTATGATATCACTATGGAAAACAACTCTACCATTTCCACTTTTAATAATAAATTTAGGATGTGGAATGTATACTAAACTAGGTGAAGGTTCTTAAAGTCTGAATATTGTCAACCTTGCTAAATTAGCCTGTCTGAAAACGATAATTTCAGGTTAAAATGAAAAGCTATTCAATTGACATTCAACTGATCATAGGAAGAATTAAATGGAGTTAGCAAAAAATTCTTAATGAGTTTCATCAATATGATGTAGTGTTTTCCTTATCTTATTAATTGATGTAGCTTAGAAGTTGGGATGGTCTCACTTACGGAACATTTAAGCCTCCTGCAGGTGCACTGATAGGTCTGGGGCTAAGGATTCTCCGGTCCTGGGGTGAGGTACCACAGCCTGTAGGGCAGTAGTGCTCAAACTTAGCTTGTATCACAATCCCATGGGGAGCTTAAAAACTCAGATTTTTCCAGAGTTTCTGATTCTGAATGAATGTCTGGTGTAGGGTCTGAAGAATTCCATTTTTACGTTTCTAACAAATTTCTGGATGATGCTGGGATTACAGCCCCATGTGCTGCTGCTGGTCTGGGGCCACACTCTGAGAACACAGAAAAGCCTGGGGGTGAGCAGCAGTGAGCTGGTCCTCTGAGAGCTGCAGGGTCACCCCAGTTATAGTGTCCAGCCACAGAAACTCCTATAAGGTTCATTTATTCAACAAAAAATTTTTGAAGGTCCAACTCGGAAAACAGAACAGGGTAATTTAATTACGAGGAATCAGTGATACAGGTGATAGAGGGGCTGTAGCCAAACAGGATGGTGAGGCATCCCAGAAAATAGCAACAGGAAGAAATTAGCAATCCTAGAACTCCAGGACAGTAGGAGGAGGGAGTGTTGCTGGAATTCAGGAAAGGGGCCCTGGCGAAGCCAGAACCGCAGTGGGGCCTGTCTGATGGAACTGGAGCCACAGAGGAGATGCAGTCTCCACAAAGGATGCTGCCCTGGGCTGGCAGAAAATGAGAGAGAGAACCCCCTCATTTCTCTGTACCCACCTCAGACCCTTCCTACACACAAACACACACACACACACACACACACACACACACACACACACACAGAGCAGAGAATGGATTTGGGGGAAGACAGACAGGGCCTTCCCAGAGGGTCTACTAAATAGCTAGTGGTAGATGAGACAGACTAGCTTTGTGCCTTCGTTGAGCTTACAGTCTAATAGATTGACCAGGTGAAGCTTAACAGCCCTGTAAGACATTGGGTTCCCTGGGGGCCTTTGCTCTCTAGAGAAGTGATATGTGCCCCCCTCATTCCCCACACATTGGTATGTTGAAATCTAATCCAATGTGATGGTATTTGGAGGTAGGGCCTTTGGGAAGTGATTAGGCCATGAGGGTGGAACCCTCCTGAAAGGGATGAATGCCCTTATAAGAAGAGGCCAGGGAGCTAGTTCTCCTTCTTTCTGCCACATGGGGATACAAGATGTTGGCAGTCTGCAATCCAGAAGGCCTGCACCAGTGATCATGCTAGCACCCTGATCTTGGACTTCCACTTTCCAGAACTGCGAGAATTAAGTTTGTGTTGTTGATAAGCCATCCAGTCTATGGTATTTTGTTGTAGTAGCCCTAAAAAACTAAGACAAGAAGTATTTAAGTAAGCCGATCATGTCACTTCATAGATACACATATGAAAAGTAATCTGTGGAGGCAGCTGGGCTTCAAAATGATTGAAATTATACTTACAATACAGGACATTCTTGCTTGTCTGTTTAGGAGGAAAGTTATAGAAAGAAACATTTTTTTCTTTTGCCCAAATAATCATACTTGGCATGAAATTAATGTTTTGAAATGGAAAAGCTCCAAAAGTGGCAGTGGTTATCTTTTGAATTTATGAATATTGTTACTATCATGTAAGTTACATTAAAATTAATATGAGCCAAGGGTACATGTTGAGGAGAAAGGAATGGATCCCTCACTGAGCTTTTGTTGGGGACTACGGTTGTGCTGAGAAATGGAATTTTAGGTATGATGCATAATCAAGTGTGAACAGTGTAGCAGAGTGGGGCCTACAATAAAAACACGTGTCTGTCTTTACAGCTAGTGCTCTGCTCCACTCGACATCCTAGAATTAAGCACTTAAATCGGGTATCTTTAAGTTCTTGCCAGAAAAACCCCGAATTTCTCTTGTAAGGCTGATTTTTGGAAGGGAGAATGGGTGGGTGGCAGAATTAGAGAACTGTTCCTTTGAATGTTGTTCATATGGAATGCATTTGAATGAAATTGACATTTGGGGGAAAAGATTCTGAGGATATGAGATAACAGCAGAACTGTTTGCTGGCTATAGTCATATGGTAATGATATCAGCTTCGCCTGGGAGAAATGACAGCATAAAATCCAGCTGATATGCCAAGACAAAATGACATGAAATTGCATGTATTTGTCTAGACTATTATGGTAATAGCATTAGAGGGATAGGTTTCTGTTTCTTGGAAAGCAAATAATTTGAAGGCATACTTCATGCCCAGTATATCGTTGTAGCAATAAACAAGTGTCAGGAAACGTCTTTCTTCAGGATTAGATGTCACTGAGTAGCTTATTTAGGGTGATGGTATATTTTCCTCACAATTCTCAAATCTTAAGTGGACCATCTATACATCTTACTTTTGGGTCATCAACGGTGTTTATCTTTGTGGAAATAATGAAGTAGCTCCTATTAGTAAAAGAACACTATATTCTTCTGACAAAATTGAGTCAGTGCTAGTCTGCACGCACAGGTGTGCTTCACATGCTAAAATAAACGTGTTCCTGAAAGGTTACGTATAAATTGAGTCATTTTCCTATTGGCTTATATTATCTTGTCAAAGATGTTATGTCTTCCTTCCAGGTTGAACTTTAATTCACTTCTCACACTTTAACTTTCAGTTTCTCTTTACTCCTGAAATCTTTCCAAAGGGTTTTCATATTAATCTTGGTGATCTTAAAAACACAAAAATAGCCAGGAAACTTCACAACTTGGAGCATCCTTTTATTCAGACAAATATTGCTCTTTTTTTTTTTTTTGGATGGAGGGTGTTCCTATAAATAATAAACACATTTGGTTTTTATTGGAGAAAGTAAATTGAGTGAACGGGGAGTGAATGTGCCGTATTCTCTGTGCTGGCTGTGGCTGAGTCATTGGGGACTCCCATTGGATCCTAAGAGAACAAGATGATGTCACAGGCATTTCTCAATCACCATCACTTTGGAACAAGCTGCTACTTCAAGGTGCTAGGAAAAGGTCAATATTCTGATACTTTTAGTATTCTCCTTCTTGTCTTTCTGGTAAAATGATGAGGGACTACTATATGGTACACATATATGTAAAAAGTCTTAGAGTCACTGTTATCACATTTTGTATGATCAAGCACTGAAAGTGCTTATCTGAAACCAGATGTTCAGTTCTCAGTAGTCAAGAGTCACATTAATTTCTCTTTTCCCTCTTATGCCATTGTTTAGTAGTCTATCATGTAATAGACGTCAGATTGTGGTCATACAAATCTGTATTTGAATTTCATCTCTGACATCTACCAACCATATGACACATCTGTGCCTCAATTTTCTTCCTTTAAAATGGACTTATCAAGCACTATCTTGTATGGCTGTAGCAAAGATTAGTAATAATATATGTAAATTACATAGCACAATGCATGCATATAATTAATACTCAACAAATGACAGTTGTCATCATTGTCTTCTTCCTCATCATCATCGAAGTTATTTATTGATACCTCTTCATTACCACTAGATTTAGAGACCTATAAATTCAGGACTTAGCATAATGCCAGACATACTAGGCACCGAATAATTATTTATTAAAATAATTCATACATAAAATTTGGCATATGCACTATGCATCTGTGAACTCCAGATTCCTCAAGCCCTGCCAGCCTATGGATACAAAATAATCAAGATTTACTGACTTTTACACACCTGTTCATACAGCTCTCTAGTCTCCTAAAATATGCTTATTGAACATTTCTGTGTGTCTCCAGGGTTATCTCATATGTGCATAGAAAGAAGCTTCATTTTGCAGGGTTCCTCCTCCATTGTCATCAGCCAATGTACCAAAGCCCTGAAGGTACCAAGCTCCACAGCAGTTGATGCAGAGTGGTGTTGGGGTGCCTCTCTCCATTAAGTATTGTTTCCATTAGAAGGGCTCCTAGGTAGGTGGATCACGAGGTCAGGAGTTCAAGACCAGCCTGGCCAAGATGGTGAAACCCCATCTCTACTAAAAATACAAAACATTAGCTGGGCATGGTGGCATGCACCTGTAATCCCAGCTACTCCGAAGGCTGGGGAAGAGAACTGCTTAAACCTGGAGGGGCGGAGGTTGCAGTGAGCCAAGATCGTGCCACTGCCCTCCAGCCTGGGCGACAGAGTGAGACTCCATCTCAAAAAAAAAAAAAAAAAAAAAAAAAAAAGAAGGGCTCCAAAGTAGTGCTGCTTGGGAATCAATGTTACTGGCACCAGCATGAGGCACTGGGTGTACGCTCAGGAAGGAGTAGAGAGACAGCACCATGCCATATTCGAAATCAGCTCCCTTCTCTGGCTGAGGCTCTGTGCATCAGGTCTAGAGCCTGGTTTCTTCCTCTGTAGGATGAATTACTTTCAGGAAGCAGCTCAGCTCCTCTTGAAAATAGGTACTGCTCAGGACTGCCCTGGTGGCTCATGAGACATGCTAGGACACTTCTGAACTCCTGTAATTGGACACAATATTGGGTCAAGGCCCAAGTCCTGCTATGTAGCTAAATGCTGGTTTGAAAATCAACATAACACCTTACTCTGCAATGGTCACAACCCATACTTCCGGAAAAAAAAAAGTTCACTTATTGTTTTCTTTCAACATTACTAAAAGTGTCTTATGGGAACCTAAGGTTTCCTTTTAGGAAGCTATATGAGAGGACAGAGCACAGCACAACAAGAAATCCAAAACATGTCTATTCACACTGATCACAGGACTCAAGGAACTGCCAGACTGCTCTAGTTCTAGAGTTCCTTCTAGGAAAGTTTATAGACAAAGCAAAAATTGCTCCTATACAAGTCTGGCACCAGGAACCATAGGGTTAACCCTCTGTCACCTCATACTAGGAACCAGGTGGCAGTGGAACAGGCATGAATCAGGACTGGCCCCCTTTATCAATCAAGTATCAGCTAATTACTAGAGCTCTGCAGAATCCTAGAGAACCCAAAGCACTGGGGAGTATTTGCAGCTGCTTAAGGGAACAGGCCATGAAGACCAGTGCCCCAGTTCAGGCCATGCATTAAGAGGAAAATCTGGGCCAATGGCTAGACAGAGTGCCTGGGAGAGAACCAGCTTTGAGGAAGCACATTTACCAACAAACGACTGCTAAGCACTTTGCAGTTGTCAAGTTCCTAGGCACTGAATAATAATGAGAGGGGGCTTCAGAGGGTGATGACTAATGGCCCCTCTATTTCCTGCTGATGCTGGCAATTTTCTGTCATTTTGTTTTTATGTTAATTTATGCTCACAGGATTAGAATGTAGCATTATATGGTCATTTAATTTAATTGAAGTATGGAACTTCATGGGCCCATTTTTGCATTTCTCAGAGATTTTGGTGATTTTTTTCTTTAGCATTTAATCTTCCCCCCAGATCACCATTCCTAATGGCAATAATAATACATTGACACTTGCATCACACTTTTCCTTCTAGGAGCTCCAAGCATGTCATGGCCCATTACTCCCACAAGAGCTCTGCAAGGCAAATGCCAGGGAGGATTTTAAGCACTTTCTTAGCTTTAACATACATAAAAAGGTGCAGCCTTTATCATAGAGATAAGCTCTCAGCCATTTAAATTACTTTTGAATGCAATGAGAAGCTTTGCTTATGCATGAGGTTTCCACTGTGCTTTGTGATTTTCATACTGCAGAAATATGTGACCTTTAAGCCTGACAGCACTGCTCAGAGTACATGTAACTTATCAGGGAGTTTTCATTGATCACCCCACCTCCTTCTCATAAGGAATGTAGTGTTTGTGTCACACTGCCTGGAAAAACTGCCCAAGGGCAAGGGAAAGCACCAATTGAGACATGGAGGAGAGAATGCAGGGTTAGTGAACTCACCCTTTAAAAGCCACAACACTAGAATGTCCCTGGTGAATACAGATGGACCAAAGGAGCATCCTGAGGCCAAGTGGCTCTCTGGATCCATTCTTGCTCTTTCTGAAGAGCCTCACAAGCATCCACTTGAAGACACTGGCATTCAGCAGTCTTTCTTCCGAAGGCCAAAAGAATAAGAAAAAAGCCACAGCATATTTCTGCTGTAGAAGGAGCATATCACCAGCCTGACAGAGGAAGCCCTCCCCTGTTTCTGAAATAAGGGGCCATGGAAAGAGAAAAAATAGAGGGGTGTCACATTTGCATTTCCCTAAAGGACCAGAGAAGTAGCTGGGGCTTTTTTCTCTTATTAGAACATCAGGCAAACACCATCTGGCCCAGGTCTTCAGTGGATTGCAGGATTCTGTGCTGACAGCCTGCCTGTGTCTATTGTGGCAGGGGAGGAGGGACATGAGAGGTGGGGTCTGGAGCAATAGCGACAGTTCTGCCCACAGGTCCTGCCCACTGACTCATCGCATATTCTGTTTTACCCCAAATGGGTATACTGCAATCAGTTCTGGTACTAACCACGCAGAGTTAGTGTAGACCCCACAAGTTAGGGACTCAGTCCTCTACAAGATTGTCTCCATTTCAGATGGAGCCAGCCACAAGTGGAGTCCCCAGGCCACCCACACTTCTGACCAACCGGCTACAACTCCAGAGGAGTCTCATAACACTGCTTTGGCTCAACAACTCACTAAAATGACTCACAGAACTCAGGAAAGCACTGCACTTACAATTATGGTTTTGTTACTGGTGGTGAATCCACACGGGTCTGCAGCAACCTCAATTCTTGACTCCTCGGAAGAAATAATTCGACTGAGAGGCATGAGGCAGAGGAAGAGACCGAGGCAAGTTTTAGAGCAGGAGTGGACATTTATTAAAAAGCTTTAGCATAAGAATGAAAAGAAAGTAAAGTACACTTGGAAGAGTGCCAGTGGGGAAACTTGGAGGTCAAGTGTGAGCTTTGACCTTTCGGCTTGGGGTTTTACATGTTGGCATACCTCCAGGGTCTCGCATCCTTTCTCTACTGATTCTTCCCTTGGAGTGGGCTGTGTGCACACACAGTGGCCTGATAGCATTTGGGAAGTAAGCATGTGCAGTGTGTTTACCGGAGTTGTAAGCATGCTCACCTAAGGCATTCCCTTTTCTGGTGGAATGGCCCCAGAAGGTCATATACCAGTTAAACTCCGCCATTTTGAGCCCACTTGCCCAACTCCTGAGATCTTATTGGGAAGCTGATGATCAGTTTCAGGTGTTTCTATCTATTAGGAAACTGCCTTTCCCTGGTGCTGGTTGTGACCTATTATTATTTTAGAGAGACAGTTAACTGCCTGACCATCACCTGATGGTCACCTGACATTCCTGGATGGGGGGTCGGTGGAGGGCTCTCCTGCCCTGCTTATGTCTTCCCGACTAGCTACCTGTTACAACAGTTTTATTTAAAAATATATAAATCAGACTAGCCAAATTAAGAAACATATAGGGAGAGGTCTGGGAGGGTCCTAAACACGGAGCTTCTATGTCCGCTCCTCATGGAATCAGGATGTATCACTCTCCTGAGATATCAGTGTGTTCACCAATCATGGCCTGGAGCACAGTGACTCAAGCCTGTAGTCCTAGCTATGTGGGAGGCTGAGGTGGGAGGATGCCTTGAGCCCAAGAGTTTGAGGCTGCAGTGAGCTATGAAGGCACCATTTCATTCTAGCCTGAGCAACAGTGAGACCTCGTCTCAAAAATAAAATAAAATAAAATAAAATAAAATAAAATGAAAATGTATTCACCAATCAGGAAGCTCCGCTGAGCTTCAGTGTCCAGAGTTGTTTTTTTAATTGGTATAGCATTACACAGGCATGAGTGATTAAATCACTGGCCAAGGATGTAACTCAATCTCTGGCTCTCCTTTTCTCAGAGGTTGAACTGGCTCAATGTTCCAACCCTCTCATCACATGGCTGGCTGGTCTTTCCAATGACTAGTCCCCATCCTGAAGCTACCTAGGGGCTCACTTTGAGTCATCTCATTAGCATAAACTCAGGTGGGATCCAGGGGATTCATGAATAACAAAGACTGTTCTACCACTTGGCAAATTCCAAGGGTTTTAGAAGCTCTGTGCCAGGAACCTGGGACGAAGACCGGACACGTTCTTCCTTACACAATAAGAGGCTCCTGAATCATGAAACAGCAGATATTCCCACAATGGAGGTTCACAGAGCCCCAAGGAAGAGAATGTAGAGAATGAATACTTGAAAGTAGAGTGTTAGAGACCATTAACGGTTAGGGGCCAGGAGAAGAGAGACATTTGGCTTACTTACTAAAATACTCACATTTGACCATTTCTTAGTTCTAGCACCTTTGAGACTGGGTTGTCTGTATCAGTTAGGTATTGACGGGTAGCCTTCTTTAATTATTTCAACACTGACAAACCAACAGTAGGGCCTATATGCTCACCGTTTTTATTATACTTAGTTTGCAGTTTTTCTCCGTTGTGCTAAATCCACAGAAATATTATATGTCCAGCCAGAATTCTGGTACATACTTGTGTTGGCAATTCTCTTTGCAATCCTTTTAAAATCCTTCGCTAAGGTTTTCATAATCAAGTGATACAAATGCAATCAAGCATATGATGTACCACAACATAGGATGTACTAAGTTATGACTACATAGATTTGAAATATCTATAAGGCACATGAAATGGGCATGACTTTTCATCACAATTGGGCTTGCAAGAGCTGTCATATTATTTTATTTTATTTAAATCTGACTTAGAAACCCCATCCACTGACCCCATTGTAGAGAATTTAATTCTTGCTTATTATCAGACCTTTTTCTTCACTCCCCACCCTCAGAGTCATTACAACAAAATATCTGTGAGGCCATCCCCATATCTGCCCCATACTAGCAACTACTAATAAATTCACTGTCAGAGACCACATGAGTCCTTAAATCCAGGGGCTTTATTAAGGAAATACAAATTAAAACCACTAAGAGATAACACTACACGCCTATTACAATGGCAATAATAGGAAATTACTGAGATACCAAGTACAGTTGAGGCTGCAGAACAACTGGAACCCTCATACGTTGCTGATGGAAACGTAAAATGGTGCAGCAGCTCTGGAAAAGTGTGGCAATTTTTTATAAACTTAAACAGGAGGGCATATGACCAGAAATTCTAATCCTGGATAATTACCATGAAATAAAATCTTATGTTCACACCAAAATCTGTGGATGAATGTTTATAGCAACTTTATGTGTGCTCATCAAAAGCTGGAAACAACCCAAATGCCCTTCAAAGGGGGAGGGGATAAACAGACTGTGGTGCATCCATACTATGGAATACTACTCAGCCATAAAAAGAAATAGCTAGCGATGCACACAACATGGATGAATCTCAAAGACATGCTAAGTGAGAGGAGTCAGTCTCAAAAGGATACACACTGTATTATTCCATTTATTTGATATTCTCTGTAAGACAGAACTATAGTGATGGAAAACGAATCAATGGTTTCTAGGGGTTACGGGTGGGGGCAGGCTGTGACTGTAAAGGGGCAAAAGGGGGCTTTGAGAGGGTGACGGAACTGTTCTGTATCTTGATTACATGAATCTCTAGGACACATTAATCTATGTTAAAATGTATAGATCTGAACAAAACAGTTGATTTTACTATAAAATAATTTTTATTTTTTATTATTTAAAAAGATTTTTATATGATCATTTTTTAATAAAACGTAAAAACAAAACCTATCCAAGGGCATGTTCCTTCTATGCCATATTTGGGTGCAAAACTACAGGTTCTGGGGCTCCAGTGCCTGGGGTCAGTCTCCCTAGGCACAGAGGGCATTTCCCTTAAACAAAACAAAACAAAACAAAACAAAACAAAACAAAACCCCTGCTACTTCCCAGAGGGGAACAAGAGAGACTGTGGACCTTGCCCTGCTTTACAGAATGTTCACCCTCTCTGACAGTCTTTGGCCTACTCTTCTCCAGTCTCTTCCTTGTCAGGGGACACACTTGCTTAGTTTTCACAGACTTTCAGGAAAGCCAGAAAGAGAAGTTGTTTCAAGCAGTTTCTGCTTTCAGCTCTTCAAATAACCCTGAAGCAAGAAGTACAAAGGCTGTGACCTCTTCTAGGAAAGAGAAAGGAGGAAATAAAGAGAATAAAACACAAATGTTACTTATCCATGAAAAGCACTGTGAAAGCATTGTTCACAACCCAGCTGGGCGCGGTGGCTCATGCCTGTAATCCCAGCACTTTGCAAGGCCAATGCAGGTGGATCACCTGAGGTCAGGAGTTTGAGACCAGCTTGGCCAACATGGCAAAACCCCCTCTCTACTAAAACGAAAAAAATTAGCTGGGTGTGGTGGCAGACACCTGTAATTCCAGCTACTCAGGAGGCTGAGACAGGAGAATTGCTTGAATCCGGGAGCTGAGATTGCGCCACTGCACTCCAGTCTGGGCAATAGAGCGAGACTCTGTCTCAAAAAAAGAAAACGAAAAGCATTGCGCACATAATGTGCACGTGTGCGTGTAAGTTTATGTGAATTAACCAAGGAACAGAAGGCAACCAAAGGTGAAGCAGGGAGGGACAAAATCACCCAGGAGCACCCGTCCCTGACAGTGTAAAGGAGACAGCTCACCTGCTGGGAAATGAGTGACATTTGAAGATCATCAGGCCAAGCTAAATCCACATCTCTGGCCCAATGGTTGGAAAGGGGCCAGCAAGCGCCTTGTGTAGACCAATACCAGGACTTGCCCTAAGACTGAAGATATGCAATATGGCAAACAGCCACAGAGATTAAAAGGAGAATTGAGGCTGGGCACTGTGGCTCACACTGGTAATCCCACCCTTTTGGGAGGCAGAGGCAAGAGGATCACTTGAAGCCAGGTGTTTGAGGCCAGCCTGGGCAACATAGTGAGATCCCCATCTCTATAAAAATTTTAAAAACTAGCCAGGTGTCATATCTCAGGCCTGTACTTCTTGTTGCCTGGGAGGCTGAGGCTGGAGGCTCGCTTGAGCCCAGGAGTTCAAGGCTGCAATGAGCTATGATCACACCACTGCACTCCAGCTTGGACAACGAATGAGACCCTTTCTCTAAATAAAAAACAGGAGATGGGGATATTGGCCAGGGCTAAGCTTCATTGTGTCTACACAAAGGTGTCAGAGGAGACACACAAGTGAGACTGAAATCCAACCCAATCCAACCCACACTCTGCCTTCCAAGCCATGAGTCTCATGATATTGAAATATGGCAGAGCGATTTAACATAAAAGTTTTTAAATTCAGAAAACACTTTAGAAAGATTACATATATTCTAGTTGAATTAGAATAATTAGGCACATAACTTTGCCCCCAAACTTTCTGAAAACCAAGAGGAAAGAAAAATCTCATTGAAACCTTCACCTCCTAATTATTCAATAAAAGGAAATCTTTAAGTTATTTTATAGAAGCAAGCTATACTAGAAATAAGTATCACTGGATTTTACTAAAGGGGGCTTTGAGAAATATAATGTATAGTGTTATTGGTTACAAAATATACAAAGGCATTCTTCAAATGAACATTTCCTGCATCTACCTTCTAAAATGTCAACATAAGGAACAAAGATAACATCTGGACATATTCCTTTCTAATTTTCTGAATTAATAACAAGATTAAATGCAGGGCCAGGCACCAGCAGCTCACGCCTGTAATCCCAGTGCTTTGGGACGCTGAAACAGGTGGATCACTTGAGGCCAGGAGTTTGAGAACAGCCTGGACAACATGGTGAAACCCCATCTCCACTAAAAACACAAAAATTAGCCAGGCGTGGTGGCACACACCTGTAATCACAGCTATTCGGGAGGCTGAGGCAAGAGAAATCACTTGAACTCAGGAGGTGGAGGTTGCAGAGAGTCAAGATTGTGCCACTGCACTCCAACCTGGCAACAGGGCGAGACTTCTTCTCAAAAAAAAAAAAAAAAAAAAAAAAAGCAAGATTAAATGCAGAAAACACAGCATTCAATGGGCCACTAACACATGGAATTTTCAAAGTAGTCACATATCCACAGGCACACTAAACACTTGCAGGACAGCTCTCTGGGTGGCCTCAAACCTTCCCCTTTCTCACTTGTTCTCAAGAATAATTGTAGAATGTGCAGGGAATGCAACAACCTGAGATAAGGATGAATTGGCTGGAAGAGCTTGGGCTCTGTTTCTGTCCCTTCTAGAACAGGGTGTCCTACAACACTTGAGCCCAGCAAGTCTAATTACCCTGGGGTATAAAACCCAAGGCTGGATGCTTTTCCACATTCCTCCACTGTGGTCCAAGTAGTGCACATGCAGATGAGATTCCAGTTGCCCTGCACAGCTTTTCTGAGCCTCAAGGGACTGGCTCACCATGAATTCTAGGCTTCTACTGTCCCTCACTGCCTATCTATAAAGTTGCTTCCCTTAACCTGTGTGCAAGCGTTCTATCTCACTGGACTCACTCAAGTGATAAAATTGGCGCAGCTCAAGGTGCAGTGGACAGGCATTTAGAGTCCTCCCTTGGTATTGATATCCGTGCACCATGAACTGCTTGAAGCACTGTCTATGAATCAAATAAATAAAAGAAAAATTCAGATCACATGATAGCTAGCAAATTATCTTTTTACTTAGACAGAGAAATCCTGACTGACACATCATCTATGTAGTGCTCCAGTCAAGCCAACAATGCAAAACCTGAATCTAATCATGAATGCAAACAGCAAAACTAAAAATATGGAACATTCTATTAAAAATAGGGGTGGGGACTATATTCTCCAAAAATGTTAATATTATACAATACTAAGAAAGGCTGTAAAAATGTTCCAAGTTAAAGGAGAGATGACGACTAAATGCGGTACCTTAGCCTAGCCTGGATCCTATACTAGAAGGGAGAAATGTGCTACAAAAGGCATTGCTGGATCCATTAAGTATGATATAGATTAACTAAAAGGCATTGTATCGATGTATCACTGTATCAGTGGTTTTACATAAGAATATCCCCTATTCTTAGGAAATATACACTGAAACATTTAAAGATTAAGGTCATGATGTATGTAACATCTTTAAATGGTTCATAAAAATATTATATTGGGAAAGAGAGTGAAGCAGGACATAAATGATAAAGTAAATGAGATAAAATGTTCACAATAAATGAATCCAGGTAAGTATAGTTCTTTATTTTCTCATTCTTGCAAATTTTCTGTAAGTTTAAAATTATTTCCACATAAAAAATCTTTTCTAAAAATACTTTAAAATGGAATCCTAATGCTCAACAAAATTGAGAACCACCAAGTTCAAAGTGTGAGTAGTTAACATACTTCCAGTGGAAGCCTTCTTTAGGCTGAATCACAGTAAATGTACACTTCAATTCTAAAAAGTGTCTACAAGTTTACAAACTTCATTGTTGACTGGAAAATGACCCTCACTATTTAGCTGGCAGTCAGGGAGCATTCAGTTCTGAAAACTTGGAGCCTCCCATTCTTAGATCACCAAGCCACTTTTTCAAGGAGGTGAGTTTCTAGAATGCCTAGGGACATGATTCCTCAGCCACAGAACTTAGAAAGATTTTTAAAGTTCCATATTTCAAAGGAAAATCTCAGCTGCTTGTAAGTGTAGACTGACAAATGAAATCAGTCTTTCTTCTATGTTTTTATCTTAAGGAATAACTCTGCACTGACTCTTCAAAGAGCCCATGATCAATTCTGACAGGCAAAGAATATTAATAAGAGTGTCAAGAAGGTGGGTCTGACGTTTGAAAATTTGATGAATTCAGAGTGGCACCAGGAGAACAACAAACTAAAATCAAACTGAGCATCATTAATCCCATTAATGTTGGGGTATTAGTTTTCCGTGTAGACGGGACACTGAATATCTAGCTCCTCATCAATGCAATCTTCTCAGTCTCCTAAGGGATACCTGAATTGGGTTAAGCAATGCCATACCATATGTCCAGAGGTGAGACCCTCACGCTGTAATAGCCTTGTAGACTATGACTTGCCTTTCATCACACCTTCAGAATTCTAAATTTTATCCCAAACTAAATCTGGATCTCCCCAAAGGAGAAGTGGGTGGAGAAGAGGAAGAGATTCTGTATTATGTTACTTCCTGAGAATGCTCTTTCATTAATCTTTGCTCGGAAGGTGCCTTTGGGTGGTTCTTGGTGCAATGAATAATGTTCACACACAATCTTTCCTGTCAAACATTATACTCACTCTAAAGTCTGCCGACAGTTTGGGAGCAGTGTCTTTTGCTATTATGTTTTCCAATTGGCTTTCTATTTCACTTCAAGAAGTGTGGAAACACCTGATTTATAAAAGACTGGCTTAAAAAGCGTAATTTCCATTGCTTCCTTAGTAACTGCCTCAAATAAGCGGAGGAGGGCAATTTGGCTTGAACTTGCTTTGAGAAGCTTTAAGTTTAATTTATACATTGGATAGAGCTCTCCAACTCATTGAAATTCTACTTAATGCATCCTCAGAAAACACCTGAAAGACAAGAAAAATATGTGCATGACCCTATAGTTAAGGCAACAGCTGTGTGTTTGTGAATCACATCTTAAAGCAGATTTCTGTTTTTCTCCCCTACACTATCAGAACATATGAAAAACAGAATTTCAATGACTCAGAAACTATACCACAGTTGATAATTAGGCCAGTTTCTCGAAGGTACCTTAATCTTCTTACTTCCTTAAGCATCTGTCTACAGTTTGTCCATGTTATACCTGATGTATTTTCTCCAATAACCTCATTTATGGGGCATAGCTCAAAAGTCAGTAGCAGAGAACTGACAGTTTGCAAAGAGAGGAGGTTTAATTTAATATGTGCAGGCACCAGAGTCTCTTAGAAGGTGACTGGTGCCAAGAAATTTGGAAGGTCATTATGTGGAATATCTACAGCACAGTATCTTTTGAACCTTTTTAATGGGTAAGGAGGAACATTTCTGCATAATGGTATGAGGCTCATTGTACACTTGTCCTCAATGCTGTCAGTCACCTGCATGGATCTAAGATGAGTTTTAAAAATGTAGGCTCACACTAAGCTGAACAAGCAGTTTGGAAGCTCCCCTCCACCTGAACTGCTGCGAGTTTCTTAGAAATTGCTTCTCAAACTTCAGTATGCATACGAATTACCCAGGGATGTTGTTAAAATGCAGATTCCAACTCAGAAGGCCTGGGGTAGGACCTGAAGTTAGGCGTTTCCAGCAGGCCTCCAGGTGATGCTGGTGCTTCCGGTCCATTATCTACACTTTGAGTAACAAAGGCTTAGAGGAGAATGTTTCCCAAGTTTCTTTGCACATATGGCAGCAAGGACTGGGATACTGGGGTTTCTGCCAGTCTCCTGCCAAGCTGGTAGATGCTTTTTAGATTCATCCTTCGTATTCATTCATATTTTTTTCTGTCAACCACAGAAGGTTTTTCTGTAAAAAGCAAAGATACTAAGGCAAGAATTCAAAGAATTTATTTGAATCACTGAGATAATAGTCTTGTGCTTTACTTTGGTATTAAGGACCTGATTTTTTGCGGGGTGGGAGGAGAGGAGAGTGAAGCTTTTAATCCCAAATACTACAGCATGCACATAGTAATTTAGAAAAGTGAGCAGCAAAACTTGCACGAGGATGATTTTGCTGTGTTCTATGATTTTGTTCTCAAGTAAATAATGAGGCCGGTGTGGGATTGCCACGTTTTGCCATAATTTAGACAATTGTTTCCATGTGCGGAAGTTGAGTCAGGATTCTCTATTTGCTGCATTTATCATTCCCTTTTCATTATTTCATCAGGGAAATGTATACTTTCATATAGGTCCAGATCACATCACATGGACGTGTTAGGGATACCAAATTTGACAACAACTCAGACTTTTGAGATTTTTAAGGAACGGTTTTTCAGTTCTGAGTGTTCCTTTTTAGCCTTCTCAAGCATTTTTCATCTGCTCCTTTTGGAGTGTGATCATGTATGAATTCCCAGCACCAAAATAGCCCATTCTAAGTGTGCATGTGTATTAGTGGTAGGTTTTGGGGGAGGGCAGTAGTGGTCAAAGCCTGGGACAGTTGGACTCCAGAGGGTCCACACCAAAGTTGCAATGTCGTGGTCATAAACCAACACGGACTTACAACCTCATAATACTTTATAAAGTTTATAAAGTTCTTTTATTGTGTGTTTTGATCCTGACAATAAAATACTAAGGTTAAAAATGGCAACCCCTCTTTACTAGTTTGATTCTAACATAATGAAGGATGCATGGAGTTACCTGAGGCTGTAAACTCTTGCAACTACAGACAATCCCCATTACAGCTAAACCAGCTAAACAGACAGAGTTACCCTTATGAAGATCGGCTTATTAAATATTTATTTGTGTAGCACTGATTTACCTTGAGCCAAAACAAAAGACTTCTCTTCTCCCCCCATTTTACGTAATTAATAGTAATAAGAGCTAACAGTCACTGAAAGTTTACCACACATCAGACACTGTTCATGTTAAATATAATCCAATCCTTACATCATCCTATGTGGTGTATACCATTATTAGCCTCGTTTTACCCATGAGGAATTTGAGATTTAAATAAGCCACGCACTCGGCTAACAGTTAGAATCAAGATTCACATATAGACAGACGAATTCAGAGGCTGCATTTCTAACCAGGAAGTGAATTATCTTCATCTTGGAAGGAAGTTTGAGATGTATTTAATTGGCAACAAACAAAGGATATGCCTTATGCTTGCTTAGGACTTTATAATTTTCACCACAGTCCAGCCCTGGAAGCTCTGAACCCTTCCAGTAACATTGTGTCCAGAGCACTGAGCTTAACAACATCTGAATGTACTCCAGCTAATGCTTTGGACATCTCAGCATACTTTCCCGTCCTTTGTCTTGTGCTGTAACAGGAAAATGTTCCATATTCTTTCAAAGAAAAAATACCCTCATGAAATCTGATTAACATTCATTCATTCATTCTCTACCACCACAACCAATGAGATTGGGTTTATGAAGGATACTTGCGACTCCAACGTTGCTAAAGACAACGGCAACTTCTCGGTTCTCACCTTGTTTAACCTCATCACTTGACATTGCTGGTCACTCCCTCCTCCTTGAAATACTGTCCTTAATAGCCTTCCAGGAAACCACACCTTCCCGGTCTTCCTCCTACCTTTTGGGCTATATAATGTTTCAGTCTCTGTTGCTTGCTCCTTTCATCTCCCCGACCTTTAAACATCAGAGTGCTTGAACCTCCTCTCTTTTCAATCATGTCCTTGGTGATCTCGACCAATCTCAAAGCTGAGTCTTATTGTATACATGTATGTCTCCAGCCTATACACCTTCTTGAGTGTCAAACTTGTGCATCCAACAGCCTGCTCTTAGATGTCTAATGGGCATCTCAAGCTTATTATGCCCAAAACTGAACTTGTGATTTTCTCTGAGTCTGTCCATTAGCAGTCCTCCATCTCGTAAGTGGCAAGTCTATTCTTTCAGCTGTTTAAGCCAATTTTACAATCATTCTCTTTCTCTCACTCATATCCAATCTATCACAATATCGCACTCTTAAAAATACATATCCTAACTACCTGTTGACTCTATTTCAAAATATTCCCAAATGTTTTACCATTCATATTGTTACCATCCTAGTCCAAGTTTCTCCCTTTGATTAGAAAAATATCCTCCTTCTTGGTCTCCATGCTCCCACCCTTGCCCCACTACAGTCCATTCTGAATGTAGCAGTTGAATTGATGCTCCATAAATCTGAGTCAGATCATCCCCCATCCCACTCAGAACTTTCCAATTTCACTCAGAGGAAAGGCCCAAATTCTTCCCATGGTCTACAAGCCCCTACACAATCTATATTTCTGCAACAGCCCCCTAACTGTTCCTGATTCATACCAGGTACACAAGGCCTTCCTTCCCATTAGGGCTTTTGCAGTTACATTTTCTCCTACCTTGAATAATCTTTCACTAGACATTGTGATGGCTCCCTTACTACCTTTAGGGTTTTGCTTAAATGTCGCCCTCTCAATATGGCCTTCTGTTCCAGTTACTTTTGTGCCATAACAAATGTCCTCAAAACTCAGTTGTTAAAAAAACAATCATTCTTATATGTTCAAGGATTCTGTGGGTTAGGAACTCAGCAAGGGCACAGTGAGAATAGCTGAGGGTGACATCACAGCTGGGAGTTGAAAACTGACTCACTCACAAGTCTAGCAATTGTGTCAGTGGATACCTCAACCAGAACACCTATATGTGGCCTCTCCATAGCTCTGTGGGCTTCCTGGCTGCATGGTGGCTGAGTTCCAAGAGTATGTCTCAAAGAGCAGCAGGCAGATGCTGTATCACCTTTTATGACCCAGCCTCAGAAGTGACACAGTATCTCTTTCACCAGAGCCATAAACGCACACAGATGGAAGGAGAGGAACAGAGAACCCCACTCCTCCCCCAACCCACCATCTAATGGGAGAAGTTTCAAAGTCACACTGTGAGGAAAGCATGTGGGATGGGTGATATCATGTTGCCATCTTTAGACATTACAATCTGGCACACCTTCCCTACTCATTTTATTTTAAGTTGCAACCACTCTCAGCCCTCAGCCTCTTCCACCTCAACACCGTCTACTCCCTTTCCTTTATTTTCCCCAGAGCATTTGTATTAGTCTCCTGTTGCTGCTGTAACAAATTATCACAAACTTAGTGGCTTCCAACAACACAAATTTATTTCCTTACAGTTCTGTAAGTTTGAAATCTGAAATCCGTTTCACTAGGCTAAAATCAAGGTGTAAACAGGGCTGCATCCCTTCTGGGCGCCATAGGGGAGAATTTGATTCCAGCCTTTCCCAGCTTCCATTGGCTTCCTGCATCCCTTGGCTGGTGGGCTTACATCACTCTTACTTCTGCTTCCATCATCACCTCTCCTTCTTATAAGGACCCTTTAGATTATGTTGGGCCCACCTGGATAATCCAGGTAAACTCTCCACCTCAAAATTCTTAACTTAGTTACATCCGTAAAGTCTCTTGTGGCAAATAAGGGAACATATTTATAGGTTCAGGGATTAGGAAGTGGACATCTTTGGGGCCCATTATTCAGCCTACCAGAGCAGTTAATCACCATTTGACACATTACATATTTTACATATTTGTTTATGTCCTGTTTAGTAGAACATAGTCTTCATCAGAGAAAAGAGTGCTCTCTTTGTTGTTGTTGTGTCCCATGAGCCTAGTAAAGTCCCTGGCATCTGTTAAAAACTCAATATATATTTGTTGAAGAATTATTTTGTCAAATAAGTGATCCATAAATATTATTGAGTGCCTACTATGTGCAGGATAATGTAGCCACACTGAAGTCTTGTTAAAACTGATTTTCCAGAGTGTTCTAAACACTCTGTACCCATAGAGAAAACCACATGTGTGATTCATCGAAATAAAAAGTCAAGGGTCTAGCCCATAACCACAATAAAAAAAAATCTTTTCCATTTCTTTTTGGACATTGTACAAAAAGTTATTGTCTCTGTCATAATAAGAGCGCAGTCTGAATCTCTGTCATCTTCCTATCCCAGTTACTCGTCCTAAATGAAAAGGGAAGACATGGGGATGGCAGAGGATTCGGACCCTGGGTCTTAATTACCTACACAGGGGTTGGGCACTGCTACTTATTTGATCTTAATTGAGCGGCCCTATGGCCCTGCTTGCGGTTTTGTTTCCATAACATTCCATGATATTTCTCCAGACAGTACACAAATAAAAATGGTTTGTGTTTCAACTGAATTTCCTGATTCTTTGTGAATCAAGCCAGATGTGTGGAAATGTCTGTGTGTGTGTGTGTGTGTGTGCGTTTAGACACTGATCCATATGCTTGCACGGATACGAATTCTGTGACCTTCTGTTCTTTCTTTTCCTTGATGATTCCTACACACAACCTCATAAGGCACATCTCATAATTAACTTGGATCTGTTTCAATCATGAATTTTTCAAAAGATCATAATCATCATGGTTTCCATGTCCATTCAGAAAACAATATAGCCGCATATGTCCATAAATGACCCGCATAGAATCTGCCCTTATCCATTTTGTTTTGGAACATGAGCCAAATTGGACTTATTTCTATTCACTTCAGATGTAATAACTTAGCCTGTTACTAAACATCACATAAAAAGCAGAATCTCAAAGCAAAAAACAGAAGCAAATACAGTTTTCTGTGTTAACTAGAGTTAGAGAATACAGGGAAAGGAAACAAAGAGTAGTTAAGAGCTTTTATTTCTCTTTAGGCTCAGTTTTCCCAGCTGTGAAGTGGGCACACTAAAATCTTTCTTGGCAACTTACTTGGCCTTTATACACTTGACTCCTTTATCCATAAAACTGATACGGTAATAATAATACCTACCCAGGAGAGGAGCTGAAAGATGAAATTAGTTTCAGATGCAAATTACTTATTTAAATGGCTGGCGCTTAGTAAACGTTCAATGTGTTGAATCCACTATTATTATTCACTCATAGAATTAGGTAAATTCTAGACATGTGACTTATATTAACTAATTGATAGCTATTTTTAAAAAACAATTTCTTAGAGCAGTTTTAGGTTCACAGCAGAATAGAGAGGAAAGTACAAAGATGTCCCATGTCCCCTCTTCCCCCACACATGCATAGGCTCCCTCATTATCCACATCCCCCACCAGAGTGGCACATTTGTTTCAATTGATAAGCCTACATTGACACATCATCACTGTATTGGGCCGTTCTTGCATGGCTATAAAGAAATATCTGAGATTGTGTCATTTATAAATAAAAGAGTTTTCATTGGCTCACAGTTCTGCAAGCTGTACAGGAAGATCTGAAAGCTTACAATCATAGCAGAAAGCAAAGCAGGAGCTTGCATATCACATGGTGAAAGCAGGAGCAAGACAGTGAGGGGGAGGAGCTACACACTTTCAAAGAAAGACCTCAGGAGAATTCACTTACTATGGTGAGGACAGTATGATGGGGGATGGTGCTGAGAGGTGACAGCGTGCTGGCTGTGGTCGCAGCCCTGGCTCGCTCTTGGCGCCTCCTCGGTCTCGGCGCCCACTCTGGCCGCGCTCGAAGAGTCCTTCAGCCCCCGGCTGCACTGTGGGAGCCCCTTTCTGGGCTGGCCAAGGCCGGAGGCGGCTCCCTCAGCTTCCCGGGACGTGTGGAGGGAGAGGCGCGGGCGGGAACCGGGGCTGCGCGCCGCGCTTGCGGGCCAGCGCCAGTTCCGGGTGGGCGTGGGCTCGGCGGGCCCGCACTCGGAGCAGCCGGCCGGCCGGCAAGCCCGGGCAGTGAGGGGCTTAGCACCTGGGCCAACTGCTGTGCTCGAATTCTCGCCGAGCCTTAGCTGCCTCCCGGCAGGGCAGGGCTCGGACCTGCAGCCCGCCATGCCTGAGACTCCCCCGCCAACCCGCTGTGGGCTCCTGCGCACGGCGAGCCTCCCCAAGAAGCGCCACCCCCTGCTCCAGGGCGCCCAGTCGCATCCACCGCCCAAGGGCTGAGGAGTGCCGGGCGCACGGCGCAGGGCTGGCAGGCAGCTCCACCTGTGACCCTGGTGCGGGATCCACTGGGTGAAGCCAGCTGGGCTCCTGAGTCTGGTGGGGACTTGGAGTGTCTTTATGTCTAGCTAAGGGATTGTAAACACACCAATCAGCACCCTGTGTCTAGCTCAGGGTTTGTGGATGCACCAATCGGCACTCTGTATCTAGCTAGTCTAGTGGGGACATGGAGAACTTTTGTGTCTAGCTCAGGGATTGTAAACGCACCAATCAGCACCCTGTCAAAATGGACCAATCAGCTCTCTGTAAAACAGACCAATCGGCTCTCTGTAAAATGGACCAATCAGCAGGATGTGGGTGGGGCCAGATAAGGGAATAAAAGCAGGCTGCCCCAGCCAGCAGTCCCAGTCCATACTGTGGAAGGTTTGTTCTTTTGGTTTTTGCAATAAATCTTGCAGCTGCTTACTCTTTGGGGCCACACTGTTTTATGAGCTGTAACACTCACCATGAAGGTTTACAGCTTCACTCCTGAAGCCAGTGTAGACGAGGAACCTGTTGGGAGGAAGGAACAACTCGAGACGTGCCACTTTAAGAGCTGTAACACTCACTGCAAAGGTCTGCAGCTTCACTCAAGAGCCAGCAAGACCACAAACCCACCAGAAGGAAGAAACTGTGAACACATCTGAACATCAGAAAAAACAAACTCCGGAGATGCCGCGTTTTAAGAACTGTAACACTCACCACAAGGGTCCACGGCTTCATTCTTGAAGTCAGTGAGACCAAGAACCCACCAATTACAGACACAGTGCTGAGCCATTCATGAGAAATCCACCCACATGATCCAGTCACGTCACACCAGGCCCCACCTCCAACAGTGGGGATTACATTTCAATAAGAGAGTTGGAGGGGACAGGTATCCAAACTATATCAATCACTCAAAGTCTATAGTTTGCATTAGGTTTGGCTCTTGGCCTTGTATGTTCTATGGGCCTGGATCGATATATACTGACATGTATCTATCCATTGCAGCATCATTCAGAGTAGTTTCTCTGGCCTAAATATTTTCTGTGCTCCTCCACACAGCTCCCCCACGCATAATTCTTGGTGACCACTTATCTTTTTATTGATCTATAGTTTTGCCTTTTCCGGAATGTCATATAGTTGGAATCATACAGTAGGTTGCCTTTTCAGATTGGCTTCTTTGACTTAGTAATCTGCATTTAAATTTCCTCCATATTTTTTCATAGTTTGATAGCTCATCTCTTTTTAGTGCTGAATAATATTTCATTGTCTGGGTGTACCACAGTTTATTTATCCAGTTACTTACTGAAGGGACATCTTGGTTGCTTCCATAGCTATTATTTTTAAAAGGAGAAAGGACTCCTCTAGCTGAAAAACTAAAGAACTTAGTGTGATTTCAGAGGCCTAAGAATGTTCTGTTTACCCTTAGGAGTTTCTCTTCTACCTTGAAGTAAAGCCTGCTGTTTCTCCAACAAAGCTTCACTTATCTGACTTAAAATGTTACAATGAAAATACTCCTAGGAGAAATATTACTTTAAGCATCGTTAGCTATTTACACTTCAGAATGAGTGAGTTTTATATCTTGTTCTGAGAAATTTCCCCAGAGGTAGAGGAAAACAACATGAGACAATTGGCATCAAGGAAAACAACTTCACCTACTCCACGATTATAAATAACTTATGTGAATATCAAATTCAATGACATACAGAATGGTTTCAGTGTATATCCCACAATTCCCTTCTAATGCCCCAATTGAGTGATTAGGTCTTACAAGTTTTACAAATATAGTCAAAAATCCTCTTAATTGACCCTCATTGGACATCAAAATTATTTTGGTAGTTTTAAATACTTGTCAAATGAGAGTTATTACTGTTTTTGGAGGGCATTTACTTTTTGTAGTTTTCATAGCTGGAACTAAAGTTCATGAAAAAAATACAGCTATTATTCCTTGCTCCTGTTTCTCCCCCTCCCCTGACCTTGCCAGGGCACCCAAGACGCACACATCCCTTCCACAAGGCACCTCAGCCAGGCTTGGGTCTGCCATGAAGGAAGCTTTCATGAAGGAAGCAGAAAGATCACACAAAAACTGCATGGTACAATGAGGAGATTATCTGTTGAGAGGAAGTGAAGCTTTCACTCAGCTGGTAATTAAAAACTGAGGCTCTTGACCCACCCTTCTGCAAATGAGCTAACCTTGGCAAGTGCTTCCATTCGTTTGGCCTCAGTTTCCCCATTGGTAAAATAGGAATTGGTTAAGATAATTTGTAAGACAAATCCTCTAGTTCTAAGTTTCTATGGTTACTCTTTGACAGTTTTGTACCTAACTAAATGCCAGGAGTCATTTGTTCCTAAGATTTTATAGCCAACTAGAATATAAACTCCTCTAGGCTAGGGCACAAGTACTCCCCAAGCTCCTGGGGCAACCCATCTTTCACTGCCTACACAAAGCAAAACCAGTGAAGTTGGTCTCCAATGATCCCAGCCTCTCCTTCTCTCCCCTAGGATTATCCAGGTAGACAACTGTGGAATCCTAAGCCTCACTTGGACAAGTTATCTACATTATCCAAGCATTAATTTCTTCTTTCATAAACTGAAGATTACAATATCCATCTTACTGGGCTTGCAGTGAGAATTAGTTTTTATAATGTGTACAACTTACTAGCACAGTGCCTGGCATATATTGGCAATTTTCTCTTCCTTTTGACTTTATTGCCTCGTGCTTTTAAAATTCTAATTCTTCCTTCACATTAAAGGAAAGGAAATGGCGTGGTGAGACTAAAACTCATTTGGATTGTGTGATGGTTCCCCAGGCTTCTGTGGGGTCCAGCTTTCATCTTTGACTGTGGAAGGCTTTGACTATTCTACAAAGAATCCCAAGCATGTGGGGTGCAGGTGGCAAGAAGAATTCTTTTGCTAAGCTGGAGCATCTCTCCTGATTTTGAGCTCGAACTTCCTCAAAGTCAGTGCCTAAGTCTACTTGAGTTTTTTCTAGGAAGCCAGTGAGTCAGAAAAGCCTGAGTGGGAAGAAATGGCAAATCTCCACCAGCTCCCTGCACCATATGCCAAAAAAGACAACTGTCTGGGCTCCCCTGGGAAGCGGTGGCAGCTGCTGGAGGTTCTTGCCTGGGAACTGGGAGTGTGGAGGATGAGGTGCTGGCATCGAGGGTTGTTTGCACTGATTTCCCCACCCCTTCCAGCTGGCTACAGAGGTCTGGGTGAGGAACAGGTGGAGAGAAGAGAGGGAAGAGCCAGGAGCAGCTGGATTCTTGCAAGGCTCCCACAGAAAAGGCTATTCCAAGATCTGAGTACTTGGGACCAATCCAGGGAACTCAGCCCGGGTCACTGGCAGGGACTCACACCCTGCTGCTGCCTGTGGCCCATGGCAGGCAGTCCAAACCCCTTTGCATGGTATCCTGAGCTCTTCCCAACATAGCTGCTGCCCATGTTGCTGCCCATGTTGCTGCCCATGGCTGCTGCCACTTCCCCCAGGTCAGCTTCTCATCATCTCCTGAGCAGCCTCCATGTGATCATGCTCCTCTCAATCTGAAAGGTCCTTCCATCCTACTCTGTATTGAAAACTCTGACACAGTCTCTAAGACCCATCTCAGGCTTGCCTTCTTTGCCTAGGCCTTGCCTCTCTGCCCTGAGCCTCTGCAGCATTCATACCTCCATGGCAATCTTCACTACCTCCTCATAGCCATCTGTTTGCATGGTTTGCTCCTCCACTAGGTGGAAGATACTTGAGAACAGGGACCTTGCTTGATTCACCCTGAACTGCAGCGCCCAGCCTGCACTTGGCATAGGATAGGTACTCAATGAACGTCTCTTAAATGGATGTTGAGCCCCAGTTGCAGAAGAATAGAAAAAGAGAACTTGGTCTTCCCACCGTGGGGCCATGAGCACAGCCAAATGAACCAAGATGCTCCCAGGACCAAGATCCTAATCAGTGCTGGCCCTGATCAGAGATTCTTGGAGGATTAACCAAAGATACAAACTAGAAACACAACTCAACTGTTTAAAAAGAATACTCACTTTAGGCACGTTCTTCCATATTCAAAATATTTTTTTTCTTAGCCATTGTAAAAATCCTTCTATTGTAATAGCAGAATTTCGTCCTCAGATGCCAAGAAACCTTACAGTGCAAGTCACCCCCTTCCTGCTTTTTTTAATAATCCTAGAGAAGCAGCTGGAAGGAGAAAAAAAATCACACACTCAGATGTACTCAGAACTCTGTCACAAAATGAACATCAGAACTGCTAGCCAAGGGGAATTTTTCTTTAAGAAGAACTCCAAGGCCAGGCAGGGTGGCTCATGCCTGTAATCCCAGCACTTTGCGGGGCCGAGGCGAGTGGATCATCTGAGGTCAGGAGCTCAAGACCAGCCTGACCAACACGGTGTAACCTGGCCTCTACTAAAAGAAAAAAAAATACAAAAATTAGCCAGGCATTGTGGCGGGCACCTGTAATCCCAGCTACTTGGGAAGCTGAGTCAGGAGAATCACTTGAACCCGGGAGGTGGATGTTGCAGTGAGCCGAGATCGCACCATTGCATTCCAGCCTGGGCAATAGAGCGAAATTCCGTCTCAAAAAAAAAAAATTTAAAAACTCCATAATATATTAAACATGCAATAGCATTTCCTAGATTCTCTATCCATTTTCCTTCACCCATGGAGGAATTCCAGATCTAATTATAGGCATTTATGGGAACGGCTTTCACTGATGCCTAATCACTGTGTAGTATGAGAACTGTTATGTACACCACTGCATGTGTGAGATTAACTTTATGTTTTACTGGATTATATGTTTTACTGGATTATCACATTAAACTTACAAAAGCACACTCAGACTTCAGCCAGTTTGTCCACTCTGCATGGCTGATCACTCCTAGAGGATAGTTATCTGCTCATACTTTAGAAAAACTGGTCAGAGCTTTGGTGAGAGTAATTTTTGATACCTCTTCTGCACCCTTTGCAACACCTGCCCCCATGCTTTGTGGCCATGTTGGAAGACTTCATAAACATCTGCAAAGATAGTCTACTTATTGAGAGAACGTGGAGCTCACCAGAATACATTAAGAGCCTGCAGAACGCTCAGTGGCCAAGAAGCTGTTGGAAGACTCCCCAGGACTTCTCATCTGGCAGGAAGACTGACACATTTATAAAGGAGCCTTTGAATAATTATTTAAGGGAAATGTGATTTTAATTGTTACCTTTGGACTTTCCAGATACTGCTAAAATAACACTTCTGCCATTAGCACCTTAGCCCTAGGGTAGAAGCAAATTTCACCTGGAACAAACTTCCTAATATGGAGAGGGAAGGGGAAGAGGGGGGTCATGGAAAGATCTGGGATGGGAGGCAGCCCCAGTTCTGTCATTAACTGGGGGTTTGGGACGTTTGCCCACTGGGCTCCTGGATGCACTTCATTTAAGCCTTAAGCTGCTGGTCTTCTGAATTCACGGAGAGCGACAAAAGGGACCATGGAGGTGAATGTCATGAGCTAAGTTCTGTTGGGAGGGTCAGAGGGGCCACCATTTAATTAGTGCCCAGGTGTAGCCCATTCCACAGCTACATGTGGGTCAGAGGTTTGCTGAGGGAGGGAGAGACGGGACAGGATCCTAAATACCATGGAGAAGATTCACCCAACTAACAGTCACCCTCCCCACGTTTGCCAAGCACAGCATAGTCTCCCTGCCTGCCTCAGTCCTTCTAGGCTTTCTGAGTCTTCTCTCAGAGATATCTCTTTTTTTTTTTTTGCAACCTAGTGCAGCTGATGGATTAGACATAGGATCGAACCCCCCTGACCCCACCCAGTTACATAGAGGACACATTCCTGAAACACACTGTGTTAACTACAAATGTAGGACCAGAGGAAGTCTGTGGGCTGAGGGCTGAAGGCAAGGCAGCCACTGAGGCATGAGCTCAGGTCTCCTTTCATGAGAACTTTGTGTGGTGAGTTCCTGGCCTCAGGGCAGCACCTCTTCCCAGGCGACTCCAGCCAGTGACTGAGAACAGCAGGGGTACTCGGGTCTGGCCATTTCTGCCCAACATGGTACTCCTCCAGCAGGACAGCCTGGCTCTGCATGGAGCTCCGGATGGGGCTGGCTGGACTTTCTCAGCATCACACTGCAGCAGAGGCTCTCCCTGCTCCACCCTCCCTGCTTCCTCATCCCCTTTCACAGGCATCAGACCTACTACATGACCTAAAGCCCTTCCCTGCCTGCTTCTATTTTCCCTCCCCTTTCACAGTCATTTCCCTCCTCCCAAATCACTCACACTTCTGATTATTTTGGTGTCTGCCTCCCAGAGGACCTGAGCTGACACCAGCTATAGGCTCAAGATAGGAGAAATGTATTTTAACTTTAAGAGGTTATTTTGACTCAAAATACAGCTCCATAATGTTTTACCCATAATTTAAAACTCAAAAATCTCGAAAACACCAAAACTTGATCTGACCGTATATGAGGCTATTCAAATCTGCAATTATTCTACTTCATAAATTATAAATAACATATTTATATTAAATACATTTATTACAGAAATATGAATGTGCTTGGTTATGGGATGCTGCTTCTAACTGATGGGCATGTCATATGCAGTATATGTATTAGATGAACTCTCTAATATCTAAAAACATCTGAATTATGAAAAATATCTAAGAGTTTTGAAGAAGGAGTTGTAGACCAGTACTATACACAAATTGAAGTCTATGAAGCAGCTTATCTCCAAAGGAGAGCCCGTTGAACCACGCCTCCCAGTGATGGCAGCGGCTGCTCCAGACAGCCTGCCACTGCCATCATGCTAGCTGCAGCCAGGAAGCACAGCTGGGACTGCACGCTCAGTGGAGCTGGTGGGAGCTGGGACAAGCAAGAACCCTGCCCCTTCCCCCTTCCAAGATGGGGTAGGAGCTCCCTGGGTGCTGCTGCAGCTGCCCAAACTGCAGCTGTAGACCCAGACCTCCTGCTCTATGGAGCAGGCGGGATCCCCCTACTCCAGGGTAGGGCTGCAGCTTCCCAAACCACCACTGTGGATCCAAGCCTCCCTGTGCTCTTGGGGAGCTCCCCACGTGCCACTGCAGCTGCCCAAACAGGGGTTGTACACTCAGGCTCCCACTCCACTGAGCAGGAAAGAGCCCCTCCCAAAATGTAGCTGCAGACTCAGGCATCCCTGCACTCTTGGGGGCCCAGGGAAGGCCCTCTTGCCCTTGCAGGCTCGGAAGTGCCTGTTCTTCCTCCTCCTTCTCTGCTGTTGACACTCATTCCAATCTGGGAGAAGTCAGGGCCAAGCCTGAGTTCCATGAACGGCAGCAGGAGGCAGACAGTTTCTTGGGACCGGTAAGGTCCCACCTTCAGGCCCAAAAGGGCCTGAAGGCTGGGGGCTGGGCTGCCAGTCCCACAGACCAGAGTGGGGACTTGCGGTGCCTTTTCCAGCTCCCATGGCTGCCCATGGACCAATGGGCACAAATTTCCTCCCCTCTGAGGTCCATAAAAGCCCCCAGCTCAGCCAGAGCAAGCAGAGGATGGAGAGGACAGAGAGACAATGGGAAAACCAGCTGCAGAGAGGAACTACCCTCTCTGCTAAGAGCTTCAGAGACCTGCAGAGATGTCGGTACTACCAGCTGCAGAGAGGAACAACCCTCTCCAGGGCTTCCTCTCTGGTGAGAGCTTGATACTTGATGGGACAACCTGCCTACAGAGAGGAGCCACCCACTGCAGGTCTCCTCTGAGCTGTCGTACACTTAATAAAGCTCCTCTTCATCTTCTTCACCCTTTACTAGTCTGCGTACCTCATTCTTCCTGGATGCAGGACAAGAACTTGGGCAAAGGCACCACTAGCCACAGAGGTTTCCAGCCAGAAAATCGACACCCCAAAGATGCCATAACACAAGTCCTCATGCCCTTGTGTGGTCTTCTCACCTTGAGTCTGGGTGCTTTACCTGTAGAATATGGCAGAAATGATGCTGTGCCAGTTCTGAACATATGCTTTAAGAAAGTTTAGCTTCTACTTTTATACTTTTAGATGATCTTATCCACCAAGAAATCTGGACAGACCACTACCAGTGTTGAATTACAGAGGCACCAAGGCTGAGTGTTAAAAAGAGTGGGAGAAAAAAATTAAAAACATTTCTAAGGCCTTTCTCTTAAGCCAGGTACTAAGAGCATAAGATTAGAACAAGTACACTCAAGATTTAAGGACAAATGGATGATGAGGTCCTTGGGAAGGAAGTCTTTTCCTGTAGCCATGTGCAGTTAGCCAGTAGCTACACAATGTAAGAAACTATTCATTCCAGTATGAACATGGTGATGTGACATGTTAGCATTTTTTCATTTAATAGTCAAGTGTGTATATTAATTATGCCTAGAGCAAAATGTGTAATGCAAGCTGTGGGATACATGCTATATAACCCAAGTGACAAGAATACCAGATAAGACAAGATCTGAAGGAATAATTGTTGCCTGTCTGAAAGTTTACTGCAACCATTTGTTTACAAGTCAACCTTTTTACAGTTGGAAGTTTGGACAGTGAACAGAGAGAAAATGACTAGATAGCATGACAGCAGCACATTTCTCTAACAAGTTGTCATGGTTCTTGTATCAAAGTACAATTGAACATGATGAATCCTAAGATGTATTTCAAGATGTAATCACCTATCTTCAAATTGCCATTTGAATTTTTTCACTTCTTAATTTGCATATGCAAATAAAGGACTTGCAAATGACTTGGTTACAAATATTATTTAAATTATATACAAGATTTTAAGTTCCCCGAAAGCAGGAATTATATTTTTTTAGCCATTGCATCCTCTTTAGCATCTGCTTACAATGTCCTGGTAGAATCTCAAAACATATTCAATTAATATAAATAAATTTAAATAAGCTTTTAAGTATAATAGATGCCAAATTATTTTCCTTATTTTTCTGCATTGTTTAAAAGAAAATGAGATGTGATAATACACATGGGTTTTTGCTACATGTAATTTCTAAATAATAGATATTATCCTTCCTCTATGGTGCTTCTTGAGAGTGAGTTTGACACAACCAAAGAGGCAGGTTGATGGATTTGGGTTGCTAGAGAACTGTTTCGGGTGTTGTGGGAGAGCTTGGAGGTTCCCAACACTGTATCCAATATTTCAGCCCTGCTCTGCTTGGCACTGCCCACTTCCTCTGCCTGTCTCTTGCTTTCCTAAATATGGCGAGAATTTTACTGTTGAGTAGATGTCTGGTTTCTCTTTTAGAAAGGACAATGTGGCCGAGTGGGGTGACTCACACCTGTAATCCCAGCACTTTGGGAGGCTGAGGCGGGTGGATCATGAGGTCAGGAGATCAAGACCATCCTGGCCAACATGGTAAAACTCCGTCTCCACTAAAAATACAAAAATTAGATGGGTATGGTGGCGCATACCTGTAATCCCAGCTACTCGGGAGGCTGAGGCACGAGAATCACTTGAACCCAGAAGGCAGAGGTTGCAGTGAGATGAGATCGTGCCACTGCACTCCAGCCTGGCGACAGAGCGAGACTCCATCTCAAAAAAGAAAAAAAGGACAATGCACCTCATAAAAGGTGATCAAAATATTGCTTCAAATGAAACAGTTTTAGATGAAAAAGGAAAGAACCACTAACTTTTCTTCTTTGTCCTCATAACTGTCAGATAGACAATTACAGACTCTAACATTTTACCATTAGAAACAATGCTCCATTCTGCCAGTAGTGTAGGGTTTACCGTCTGATGTCACAAAAGAGAGTAATTATACTCTGCCACCTTGTTTTTCTTTAAGATAAACTGATACTAGAGCTCTGCAGCTCAACCCTGGAAAACTCTGAAATGAACAGCACAGAAAGGGATCGCCGGGGATCAGAAGTGGGGCTAAGATGGTTTACTAAAAGTTAAGTATTCTTCCTTTTAATTTCCTCCAGGATTTATGAAGGCAAAGCCACCATAAAGTTTTATTTCCCCAGGGCATTCTCTGAAAACACCAGGCACCAGGGCTAAAGGAATTGCCTCTAGGATTCGTTTGTTGCAGCTTCAACTTGAACTCTCTTCCTCAGCCATAGGTTCACTGCCAGTGCCTCGCTCTCATGTCACAATGACCCAAAGTTGGAAATTGATAGCCTGAACCTCACTGAGCCAACACAAACAGTTTCCTAAGAAGACTCGTGTATTTATTAACTGAAGAAAAATGAATACCTTTTTTTTAACCATGTGTCTCGGAAGCCCATGAACGCTTTCTATAAGACACAGACAATAGGTGAAACTCCAAGAAGCAAGTAGGAGACAAGGAGATAGGATCTACTCAGAACAGCTGAAATGAGACTGAGAACAATACAGTGCTTTGATTGATATGGTGATTTAAAAATTAAAAGAGGGGAGTCTATCTGTGAGCTGAATGCCAGTTACTAGAGATTGATGGATGGCATGAATCTTCTTCTCTTTGTGGCACTTCAGATAAAATGTGTTTTCTTTCAGAGAGGATCTTTATAAGACAATTGCTCAACTAGGAGGGTGTGAGTGTATGTGCACGTGCATGCTCACTCACACACACATGCACACTGCAGCATTTCAGAGCAGGGCTCTATACCTAGAATGCGAGGCTGCTCCATGCTCTGCAAACTGCCTGTACATAGTTTATGCATAGGTAATGTACTTTAAAACATCCCTCCTGGATGAGCCTTCATTTTCAATTGTGTCTCTGCACCATGTGGTAGCCAGCATGATTAAAGAAAAAGTGATTGTGTGAACCTCCAAATCCATCTGTCATGTCATTGGCATTGAAGAGTCTCACTGAAAAATTAGCCTCCTCCTTCCCCCAACTTGTGTTTTCCCATCCTCGAGACAATACGGGAAGCTCTTAGCCGGGAGAGAAGGGAACAAAGGGGCAAGGAATTCAATAAAAAAGAGATCCTAGGCAAAATGAAATATTGTTTCTCTGTATTGCTCTTTTTCTTTCCAGTCCACAGAGCATTAACCAGTTGTCTGCTGCACCGTGAGGCAGGAACATTTCTAGTATTTGTCTGCAAATGACTGAAGCATTTGAAACATCAGAGATGTCCAGTGTGATAGTCTGGAATGCAAGAGTCTAAACTGGACACAAAAATGACAGGCAAAATGTGAAAAAATACTTGTAATTCCTATGTCTTTGGAATTTTCCTAGTATACTTGCTTAATTAAATGCACATATAGGCTCAAACACATATTGAATTTTTTTCATATTCTCTGTGCACATATGAGGACTTCCTAAAATTGTATACAGAATTTTATTTATCTATGCATGTGTGCATTTTTCTCGGGAGAGGACCCACAGTGAGCATCAGTTTTTAAAAATAGTTTATGACCCACAAAGTTAAAAAAGACTGCAATAAGGTATGTACTACTTATTTTATGTTTATTTCCTCAATTGCAGAGGGTATATTTGCTGTCATTTTGGATTAAGGGTTTGGAGACAAATTATATCTATGAAATACTTACTTGGGCCAAGAGAAAAACAAGAAAACCCAAGTAAACTAGAAAAGAGATGCTGAACTACAAGACAAAAGAGGATAGGGTGAAGTATATTAGATTTATATTTTTTGCTTATTTAATAAGTACAGACTCAGACAAAACTTAAAATGCACAGTATATGGATTTTGGGGTTGTTTTTAAAGCTTTTTAGGAATTTTCTTTTTAAATTCTTCTTATTTCAATTGTTAAGAGAAAAAATGTGCATATTTGGACTAATGAACTCATTTAAAATTTCTTCAGTTGGTGTTAGTTTTTTAAAGTTAATTAAAGTGGGAAAATTATAGAGTTGCACATTTGTTTCAGGTCAGAAGATTTTGATGGAAAAAATTATTAACACAGCTTGCTCTAAGCAGGCTGCCTTGCAGTCATTGAAATTTTTAATCTGTGTGCATTCATCTTAACCTGAATGTTTTCTAAAAGTTAAACAAATAAGGATTAATGGGTATATTTTAGAATTGAGTATATTAGTTACAATAAATATAAAAGCTGTTGTTGGGTCAAGGAATATACTCTTAAGTATTGAGATTAAAGGGAACAAGGTCTTTCTTTCATCAAGAACTAAACCCTAACATTGATTCCTCATTGTGGAGGTATGTGAAATAAGCACAAAGAGACTAAAAACAGCCCTTTATGATCAAAACACTCAACAACCTAGAAATAGGGAGGACTTTCACAATGTGATAAAGGACATCTGTAAAAACCAATATTTAGTCTGAAACATGAAAAATGTTCTCCATAAGAACAAGACAAGGAAGGTTACTCTTGCCACTTCTATTTAACATTGCACTGGAGGTTCTATCCAGGACCATTTAGTCAGAAGAAGAAATAAAAAACCATCCACATTAGAAAGGAAGACATAAAGATGTCTCTATTCACATAGAATCTTGTATGTAGAAAATCCTAATTAATTTGTATTAAAAAAAAACTATTGGAGCTAATAAATGAGTTCAGCAAGGTTGCACGGTACAAAATCAATACAGAAAAATTAATTATATTTCTTTAAGTAGCAATGAACATGCCAAAAATGCAATTAAGAAAACAATTCCACTTACAATAGCATCAAAAAGAACAAAATGTTTAGAAATAAACTTAAGAAAAGTACTGCAATGCTTGTACTCTGAGAACTACAAAACAAGACCTAAATATTTAGAACTACATCCCATGTTCATGGATCAGAAAGCATAATATTCTTAAAATGGCAGTATGCTCCAAACTGATCTTTAGATTCAACACAATCTCTATCAAAATCCAAGTTTAGCTTTTTTTTTTGGCAGAAACTGACAAGTTGATTCTAAAATTAATATGAAAATGAAAAGCACACAGAATCGCCAAAACAACCTTGAAAGAGAAAAACAAAGTTTGAAGGCTTGCACTTCCTTATTTCAAAACTTACTATAGGCCAGGTATAGTGACTCACCCTTGTAATCCCAGCACTTTGGGAGGCTGAGGCAGGAGGATCACTTGAGCCCAGGAGTTTAAGACCAGCCTGGGTAACACAGTGTTACCCCATCTCTACAAAAAAAAGTTAAAAATAAAGTAGCTGAGCATGGTTGCTCATGCCTGTAGTCCCAGCTACTTGAGAGGCTGAGGCAGGAGGATCGTTTCAGCTTGGGAGGTCAAGGCTGTAGTGAGCTGTAATCACACCACAGCACTCCAGCCCAGGCAACAGAGCAAGACCCTATCTCAAAAAAATAACTACAATAAAGTTTCAATAAAAAATATAGTGTGACATTGGCATAACAGTAAGCACATAGGTCAATGCAATAGAACTGAGAATTCAGAAATAAATTCTTACATTTATAGTCAATTGATTTTCAACAAGCATGCCAAGACAATTCAATGGGGAAAAGAATAGTCTTTTCAACAAATGGCCTGTGGACAACTTGATATCCACATGCAAAGAATGAAGTTGAAACCATACCTCACATCATATACAAAAATTAACTCAAAATGAATCATAGACCTAAATGTAAGAGCTAAAGCTAAAACTCTTAGGAAAAAGAGAGGTAGAAATCTTCATAACCTTGGTTAGGCAATGGTTTCTTAGATATGACAACAAAAGCACAGGCAGAAAGAGCAACAAAAAAGTATGTGAATTGAACTTCACATAAAACATTTCTGTTTTATCACAATTAAAAACATTTTTGCATTAAAGGACTCTATCAAGAAAGTCAAAAGAAAACCCATAGAATGGGTGAAAATATTTGCAAATCATATATCCAATAAAAATCTAGTATCCGGTTCTTAACAACTCACCAACAAAAAGACAACCAGTTAAAAAATAGGCAAAGGACTTGAATAGACATTTCTCCAAAGAAGATATACAAATGGCCAAAAACCACAAGAAAAAAAGCTCTAAGTCGTTAGTCATTAGGGAAATGTGAGTTAAAACCACTATGAGACACAACCACTTCACACCCATTAGGTTGGCTGAATTAAAAAGACAGACAATAACACATGTTGGTAAGGATGTGGAGAAATTGGAAAACTCATACATAGCAGGTGGGATTGTAAAATGCTGCAGCCACTTTGGAAAAGAGTTTGGCAGCTCCTCAAGATGTTAAACATAGAATTACCACACAACCCAGAAATTCCACTATGTATATGTTCAAGAGAATTGAAAACGTATGTACCCACAAAAGCATGTACGCACACGTTTATGGCAGCATTATTCATAATAGCCAAAAAAGTGGAATCAACACAAACATCCATCAAACGGTAAAAAAAAAAAAACTAAAAAAAAAAACCATGTGGTATATGCATACAATGGGCTATTACATGACCATAAAAAGGATTGAAGTACTGATCGTGCTATAACATAAATGAACCTGGAAGCCTTATGCTAAGTGAAAGAAACCTGTCACAAAATGTCATTTTGTATGATTTTATTTGTATGAAATGTCCAGAACAGGCAAGTGCTTAGAGACAGAAAAAGATTATTGGTTTCCAGGGACTAGGGTGAGGGGAAACATAGAATGACTGCCAACAGGTACAGGTTTCTTTTTGGAATGATAAAATTGTTCTGAAATTAGATTTGGTGATGATTGCACAACTACATGAATATACTAACAACTACTAAATTGTATATTTTTTAAAATGATAGAGGCCACAAAGTCACAGGTAGGTATATTATAATCCGATCAAAGATATTAAGGTTTTAACATTTAAAAAATTAATATATTGGTTGTGAAAGTCAGTGTGTTAAATGGAAGCCATCTGTGGTAGATTGGATTAAATGAAGATTATCTAGTTCTTCATTTCCTTGGGTAATAGGAATATAAGGTCAGGCTATATAAAATTTCCATTTTTGATTAAGTAAAAATGGTCAAATATCAGCAATTCCCTGTGGTTTCACCTTATACTCCCATGCCTTTTTCCATGTAACTTTGCATTCTTCCTTATGCCATTGATGTTGGGCTTGACCATGTGACTTGACTTGGTAAATGGAATGCTAGTAAATGTTGTGAGCAGAGACTTGAAACATGCTTTTGTGTTTTGGCTTGTGCACCAATCCTTCACCACGAGGACATTCCCTGGGTGGTCACGAGTCCAGGAAGGATGAAAATACATTGGGAGCAGACATGGAGTTAGTCAACAGCCTGCAGCTAAGCCCAACAGACCTGCAGCCTTAAAAAAACCTCCCAGCCCATAAAAACTGCACTTCAGTCTACTTGCAGACTGGTGAATATGAAGACAGTTATTTTAGTTGTAAGCCCTTGAGATTTTGAAGTTGTTAGTAGATGGTAGGTTATAGCTAACTAATATGTCATCTATGCATTGAACTAGGGAAAGCAACTAAAACAAGAGTAGATGGTGTCTGTTCACCAATATTCAAAAGAAATGGACTTCAACAGAAGAATTTCCTGGACTCTGAAAGGAGGAGAGACAGATGGGCAGAGTGCAGAGGTAGTGGCAGATACCCCAAGCATTAAACAACAGCTTGAAGACTGGCCTTGGAGATTTGATTAAGTATCAAACTAAAGGGAAAACTGACAAATATCAATTTTTAACACTTCCCAATTTTGGCCAAGGTCTGTGTTGCAGCCTGAGCTTTAATCTACATTCTTATAAATAAAGGGGAAATCAAGGAAAGAAAGTTTGATTACAAGTAAGGGCATGGGGTTAGTTATGATTATAACATGCTGAGGAGCAAACACTTGGATTCTATATTGCTTTTTTTTTTTAACTCTAAATTTGATGCTAAGTGTTTTTCACTTGTGCAAGTCCTGGAGTTGAAGAGAGAGTTTCAGAAATGAAACCACAATTAATTGAAGTTGTTGGAAAATGTATAATCAAGGACTCATGCATTTATTTATGTCAACAATTCCAAGGAAAATTGCTACTAAGTTTTACCAACTGTCATCCACTTGTCCTCTTTCATATCTTGGATTAAATTATGACAATTATATCCTCCAGGCTCCTGATCATAACAGTAGCTGCTTTTTATTAAATGCTTACCATGTAACAAGGACTCTGCAAGACACTTTTTAGACAGTGTATCTAATTCTCACAATGACATTGAAAGATGAATGTTATTACCCCCATTTTAGAGGTGAGGAAACCGGAACTCAGAAAGACTGGGTAATTTCACCCTTAATGTCAGATAGTTAGGAACAGAGGGAGCTATAATTTGAACCTAGGTCTAACTATAATCCTATTTAATGTTGAGCAAACATCAGTTTAAGCTGGAGTTTTAGTTAGTGAAATAAAAATGTTCTGTCCAAGGAGGCTTAGCTACTGGCATAGAAAAAGAACCTTATTATAAAGTAGTTAGTCTTAGTTATCCTATCCACCTACCAATCTATCTAAATCTATACATAGACTCTTGAGAAAAGTGACAAGAAAGTGCCAGCTTGATCTAGATTTTACATATTTTCTTTTGTCTGAATATTTAATTCATTTTCAGTTCAGTTATTTCTCTTGTCCTTATCATGTGTTCATCGTAGACCCTTGGCTCAGTCCAGAATGGAATTGTTTTTGAAGAAGTATAGTCTAAATAAAAATATCCAATCTTTGCCTATATCTCTGAAAAATATAGTTACGGAATATGAACACAGAATCCTTAACAACTCTTAAAAATTCTGTATCTCCTGGGCCCTCTTCCCTCTCCTTCTCTCCTATCTCCCCTCCCTCCACACCAACTCCTTTCAGCCCATTAGATTTGCGTCCTGCCACTCTCTAGACAGCCTCTCCTACCTCCACATTTCCATACAGCTCCCTGAGCACTTGCCGACCCTTAGCCTACTCAGCCCCATAGGGAATTTAGTACCTCCCTTCATTAACAGCTTTGTGCAAGAGCCTCCTCTGAGGCTTTGGTCTATCCTAACTCTCCTTTTTCCCTCTTCTCTTATTTCATTCCACCTCACAAAGTTTCAAAAGATGGAGCTGACCCAGAACTCTCTTCAGAAAGGTAGGGGTAGCTGAGTGAGCAACCCCAGAATACTCTGTATCTGGCAGAGTTTAGGGAAGAAAACAAAAAAGACTGACCCCTTCCTCATCCCCCATAATGATGCTATCTGCCCATCACATGCTGTGTTAGTTTCTTACTGCTGCTGCGATAAATAATTCCAATTTAGTAGTTTAAACAACACAAACATATTATCTTGTAGCTCTGTAGGTCAGAAGACCTGTATGGGTTTCACTGGGCTAAAACCCACAGTGTCAATATGCTGCTTTGCTTTCTGGAGGCTGTGGGGAAGAATCTACTTCCTTGCTTATCGGTGTTATGCGCAAAACTCAGTTCATTGCAGTTGTAGGACTGAAGTCCTGGTTTATTTGCAGGCTCCCAGCCAAGGGCCATTCTGGAGACTGCCACATTTCTGGGCTCACAGCCCCTTTCTTCCATCTTTAAAGCCAGCAACTGGCAGGTGGAGTCCCTCTCATGCTTTGAATTTTTCCTCTTTACGCCATTTGGAAAGGCTCATCTCATCTCTTTACGCCATTTGGAAAGGCTCACCCCAATAATCTCCTCATCTCCAGATCCATACTCTTCATCACATCTGCAAAGTCTCCTTTGTCATGTAAAGTAACATATCTGCAGGTCCTGGGATTACTCCATACATATCCTGAGGGGGGCATTATTCTGCCTAACACACGTGGTAAATTTCATTGTTGTTTCATAAATGGGAAGGCAGGTGTCTGCGGAGATGAGGGCATCTCCATATGGAAGAACTGGAGGTCCTTCCATAATACAGGCTAAACCAAGGGTCAAGTTAAACCTAAAATTGTACTCCTCTTGATCTAGTCTATATACCCAGCCCATAGATGATTCCTGTAGAACGATCAAATATGTAGGAAGGTCATATGATAACCAAGCTTTTTGACCTGCCCACCAAATGTTTTTATTAAGCTGCATATATTTAGAATGTTTTCAATTAAGTCGTACTAGAAAAGATACAAGTCAGAAAATGTATGTTCTTAGAAAAAACAACTCAATAATAAGTATCTGGGATCAAAAAAGAAAGCTAGGTTTATGTTTTTATTAGGCCATCTTTCTGTAAAATTTGGTGGTTTTTTGTTTTGTGTTTTTTATTTATCTATTTATTTATTTTTCTGCAAGTTGTCTTCACAATGCTTCTCCAAGAAAATCACATTTCCTACAACAACTTCTGTAAATGCCCTGAATTGGCTAGATTGAGATAATTCAAGAGTCCTCTGTCACCATCACACCAGAATATCACATTTTGCTTTATCTTGTCTGCTAAAGATGGGATATTTTAAAATATTCCACTAAATGGAAGGCTTGTCTAGAAAAGATGGGGGTAGAAAACATTCCTGTTTATGTTATTACTTTTCAGAATAGCTATTGCTGATGCATTATGCTCTCCAGGAATATTAGAAGCCCAGATTATATCAGGTAATTGCTACACGCAGAAACCAAGCAGGATACACAAACCTGGAGGCTGCCAGCAGCAACTATGATGAAATTATCAACGATAAACAGGTCAACAGGAAAAACATAAAGCAAACTAGAGCACCAAAGCCAAGCAAGATATCACCACAGAATCGAAAGATACTAAGAAGGAAAGCTCATGGGAATAGGAGGTGTGAGGATGAGGCAAGAGTCTTTATGTATTGTGGGACAGTCTGGAGTCTCTCTAAGACCTTTATCAAAATCAGTAATGTCTCATAAGGCTTGGCAATAGATGGAATGAAATGCTACAGTGCGTGTCATGTTGTAGGGATTCACACTTTAGTATGTTTTGTGCTGTGTTCTTTGTTTTGCATTTTTATCCCACCTGCCAGGACTTTCTATTTATGCTTTTTCTTTTTCTTCAGCAGAGAGCAGGAAAGCCATGATGAGTAGTTGATGAAAATGTGGGGCTAAATTTACATAGTCATTCAGTGACTGTCATGTACCGTGACGCTTGTGGAGTACAATTAAGAGAGTCTCTAATTTGAATAAAAATCTGTTCTTTCAGTTTCATGTCATATACGATATCACTACAAGCTCATCTACATAGCCTATTATAATGCACACTTTTATACGACTATAGCCTTCATCTAATCAGTCTCTACAAGCTAATCAGCTCAAATACTGTCACAAGTGGTATAATGCATGCAATTATCCTTAATTCAACTTCTAAACATGGAGGTGAAAGATCAGATTTAACCAAACAGGCTTATCAGGAATTCATGAATTGATAATCGTGATTAATGGAAAATCACAGTGCAAAACTTGTTTTAATTTACCTGTTCATGTAACTTGTGTTACAGAGAAATGTGAACTTTCATCCACAGCGAACAAAGAATGGCTGGACTTTCAGATGCATTTTAGCCCCAGGTTAAGAAATGTGCATTCATTCACTATTTCAAGGATAATCTTTAATGACAGAAATCAGTGCAGCTAAGTAAGGATTATAGCTTTGAAACTATCCCGGCCCTGACTCACTGAAAAAGAAATGATTACTCAGAAATGTCATCTCCAGTTATCACTAATAAGTTGGAAGGGGGATTTACGTTGAACAGAATAAATTGAACTGCTTGTCTCTGGAGTTCCTTGGATTTCTACAGTGTTGTACTCTTCTTGAAAAGGGGTCTTTGAAAATAGCTGCATTAGGGTTTGTGTTCTCCTAAGTCTTAACCACTTACTTGTAAGAGACTCAGAACATCAGAACATTGACCTATAATATATTCATTTATTGAAGTAATATTTACTTAGCAAATGTGATATGGAAGAACCTATGCTAGGTACTGGGGGTAGATATCATGAGTAAAAGATGGCTTATCCTCGGGAAACTCGAAGACCACTGAGGAAGATAATACAAAGAAACTGAAATAATCAATATAACATGATGAGAGTTGAGGAAAGTGCTGACTGGCGTCTTATTTTGTTACTGTTTTGCTACAATGAGTTAACCAGGGAGGAGTAAAATGTATACTAGCAGGATGCCAGGATCATATCTCTGAAAGGTTTGGATTTCCCTTCCTTTGTTCCTGGCCACCCAGATTATGCCAGCACTGGAGGAACCAGGGCTAGTGTCCTGGGTTAAATTGGGCGTCTGGCTCAAGTCCAGGCAGCAGCTTCCTGCACACTGAAGGAGGATGGTGGTTTGGAGGTTCTCAGAAGAGGCAGAGATGCGCACTACTTATGTGCAGGACCCAGGGTGGGCTGATGGTCTGGATGGTGGGATGGCTGTGGGACGCTTATGGAAGCTGGACATTTAAGTGCTGTAGCTAGGGTCTCTGTCGCTGTCTGTAGTCCATGGAGGAGACATCTGTGAAGCACATCTCTGAGCTCACTCCTGCCCTACAGTAGGCAATGCACATAGACAGCAGAGGATCCACACTGGGCAGCGTGATGATATCAATATTGACCCCATTGTCTGGGAGCCAGCACAGAAATGCTATGCAATTCTGTGCATGTTTGGGAGCTCCATAAATGTTTCTTAGATTGAATATACTGCCTGATGAATCGACGGTTGAGGAGCAAATCTGTACCAGGTGTTGCAAATTAGATGCTTACAGGTACAGCAAGCACTACAAAGAAATCTAGTGATGAAGGGTGTCTGGTGTGACGAGGTAAACTGGAAACTACGTGTCTTTTACTCAACTCCAACTGCTTATGGAATGCTGGTAAGTGTAGTGAGATCTTTGATGTTTTTCTTGTTCGTTCAAGAGAAGCTGGATATTTATGTAAAAAACTTCCTGAATTTTTAAAAACATTCCTTTCTTTCTTTTTTTTTTTTTTTTTTTGACACAGATTCTCACTCTGTTGCCCAGGCTGGAGTGCCGTGGTGCGATCTCGGCTCACTGCAACCTCCGCCTCCCAGCTTCAAGCTATTTTCCTGTCTCAGCCTCCCAGGTAGTTGGGATTACAGGCGTGCACCACCACGTGTGGCTAATTTTTGTATTTTTAGCAGAGAGGAAGTTTCACCATGTTGGCCATGCTGGTCTCTAACTCCTGACCTCAGGTAATCCGCCAGCCTCAGCCTCCCAAAATGCTGGGATTACATGCATGAGCCACCTTGTCCGGCCTCACCCAGCACCATTTAGTGAAAAGACTATCTTTTTCCCATTGTATGTTCTGGGTGTCCTTACTGAAGATGAGTTGGCTATGAATGGCTGGGTTTATATCTGGTTCTATATTCAGTTCCATTGGTCTGTGTGTCTGTCTGTTTTATGCCAGAACAATGCTGATGTGGTTACTATAACTTTGTAGTAAATTTTGAAGCCAGGTAGTGTGATGTCTTCAGCTTTGTTCTTTTTGCTTAAGATTGCTTTAGCTATTCAGGATCTTTTGTGGTTTTATTTAAAGTTTAGAATTTTTGTCCTGCTTCTGTGAAAAGTGAAAACCTCCTGCATTTTCAATGTTGGCAACTAATTCAAAATTTAAAATATTATGCAGGTGAAACAAAATTCACCTGCTGTATTTGTTCCATAGACAAGTCATTTGCAGTCTCTGGACTATAAGAAATAAAAAGATAAAATAAAAAATATGGGAAGTCATAGGAAATGGGTAGAGAAGTTGAATTTTGAGATGGGATAGAGGCATGGATGGGACTCCTGATAAGATCTGAGATATCAGAGACAATTGAAAAGATGAATTCCCACAATTCTTACATTTGTTTATCCATTTCTTTTTCAACCAATATGCACTGAGTACCTCCTATATGTCAGGCATTATGCTAAAGGTGGTGCAGATGTGGGTAGCAGAGGAGGGGAATGGTCCCTGTACTCAAAAAAACGTTTAGTCTAGTGGTTAGACACCTGAAAGATTAAAAAATATGCCAGAAAAAAATTCATAGGCTAAGAGACAGTGTTCAAAGCAGGAGGAACAGCACCTGGGAAGGCCACATATGAGCATGGCAAGCTGTGTCTGCAAAGCCCAAGGAAGTTCTTATGCCTATAGGACAGAGCTCAAGGGGAAGTGGTGAGAGGAGGCTAGAGACACTGGCAGGGGCCAGAGCCTGGAAAACCCCAAGCAAAGCCCTTTTTGTACTAACCCTAGAGGCAATGGAAAATTCGTCAAGGATTTTAAGCAAGAGACTCAAGGAGGTTGTAATATTTAAAGATGTTCCAAGGTTAGCGTATAGAACATAAAATGGGAGACCAAGTGTGAAGCAGTGGCTGTAATTCAGGCGAGAAATAAAGGCCAGGTAGAACAGAAAGAACTGAATCAAGGGAATGGATTTAAGAGACATTTTGGAGATGGAAGAAAGATCAAAAGTAATTGATATGAAGTAGAGAACAAAGGAGATGGAGGATTTAAAGATAACATCCCCAGGGTTCTGGTTTGGGCACTGGGTGAATGATGGTTCCATTCCCTGAGAAAGTCAACTCTGGTACTCTGTGTGTGTGTGTGTGTGTGTGTGTGTGTGTGCGAGTGTGTGTGTGTGTGTGTGTGTGTGTGTAGTGGTTTAGGGGAAATGCTCATTTGTTTTGCCTTGATATGCTAAATTTATGGTGCCAGAAAGACATCCAAGTGGAGACGTGTAACAGGCAATTGCTATATGGGCAATGAACTTAGGAGGAGGGTTGCATTAGAGATTTAGCTTTTGGTGCCATCAGCATATAGCTGAAAGTAGGGGACATTGTCTATAGAGTTTAGAGGAAGAATATCAGACTGCCAAGAAAAGATTTCTTAGGGCTACTAATATTTAAGGAATGAGTAGAAAAGGAAAGATTGTAATGATGTGTGAGAAGAAGCAGTCAAAGATATAAAAGAAAAATCAGGTAACTGTAGCTAAAAGAAAAGAGAAAAACATTTTTGAAAAAATAGAGCAAAGCAACAACTGAAAAATGTCCTTAAGATTTCACAACAAGAATTTGGGCAAGATAATTTTCAGTAGCCTGGCGGTTCAAGGATATCGCATATTCTTATCCTTAGTGTAGAAATGGTAACAGCAAATGTAGACAATTCTTTAAAAAGTTTGATTGTGAGATGCCAAATAGCCAAAATAACCTTGAGCAAAAAGAACGAAGCTGGAGGCATTACATTCCTTGATTTCAAAATATCCTATAAAGGGATTATAATCAAAACAGCATGAAACTGTGTAAGAACAGACACATTGATCAGGATAGAAAGCCCAGAAATAAACCCAAAAATTTACAGTCGATTTTTTTTTTCTTTTGGCTTTTTTTTTTTTTGACAGTTTCACTCTTGTCACCCAGGCTGGAGTACAGTGGCATGATTTCGGCTCACTGCAACCTCCACCTCCCGGGTTCAAGCAATTCTGCCTCAGCCTCCCAATTAGCTGGGATTATAGGCATGCACCACCATGCCTGGCTAATTTTGTATTTTTAGTAGAGACTGGTTTTCACCATGTTGGCCAGGCTGGTCTCGAACTCCTGACCTCAGGTGATCCGCTAGCCTTGGCCTCCCAAAGTGCTGAGATTGCAGGTGTGAGCCAGCACACCCAGCCTGATTTTTGACAAAAGTGCCAAAAAAAAAAACACAATGGCGCAAGGAAAATATCTTCAATAAATGTTGTTGAAAAACTAGATATCCACATACAGAAGAATGATATTAGACCTTTATCTTGATATTAGAACCTTACACCATATACAAAAGTCAGCTCAATATGGATTAAAGACTTAAATCTAAGACCTGAAACTTTAAAACTTCCAGAAGAAAACCCAGGGGGAAAGCTCCACTACATTGGTCCGGGCAGTGATTTTTTGGATAGGATTCCAAATGTACAGGGAACAAAAGTAAAAGTAGACACATTGATGGCGTCAAGCTAACAAGTTCCCGCACAGCAAAGAGAACAATTAAAAGAGTGAAGAGACAACCCACAGAATGAGGGAAAATATTTACAAACCATACATCTAAGAAGAAGTTAATACCCAAAATATATAAGGAAGCCAAACAACTCAACAGCAAGAAAATAAATAAGCCAGCTGAAAATTGGCTAAAGGACCTGACTGACCAATTTTCAAAAGAAGACATACAAATGGTAATAGGTATATGAAAAATTCTCAGCACCACTAATCATTAGGGAAATGCAAGTTAAAACCACAATGAGACATCACAGCTTTTCGAATGGCTTTTACCAAAAAGCTCGAGATAAGTATTGAAAAGGAAGTACAAAAAGGGAACCCTTATATACTGTTGGTGGGAATGTAAATTGGTACAGCCACTTTGGTAAGCAGTATGGAGGTTCCTCAGAAAACTAAAAGCAGAACTACTATGCAATGCAGTAATCCCACTTTTGGATATATACCCAAAGGAACTGAAATCAATGTGTCAAAGGACTCTCTGCACTCCTGTGAACATTGCAGCATTGTTCACAATAGCCAAGATATGAAACCAACCTAAAGGTCTGTAAGTAGATGAATGGATAAAGAAAATATGGTACAGGATTAAGATGGCAGATAGGAGGCAGGACTAGCTTGCAGCTCCCTCTTGGACAGACAGAGCAGCATGTGGAGACTCATATTGTGAACTTTTGCTCCATGAACTACCACAGCAACATACCTGGAAAGCCAAGAGAATCCACAGACCCTTTGAAGGAATTGGATCACCTCTGCAGGCTCCCCAGATGCCAAAAAGCTGTGAGTCTGCTTGCTTTCTCAGCAGGGAGGCTCATGGTCTGGGGCAAGTTCTCAGGCCTGGTCACTGGCTGCCTGGACTTGATGCAGTTGGAGGAGCACAGTGGGAGTGAGACCAGCCCTTAGGACTACAGGCTGTGTGGCAGCAGGGTGAGGCCGGTGACTGCCAGCTTTACCCCACTTCCCTGGCAACCTGTGTGACTCAGCAGAGGCAGCCATAATCCCCCTGGGAACAAAACTCCATTGGCCTGGGAGCCACGCCCCCAGCCCCTACAGCAGCTGCAGCATGCCCCACCCAAGGAGAGTCTGAGCTCAGACACATGTATCCCTGCTCCAGCCTGGTGGTCTTTCTCTACCCACCCTGGTTGTTGAAGACAAAGGACATAATCTCTTGGGAGCTCTATGGCCCTGCCCACCGCCTCAGAAACCTGAATATGTAACCAGGCCACCCTAGGGCAACTTTGCTTCCTGCCTGTAGTACCACAGTTGATGCACTCTTGAAAGCGCCACCTCCTGGCTGGAGGCCAACCAACACAAAACCAGTGCACTGAAAAAAAATACAACCAAAGACCCTCACAGAGTCCACTTCACTTCCCTGCTTCCTCCACTGGAGCAGGTGCTGGTATCCACAGCTGAAAGACCTGAAGATGGATCACACCACAGGACTCTTTGCAGACACTCACCAGTACCAGCCAGGAGCCCAGTAGCTGTGCTGGGGCCAGACCCAGAAGAGCAAAACCAATCACAGCAGTTCGGCTCTCAGGCTCTTTCTGAATTGGCAGAAAAATAATTCAGAAGACCAATTATTAAGCTAATCAAGGAGGCACCACAGAAAGATGAAGTACAACTTGAAATCAAAAACATGATACAGGATATGAAAAGAAAAACCTTCAGTGAAGTAGATGGCATAAATAAAAAAACTTTGCAACTTCTGGAAATCAAGGACACACTTAGAGAAATGCAAAATGCACTGGAAAATCTCAGTGATAGAATCCAACAAGCAGAAGAAAGAACTTTCAATCTTGAAGACAAGGCTTTTGAATTAACTCAATCCATCAAGGACAAAGAAAAAAGAATTTAAAAAAAAATAAACAGGCCAGGTGCAGTCGCTCACACCTGTAATCCTGACACTTTGGGAGGCCAAAGTGGATGGGTCACCTGAGGTCAGGAGTTCAAGATGAGCCTGGCTAACATGGTGAAACCCTATCTCTACTAAAAATACAAAAATTAGCTGGGCGCAGTGGTAGGCACCTGTAATCCCAGCTACTTGGGAGGCTGAGGCAAGAGAATTGCTTGAACCCGAGAGGTGGAGGTTTCAGTGAGCCAAAATTGTGCCATTGCACTCCAGCCTGGGTGGCAAGAGCAAAACCCCATCTCAAAAACAAAAGCAAAAACAAAAACAAATGAACAAAGCCTCCAAGAAGTTAAGAAGTTTCGGACTATGTTAAGTGTTCAAACCTAAGAATAATTGGTGTTCCCAAGGAAGAAGAGAAATCTAAAATCTGGAAAACATATTGAGGGAATAATAACGGAAACCTTCCACAGCCTTGCTGGGATCTAGAAATCAGAATACAAGAAGCTCAAAGAGATTCATCACAAAAAGATCATTGCCTAGGCACATAGTCTTCAGGTTATCTAAAGTCAAGATAAAGGAAAGAATCTTAAGAGCTGTGAGGCAAAAGCGTCATGTAACCTATAAATGAAAACCTATCAGACTAACAACAGATTTCTCAGCAGAAACCCTACAAACTAGGAGGGTTTGAGGTTCTAGTTTTAACCTCCTTAAACAAAACAATTATCAGCCAAGAATTTTGTATCCAGTGAAACTAAGCCTCAAAAATGAAGGAAAGATACAGTTTTTTCCAGACAAACAAATTCTGAGACAATTCACCACCACCAAACTGGCACTACAAGAACTGCTAAAAGGAGCTCTAAATCTTGAAACAAATCCTCAAAATACATCAAAATGGAACCTCCTTAAAGCATAAATCTCACAGGACCTATATAACACAATGAAAAAAATAAAAACAAGGTATTCAGGCAATAAATGGCATGATGAGTAGAATAGTACCTCACATCTCAATATTAATGTTGGATGTCAATGGCCTAAATGCTCCACTTAAAAGATACAGAATGGCAGAATGGATAAATATTCACCAACCAAGTTTCTGCTGTCTTCAGGAGAGTCACCTAACACATAAGGACTCACATAAACTTAAAGTAAAGGGGTGGAAAAGGATATTGTATCACACGAGTCCATGTGAAGAGACCACCAAACAGGCTTTGTGTGAGCAACAAGGCTGTTTATTTCACCTGGGTGCAGACAGGCTGTGTCCAAAAAGAGAGTCAGTGAAAGGAGATAGGGGTGGGGCCATTTTATAGGATTTGGTTAGGTAGTGGAAAATTACAGTCAAAGGGGGGAGTTCTCCGGCAGGCAGGGGCAGGGGTCACAAGGTGCTCAGTGGGGGAGCCTCTGAGCCAGGAGAAGGAATTTCACAAGGTAATGTCATCAGTTAAGGCAGGAACCAGCCATTTTCGCTTCTTTTGTGATTCTTCAGTTACTTCAGGCCATCTGGATATATACCTGCAGGTCACGGGAGATATGATGGCTTAGCTTGGGCTCAGAGGCCTGACATTCCTGCCGTCTTATATTACTAAGAAAAATAAAACAAAATAGTTGAAGTGTTGGGGTGGTGAAAATTTTTTGGGAGTGGTATGGAGAGATAGTGGGCGATGTTTCTCAGGGCTGCTTCAAGCAGGATTAGGGCAGCGTGGTAACCTAGAGTGGGAGAGATTAAGCTGAAGGAAGATTTTGTGGTAAGGGGCGATATTGTGGGGTTGTTAAAAGGAGCATTTGTCATATAGAATGATTGGTGATTGCCTGGATGTGGTTTTGTATGAATTGAGAAACTAAAATGAAGACACAAGGTCTGAATAAGAGAAGGAGAAAAACAGGTATTAAAGGACTAAGAATTGGGAGGACTCAGGACATCCAATTAGAGAGTGCCCAAGGGGGTTCAGAGTAATTACTTGCTTGGTTGGTGAGCTTTTGGGCTCATCCTTGACATATTCCATGCAAATGGACATGAAAAGTGAGCAGGAATAGCTGTTCTTATATCAGACAAAACAAACATTAAAGCAGCAGCAGTTAAAAAAAGAGGAATATTATATAGCAATAAAAGGACTAGTCCAACAGGAAAATATCACAATCCTAAATATATATGCACCTAATATTGGAGATCTCAAATTTATAGAACAATTATTACTAGACCAAAAAATGAAATAGATGGCAGCACAGTAATAGTGGGTGACTTGAATACCCCACTGACAGCACTAGACAGGTCGTTGAGAGAGCAAGTCAACAAAGAAACAACGGACCTAAACTATACCCTCCAACAAATGGACTTAACAGATATTTACAGAACATTCTACACAACAACTGCAGAATATATACTCTATTCATCAATACATGCAGCCTTCTCCAAGACAGACCATATAATAGGGCACAAAACAAGTCTCAGTAAATTTAAGGAAGTTGAAATTATATCAAGTACTCTCTCAGACCACAGTGGAATAAAATTAGAAATTAACTCAAAAAGGAACCCTCGAAACCATGCACATACGTGCAAATTAAATAACCTGCTCCAGAATGATCATTGCGTCAACAATAAAATCAAGATGGAAATTTAAAAGTTTGAACTTTGAACTCAATGATGATAGTGACACAACCTATCAAAACCTCTGGAATACAGCAAAAGTGGTGCTAAGAGGAAAAATTATAGCATTAAATGCCTACACCAAAAAGTCTGAAAGAGCACAAACAGACAATCTAAGGTCACACTGAGGCAGGAGAGTAAGGCCTGGAGACAGGGAACGTAAGGTTGATCCATGCTGACTTCCTAGAACTAAATCAAATGGAAGCGCTTCAGCAATGACAGGAATGTGAATGGCTTTGTAACTTCACTTCATTGTCTCCATTTACACCATTTACACTTTCTAACTTTACATTCACCCTCTCCATTTACATAGACCACACACACCAAGTAACATCTTCTCCATTTACACTTTGTAACTTCACATTCATCCTCTGCATTTACATGGATCACACACACCAAGTAACATCCTCTCCATTTACATAGGGCACATTCCAAGTAAATGACTTTGTAACTTCACTTCATTCTCTTTATTTACATAGAGCATACACCAAGTAACCAATGGGAAACCTCTAGAGTATTGAAACCCTGGAAAATTCTGTAACCGGGGCTTTTGAGCCCCTATGCTCAGGCCGGCTCCCACACTGTGGAGTGTATTTTCATTTTCAATAAATTTCTGCTTTTGCTTTCCTCACTTTGTTTGTGCATTTTGTCCAGTTCTTTGTTCAAGATGCCGAGAACCTGGACACCTTCCACTGGTAACAACACCTCACAGAACTGGAGACACAAGAACAATCCAAAACCAAACCAACCAGAAAAAAAGAACAAAGATCAGAGCAGAACTACATGAAATTGAAAAAAAAAATTTAAAAGTAAATTAGCCAGACTAATAAAGAAGAGAGATGAATCAAATAGACACAATAAAAAATGATAAAGGGGATATCAGCACTGATCCCACAGAAATACAAACTACCATCAGAGAATACTATAAACACCTCTATGCAAATAAACTAGAAAATTTAGAAGAAACGGATAAATTCCAGGACATATACACCCTCTCAAGACTAAACCAGGAAGAAGTCAAATTCCTGAATAGACTAATAACAAGTTCTGAAATTGAGGCAGTATTTAATAGCTTACCAACCAAAAAAAAAAGCCCAGAACCAGATGGGTTCACAGCCAAATTCTACCAGAGGTACAAAGAGGAGCTGGTACCATTCCTTCTGAAATTATTGCAAACAATAGAAAAAGAAGGAATCCTCCCTAACTCATTTTATAAGGCCAGCATCATCCTGATAACAAAACCTGGCAGAGACACAAGAAAAAAAGAAAATTTCAGGCCAATATCACTGATGAACATTGACACAAAAATCCTCAAATAATTACTGGCAAACCAAATCCAGCAGCACATCAAAAAGCTTATCCACCACAATCAAGTTGGCTTCATCCCTGGGCTTCAAGACTGGTTCAACACACACAAATCAATAAACATAATCCATCATATAAACAGAACCAATGACAAAAACCACATGATTATCTCAGTAGATGCAGAAAAGGCCTTTGATAAAATTCGACAACCTTTTATGCTAAAAACTCTCAATAAACTGGGCATTGATGGAACGTATCTCAAAATAATAAGAGCTATTTACGACAAACCCACAGCCAATATCATACTGAATGGACAAAAGCTGGAAGCATTCCCTTTGAAAACCAGCACAGACAAGGATGCCCTCTCTCACCACTCCTATTCAACATAGTATTGGAAGTTCTGGTCAGGGCAATCAGGCAAGAGAAAGAAATAAAGGGTATTCAAATAGGGAGAGAGGAAGTCAAATTGTCTCTGTTTGCTGATGACATGATTGTATATTTAGAAATATATATATCTCATCCCCAAATCTCCTTAAGCTGATAAGCAACTTCAGCAAAGTCTCAGGATACAAAATCAATGTGCAAAAATCACAAGCATTCCTATACACCAATAATTGACAAACAGAGAGCCAAATTATGAGTGAACTCCCATTCATAATTGCTACAAAGAGAATAAAATACCTAGGAATACAAAGTACAAGGTATGTGAAGGACCTCTTCAAGGAGAACTACAAACTACTGCTCAAGGAAATAAGAGAGGACACAAACAAATGGAAAAACATTCCATGCTCATGGATAGGAAGAATCAATATTGTGAAAATGGCCATACTGCCTAAAGTAATTTATAGATTCAATGCTATCCCCATTAAGATACCATTGACTTTGTTCACAGAATTAGAAAAAACAACTTTAAATTTCATGTGGAACCAAGAAAGAGCCTGTATAGCCAAGACAATCTTAAGCAAAAAGAACAAAGCTGGAGGCATCATGCTACTTGACTTCAAACTATACTACAAGGCTACAATAACCAAAACAGCATGGTACTGGTACCAAAACAGATATATAGACCAATGGAACAGAACAGAGTCCTCAGAAACAATGTCACACATCTACAACCATCTGATCTTTGACAAACCTGACAAAAACAAGCAATAGGAAAAGGATTCCCTATTTAATAAATGGTGTTGGGAAAACTGGCTAGCCATATGCAGAAAACTGAAATTGTACCCCTTCCTTACACCTTATACAAAAATTAACTCAAGATGGATTAAAGACTTAAATGTAAGGCCTAAAACCATAAAAACCCTAGAAGAAATCCTAGGCAATACCATTTAGGACATAGACATGGGCAAAGACTTCATGACTAAAACAACAAATGCAATGGCAACAAAAGCCAAAATTGACAAATGGGATCTAATTAAACTAAGGAGCTTCCACACAGCAAAAGAAACTATCCTCAGAGTGGACAGGCAACCTACAGAATGGGAGAACATTTTTGCCATCTATCTATCTAACAAAGGACTAAATCCAGAATCTACAAGGAACTTAAACAAATTTACAAGAAAAAAACAACCCCATCAAAAAGCGGGCAAAGGATATGAACAGATACTTCTCAAAAGAAGACATTTATGCAGCCAACAAACATATGAAAAAAATCTCATCATCAGTGGTCATTAGAGAAAAGCAAATCAAAACCACAGTGAAATACGAGATCATGCCATTTAGAATGGTGATCATTAAAAAGTAGGGAAACAACAGATGCTGGAGAGGATGTGGAGAAACAGGAACACTTTTACAGTGTTGGTGGGAGTATAGATTAGTTCAACCATTGTGGAAAACTATGGCGATTCCTCAAGGATCTGGAACTAGAAATACCAGTTGACCCAGCAATCCCATTACTGTGTATATACCCAAAGGATTATAAATCATCCTACTATAAAGACTCATGCACATGTATGTTTATTGTGACACTAGTCACAATAGCACACAATAGCAAAGACTTGGAACCAACCCAAATGCCCATCAATGATAGACTGGATAAAGAAAATGTGGCACATATACACGATGGAATACTATGCAGCAATAAAAAATGATGAGTTCATGTCCTTTGCAGGGACATGAATGAAGCTGGAAACCATCATTCTCAGCGAACTAACACAGGAACAGAAAACCAAACCCTGCATGTTCTTATTTGTAGTGGGAGTTGAACAATGAGAACACATGGACACAGGGAGGGGAACATCACACACTGCAGCCTGTTGGGTGGTGGGGGTCTAGGGGAGGGATAGCATTAGGAGAAATACCTAATGTAGATGATGGGTTGATGGGTGCAGCAAACCACCATGGCACGTGTATACCTATGTAACAAACCTGCATGTTCTGCATATGTATCCCAGAACTTAAAGTATAACAAAAAAAAGCCACCAGACATTATAACATAGAGCCAAATTTTAATAAATGATAAAAATCTATTGAAAGTGCCTGATTGATATACAATTGGAAAGTCAAAAAAATTTTAATAAATGATAAAAAATCTATTGAAAGTGCCTGACTGATATACAATTGGAAAGTCAAAAAAAGTTTAATAAATGATAAAAATCTATTGAAAGTGCCTGATTGATATACAATTGGAAAGTCAAAAAAAATTTTAATAAATGATAAAAATCTATTGAAAGTGCCTGATTGATATACAGTTGGAAAGTCAAAAAAAATGAAAATGTGATTATATATATATGTATATGTACCATGAAATACCACTCAGCCATGAAAAAGAAATGAAATATTAATAATGACATTCACAGCAACCTGGATGAAATTGGACTATTATTCTAAGTGATGTAACTGAGAAATGGAAAACCAAACATTGTATGTTCTCACTCATATGTGGGAGCTAAGTTATGAGGATGCAAAGGCATAAGAATGATGCATTGGACTTTGGACACTCAGGGGAAAGGGTCAGAAGGGGGTAAGGGATAAAAGACTACACATTGGGTACTGTGTACACTGCTCGGGTGATGGTGCACCAAAATCTCAGAAATCACCACTAAAGAACTTACTCAAGTAACCAAATACCACCTGTTCCACAAAAACCTATGGAAATAAAAAAAAAGGAATATAATATATATTTTTTGAGATGGAGTTTCACCCTGTCACCCAGGCTGGAGTGCAATGGCGTGACCTCGGCTCACTGCAACCGCTGCCTCTCGGGTTCAAGCAATTCTCCTGCCTCAGCCTCCCAAGTAGCTGGGATTACAGGCATGCACCACCATACCAGGTTAATTTTTTGTATCTTTAGTAGAGACGGGGTTTCGCCATGTTGACCAGGCTGGTCTTGAACTCCTGACCTCCTGATCAGCCCACCTCAGCCTCCCAAAATAATTTTTTCTAAAAGACTACACATTGGGTACTATGTACACTGCTCAAGCGATGAGCACACCAAAATCTCAGAAATCACCACTAAAGAACTTATTCATGTAACAAAACACCACCCGTAACCCCCAAACCTAGCGAAATAAAAAGTAAATTTAAAAAAATGTGGTAAGTATACACAATGGGATACTATTTAGCCTTTAAAAAGGAGGAGATCCTGTCAATTGTGACAACATGGATGAATCTGGAAGAAATTATGCTAAATGAAATAAGCCAGGTCCAGAAAAATAACACATGATCTCACTTACATTTGGAATCTAATAAGGGTAAACTCATAGAAGCAGAGAGTAGAACAGCAGTTACCAGAGCCTGGAGTGGGGCATGGAGAGGGAGGGAATGAATTGTGGATCAAAGGATACAAAGACAGGAGAAAAAGGTTTTGAGATCTACTGCACAACTATTATCAATAATAATGTAGTTTATATTTCAAAATAACTAAGAGATTAAGAGAGTAAATTTCAAATGTCTCACCATAAGAAATAGTAGGGAAGCAAGATGATGGATATGTTAATTCGCTAGATTTAATCATGTCACCTTGTATACATATATCAAAACATCATGTTGTATGCTATACATGTCTACAATTATGACTTGTCAAACAAAAATAATATTAATAATAAATTTTTTTAATTGCATTAAAGAATACAAAAGTAGACTTGAAAAAAAGTTTGGTTATGAATAGAAAGGGGGAGATTGCTTGGTCGTTGGCTGCAAGGGGCCCTGGTATTAAGGAAAGGCGTGTGTGTGTGTATGTGTATGTGTGTGTATGTGTGTATGTGTGTGCACGTGTGTGTATGTGTGCATGCATGTATGTGTGTGTGTGTCTGTGTGCAAGCCAGTGTGTGTGTGCATGTCTGTGTGCGTGTGCCTATGTGTGTGCGTGTCTGTGTGCTTGTGCGTATGTGTGTGTGTCTGTGTGCACGCGTGTCTGTATCTGTGTGTGTGCACGTGTGTCTGTGTGTGCACGTATGTGTGTATGTGCACGTGTGTGTGCGTGTGTGTATGTGTGTGTGTATATGTGTGTCTGTGTATGTGTATGTGTGTATATGTGTGTGTGTGCGCGTGTATGCGTGTGTGTCTGTGTGCATGCCCGTATGTGTGTACGTGCACGTCTGTGTGCGTGTGTGTATGTGTGTGCATGTCTGCGTGCTTGCGCGTATGTGTGTCTGCGTGCACGCGTGTGTATCTGTGTGTGTGCACGTGTGTCTGTGTGTGCACGTATGTGTGCACGTGTGTGTATGTGTGTATGTGTCTGTGTATGTGTATGTGTGTATGTGTGTGCGTGTATGTGTGTGCGTGTGTGTGCGTGTGTGTGTGTTTGTGTGTGTATGTAGTGAGACTCCAGCTTATCTAGATGCAGATGGGAAAAGAAACCACTGGAGAAGGACATACTGAAAATATAAGAAAGAAGGAGAATAACCGATGGAGGGATCCCCGCAGCAGTGGGAGAGAAGGGAATCCTTCCCAGCATTCTAAAGGGAGAACAGGCGTTTGTGGATTTGGAAGCAGCATAATTATAATTCCATTCTCGCATCTCTTTTCTTATGAGGTGGGAAGCAAGATTATCCACTGAGAATAAGGGAAGAAGATGGGAAGCTAAAGACTGGAAGGGACCAGGCAAGGCTGGAAATACTAGTTCTTCATTGCCAATTTCAATCTCCATCTACTAATTTTTGTTAAACCTTTGAAGCCTATTATTGCTTGGCCACAATAGATTATAGTATAAGCATGTATGTAATTTGCATATAATCATATTTATTTATTCTTTTTTTTTTTTTTTTTGAGACAGGGTCTCACTCCGACACCCAGGCTGGAGTACAGTGTTGCAATCACAGCTCACTGCAGCCTCGACCTCCTGGGCTCAGGTGATCCTCCCGCCTCAGCCTCCTGAGTAGCTGGGACTACAGGTGCACACCACAATGCCCAACTAACTTTTGTATGATTTGTAGAGACAGGGATTTTCCATGTTGCCCAGGCTGGTTTCAAACTCCTGGACTCAAGCTATCTACCCACCTCAGCCTCCCGAAGTGCTGGGACTACAGACCTGAGCCACTGTGCCCAGCCTACATATAATTATATTTAGCTATTTTTTGTTTAACACATCAACTTTTTGTCACTTAAAGAAATCATGAATTCTAGTCTAGAATATTTTCTCTAAGTCACTCTGTATTATTGACTTGACCTTGGAATTTAACCACAACACAAATTTATTTGAAATGTTTGATAAAATTGGCTTCTTCTAAAAGGAAAAAAAAAGAAATACTAGTTTTTATGGAGAATGAGGCAGAGAAACAGAATTTCTGGTGGTGTTAGGAGCCCTGTTGAAACTGGTGCTCACAAATGTGTGGTGACACAAATCTGCTGCACTGTGATGTTTTATTTAGCAGAATTCACTCAGTAGCTCAAATTATGAGCTCTGGGATCAGCGCTGGAGTGTTGCCAGGAGAATACAGCCAAGGTAGACTGGGGCTGGGGGTACGGGTCCTAGAGAAAGAGCCGTTAAAATAGTGGGCTCTGGAATCTCAGAGGTCCCCATTAAGAACAATATTATAATCATTTAAAAATTATTATTAATACACAACACTTCCTATGTCCTAGGCAATATTCTAAGCACTTCATGTAAATAATTCTCAACACACATATGAGGCCAGTACTAGTATTTTCTTCATTTTATAGGTTATGAAGCCAAAGCACAGAAAAGTTAACTAACTTGTCCAAAGTCACAAACCTAAAGAGTCAAGATTTGAACCCATGCAGTCTGGCTCTAGAGCCCATGTTCATAACTATATGTGATCTGTCTCCATCTTTTGTCTCTTGGCATCTCCTTCTCTGACATCCAGGGACAGACATTCCTTTCTACTCAATGGGAGAAACAAATGAGCCAGACTTGCTGCATGGTGATATACACACACGCAGAGGTAGCCAAGATACAGGAAGCAAAGTTGGGATGTTTTCAACTCCATTTTTCTTGCTTCTAAAACACCTATGTGAGCTATAAGACTTGGTGTTCCATCCCAGGCAGATCTGGAAGCATTCTTTTTTAAAAATTAGCATATATGACACTGGCAGCAGCGTTCACCTTACCCCATTGTCACCACCACCCATGCACATGAGTGGTGCTGGTTGGCACCTCATCTATCTTACTGGTGAGGCAGCAAGACAATCAGGAAGGACCACTGCTCCCATCTCCTCCCTTTACTCCTTGACACCGTAAATCCCTACTGGAGATTGACTTCTTTGCATCCAGTGGAAGTGCACACAGTCTATGAGAGCTCTTAACTACCCAGTCACGTACATTTCAGTCTGAAAGATTTTTCCTAAACTCGACTTTTAATGGATAGAAAGAGTTACAGGGAATAGGGCATGAAGGGGAAAGAAAAGAGAAGTGTAGAATGGACAAAACTCTTTGTCTGCCTAAGATTCTATCTTTCAGCTGATGGAGACCATTGCGTTTAGTTATATTTACAGAAGAGTCAGATTGAATTGTGCAGACCAACGCTAGGACTTAATCTAGACAGTGATTCACTCCTAAATTAGATGAATTTTCAGAACAGATGTATTTTCAGTGCCTTTAAGATAATGAAATCTTGCTTTTTTAAAATCACAGATATCGCACGTAATATAGCACTTTTCATAAACTGTATAGTTTCTTTGTGATCTTTTAAAAACCTGCAGCTGTATAGAACTATCTTATCAGTGATGAAAACAAAGGAAGTTGTTGCTGCTTTGTTTGATCTAACAATGGAAGGACTCATCACACTCTAGTGCCTCGTGCTTATAATGGACTGTGTGAGTTGGGCGTTTTCTTACCATTCTTTAAACATTTCACTCCCCCTAGCACTTGTCCAGGTGCTCAGATTTCTTTCCAAAGTCACAAAATACAATATGGGTTGAACATCTGGCTCATAAAAGTCCTTTTGAAGGCGAAGCAGAATGCCTCTTAGGTCAGAGAAAGATAATAGAAGAAAGCTATGCAGGATGATTCCTACCAGATATTGCTTGGGGCGCATCTTGTTCATTGCAAACCTGGAAAGTTATTGTCCTTCCTGGATACTTGGCTGTCTGGTATTGTAACTGGAAACTATTCACAAACCAAGCATTCACCCAGGAAAAAAGGAAGTAAACATCCCTGTGCCCTAAACTTGCAGTCCTGAGAGGTGTAACAAGTATTTCATGTACACTGTACAGCTGGGTTTCTGTGAAGTTGTTTTTGATACAGTAACCATTTCAAAGATGAAAGTACTTAATGGCAAAAATATAAAGTTCAGAAAGCAAGAAAAAAAAGTTGAAGCCACCCACAAAGATGAATGATGAAAAAAATCTGTATTTGATGAATCCTATAAGGCTTGTTGAACTTGAGGCTGAAATATAATAAAAGTGTCTGCTAGTCACTACAAATTTCATGTGGGAGCAATGGATTTTTCTCAGCCATCTATGTGTCAGCCAGCGTGCAAGCCCTTTGAGAGCAAGAATCTTGTCTATCTTGATCAACACTGGGTCCCTTTTGCCTGGTCCAAGTCTCTGCACCAAATGGACCCTAAATAATTTCTTGAATCCTTTAAAGACCTGATTACCTATAGCCTAAATCATTCTGTAAATTGCCTGTAAAATGTTTGCCAAAAATACATCTATGAAATATGTTGTTACTAAAATGTGACATCCAAGTAGATAGCTTATTAACTATATTTTTTCCCTTGGATTTATCTGTGTTTTAATGGATACATTGAATTTACCTCTTCTATTCAAACAAGAAGGAAACAAAAAGATCTTTTCCCTTAGGCAAGACCTTCCAGAAGCATGTATTGCCTTCAGAATTATTAAGTGAGTCTCTACCCTTTTGAGTTCAAATCCTGAACACTCAATTTAGCCAGAAAAGAAAAAAACTGTTGTCCAAATAATTAAAAGGGCAAAAAACAAACCCGGGCACCTCTTGCCCAATAAAGCTCCAAGATGTGTTACAAACACATATTGAACGAGCACAGAGCCTGCGAAGAATCCAATAGCATCCACTGCCAGAACAAGCTAGTCTCAGAGGAGGACAATTATCAAGTGACCAATGTTTACCTCTCTGTTATTTAGTGCAATCAAGTATGAAGGCACCCCTGAAATACCATGATGCTCCCTCAGTGGCGTATCCATAGCCTCTGACTCTGCCCTCAGGAGTTGCCCAAGGGACTCACTTTAACAGATGTCTCTTACTTTGATTCAGTAACTTTGCAGAGACACCACAAAGCACACAGCTCTGGTTTCATTCTTTTTTCTCCTCTCTTCCTTTCTTTCCCTTGCTCCCTTCCTCTTTCCTTTCTTTCTTTCTGTTTATTTTTATGTTTCAAGGGTTAAAGCTACGCAGAAAGCAGAAGACATACTAAAATTAAAAAAAGAAGATAATTTGAGAAGAGTTTAATAATTGGGCTATTAACAATAGTAGCAATAGTAGCAGTAGTAACTGGAGTAGTGCAGGGCCCAGCACCCAGGCTAGGATCTAGGGATCTCACCACCCCTAGACCTGAAGGGGCAAGGAAAAGGGGAAAGTGAGACAGGGCGGGATGTGTGGGGAGGGCCTCCTGACAGGAGCGGAGCCCTTCCATTTGTTTTCAGAGAACCCACAGGGAAGGAGCCAGTGGAATAAATACCTTCTTCCTCCAGGTTCTTCTAGTACTTCCCGTTAAGCTAAACCAAATGGAAGTCAGGGGTCAAAGGAGCCTGTTAGCATGTTCAGTGCAGGTCTGACTCCCAAGGCACAGATTATGGCAGAAAGGGAATGGAGAGAGGGTCTGCAGCAGTTAACAGAAGACATTTGGCATCTACTATATCCTCAGTCCCCAGACTTGATTTCTAGCTTGATGAGGTAATTTGGATGTCTTTGAGCCAATTGTTTCCCTTCCTCAATTAGATTTCAAAGATTCTTTATTCTTCTGTCTGCTGACTATATGGCCTATTTTATTTTAATTTCATAGACCCTGATTGACTGCTTTCTAAACTCATGACTATTTCAGAAGTCACAAGCCAAAGTGATCATTTAGGAAACCAGTCTGGTATTTACTATCAGACAGAGAATGAAGGATATTTAAATATTCACTGTTAGGAATTTAAAAATCTAGGCTTTAACACACACACACACACACACACACACACACACACACACACTCCTGGGAGCCTACACTAAAGAGTAAAATCTAAAATCCCTCAGTCAGCACTAAAATGCTAGTTTGTTTAAAGTTAACCACATAATCGATTCTGTGCTAAAATTCATCCTGAGTGGCTTATAGACTTTATGCAACAAGGGCTTGAACCTGGAATGATACATGGAATTCAAACTTAAAAACCATACAGAACATTTTACTTGCAAAGTTTTTACATTGGCCACCTTTCTTTCTGCTCCAATACCATAACACAGGCAGAAATTCTGTCCTGCTCCAGGAGCTCTCACCCTCATATGACCATAATAAAACTCCCCCCAGCTTGGGTTTCCTATGAGAACTATCAGCTGATGGTATCCAGTCAGAGAATCATAAGCATTGTTTTTAAAATACAAAATTATTTCAAATCTTACACAGGCTATTTTTTTTCAATAATACATCAGTTTATTTGAGTGGATTTTCAATCAAAACACCACGTCCCTCAGGCTGATTATTTAGGATACCGTATTTTCCATGTGGAAAAGTCATCATGGTAGACCAAACCACCCAGCCACGCACACACCTCCAGCGCTCCACATCCAAAGCAGCCATCGCCAGGGCTGAAGACAGATGCCGGTGGATGTCTCAAGACAGGTGAACATAAATAAGTGGAGATACTTGAAGAGCAGATGTTTGACATTATCTCTTAATTTGCTCCACATATCTGTACTCAAACCAGAGTTTCTTGAAAGTAATTTAAGAACTATCTAGTCCTCAATGATACCAGAAAAGGTGAGTTGCTGGCTCTTTAAAGCAGATATATGTTACCTACTGCAGGCTCAAGTTACATTGCACTTAGAACTAAAGCTACTTTAGTTCCCTCCATGTTTGGTCAGAAATATCTTTAGGACAATGATTCTAAATAGCTCCTATGACTATAGTTTGTTCTCATTGAATTTTAAATGTTATGTTAAATATCCCTTGGCATCTACTCTTGCTCTATAAGTCACACAGCAAACTTTGGTCAAAAGCAATAAAATTCTGACCTGCCAATACATTGGCTTAATTCTCATTTTTTTTTTGTTCTTTGTCTATTCATTTGATTCCTTATTAGGCAATCAAATAATAAGCTTTTTTTTTTCAAGCTCCACCGGGCTCAACATGATGTGGTAAAAAGAAAATGACCCTTGGAGAGGGTACCTGACCCTTATGGTTCAGACAAGCAGTCAGCCTTGGAGACCCCACATGTAGGGAGTTGGAGCGACTTCATTCGCCTTCCTCCCTCTATTTGGCTTGAATTCTATTTTATTCACTTATCAGTTTTGTTGTCTTGGGCAAATTTATTAGCCTCTCTTAACCTTGATTTTTTTGTGTGTGCATTTAGAATGCTGATAATAAAAACCTATTCCACTGGGTTGCTGTAAGGATTAAATAAAAATGTAAATCCCTTAGGATGTCACTTGTAATACTTATTAAATAAACATTAGTTCCCTCACATCCCTCTTCCCTCCCTTCCCCACTTTTATTGAGCTTTTACTCTCAGGTAAAAGCAGCATTTACAAACAAGCTGGCAATCACAGAACTTTATCCTTCAAAAGGATCTTAAAGGTTATATCTTCTCCTTTCCAAACATAAAAACTCTTTCCATTATCTCACCTTTGCTTCTAATACATGCAAAACTCATTTTTAAAATAAGGTTACTCATTCTGCTCTTACATAACTTTAATTGTTAGAAGGTAGTTTCTCATTTTGAACAGACATCTATCTTCAGGAGACTTCTATCAATTGACTGTATACACAGTGTCTAACTCTGCTATGGTATGGAACCCTTTCTGGGTTCAGAGGGATATGTAGGGCTTAGGCCTTCTTTAGATGTTGGATAGCTTTGTTACCATAAATAAATAATCAGATTCCCTGAGCCTCAACTGACCTAGGAAATGAGGACAATAGCATCTGCCCAACCTCCTTCCATGGGCTCTTATGGACTCTACCTAACCACTATGCTGTTCTCTTCTGTTCGGATCATTCTTCAACATTTCCTTGCATGACAGCACCCTTGGTTCTTTCAGCAGTTTTTATGTCAAAGTTTTAAAGGACAAGAAAATATTTTATAACAGAAACTCTTGAGGAAAAATGCCTTAAAAATATCAATAACAAGCAAGGACCTTCCAGACATTGGGCAGCATGGAAAATGCTGCGAATATGAGAATAAATGCTCAGGACAAAGAGGAGATAGTCCCAGTATTACCAAGAAAATTGCACGCCCTGATGAGAGTGGCTGGTTTAGGGAAGTCCTTTAGGTCCATCGAAGGAGTTTACTTGAGATACAGTACAAAATGGGGAAGTTTTTGAAGGTTTTGAAGCTGGCAGGGAGCATAATAAATGCGGCATTCAAGGAGAAGAATCTGGCCCAAGGAATGGGAAATGTGAAAGCCTAGAATTAGAGATGCCAAATATACACTGGGCAGTAATACATGCATGAGCTGGTAAAGACCTGCACTAGGGTGGTGGTTATGGGATGAGTAGATAAATGCACTGAAGAGATGATTGAAGAGAACAGTTGATAAGATGCTAGAGACAGAGGAGAAAATAAGAGGAAGCATGAAAGGCAGCTCTGAGTTTTCACATCCACATGTCTAGAAGAATGGTGGATACTTTGACCAGAGGCAGGAAAGATGTGAGAGAAAGAGACTTTCATGGAGT